>NT_187614.1:639349-959024 GCF_000001405.40 Homo sapiens
GTGATATCTCATTGTGTGTATTATTATTATTATTATTATTATTTTTGAGACAGGGTCTTGCTCTGTTACCTAGGCTTTGAAGGGCAGTGTCATGATCATGTCTCATTGCCACCTTAACCCTCTGAGTAGCTGGGACTATGGGTGTGTGCTACACTACACCCAGCCAATGTTTTTAGAAATATGTTTTTGAAGAGATAAGGTCTTGCTATGTTGCTCAGGCTGGTTTTGAACTTCTGAGCTCAAGTCATGCTCCAGACTGGTCTCCTAAAGTGCTGGGATTACAGACCACTACACACACCTCATTGTGTTTTTAATACGTATTTACTTAGTGGCTAATGATGTTGACCATCTTTTCGGGTGCTTATTTGGTATCTTTTTTTAAAAATATGGAACACTTTAAGAATTTGCATGTCATCACTGTGCAGGGAGCATGCTAATCTTCTCTGTATTGATTCAATTTTGGTATATGTGCTGCTGAGACAAGCAGTAGTACCTTTATATATCCCCTGTTCATCACTTTTGGCTATTTTCTTTTTTTGAGACGGAGTCTCCCTATCTCTACTCAAAAACAATACAAAAATTAGCCAGGCATGGTGGCACATGCCTGTAGTCCCAGCTACTTGGGAGGCTGAGGCAGGAGAATTGCTTGAACCCAGGAAGCGGAGGTTGCAGCGAGCTGAGATTGCACCACTGTACTCCAGCCTGAGCGACAGAGTGAGACTCTGTCAAAAAAAAAAAAAAAAAGTATTCCACTCTTGCTGGGTGGAATGTCCTGTAAATGTCCATGGATCCAGTTAGTTCATGGGGTTGAAGTAAATACTCTTGCTGTGATCATATGTATAGTTTTAACAGTTGTTACAGAGAAATACTGAAGTCTCTATAGTGGATTTGTGTATTTCTTCATTCTGTTCCATCAGGTTTTCTTTCACAGATTTCGTAGTCTGGTTTTTTGCTGCATACACATTTAGGAATGTTATGTCCTCTTGGTGGATTGACCCCTCTCTCAATAAATAATTTCCTTCTTAGTCTCTAGTACTTTTTCTTTGCTCTGAAGTATACTGTTTCTGATATTAATATAGTCATCCACTTTTCCTTAGTGAATGGTTGCATCATATACCTTTTGAATTTTTTTTTTTTTTTTGCTTTCAATGTGCTTAGATTGTTATATTCGAAGTAAATGTCTTGTACACAAAACAGTGTTAGGTTATGTTTTCTTTCTTTCTTTCTTTTTTTTTTTTTTCTTGAGATGGAATCTTGCACTGTCACCTGGGCTGGAGTGCAATGGCGTCATCTTGGTTCACTGCAACCACCACCTCCCGGGTTGAACCAATTCTCCTGCCTCAGCCTCCCGAGTAGCTGGGATTACAGGTGCCCGCCACCATGCCTGGTTAATTTTTTATATTTTTAGTAGAAACCGGGTTTCACGATGTTGACCAAGCTGGTCTCGAACACTTGACCTCTTGATCTGCCTTCCTTGGCCTCCCAAAGTGCTGGGATTACAGGTGTGAGTCACTGTGCCTGGCCTTTTTTTTTTTTTTTTTTTGAGACACGGTCTTGCTCTGTCACCCAGGCTGGACTGCAGTGGCACAATCATGGTTTACTGCAGCCTGGACCTCCTGGGCTCAAACAATTCCCCCACCTCAGCCTCCCAAGTAACTGGGACCACACATGTGCACCATCACACCCGGCTAATTTTTTTATTATTTGTAGGGACGAGGTCTTGTTATGTTGCCCAGCCTGGTCTCGAACTCATGGGCTCAAGAGACCCTTCTGTCATGGCCTCCCAAAGTGCTGGCATTACAGGCGTGAGCCACCATGCTTGGCTGTAGGTTATGTTTTTTAAATCTAGTTTGTCAATCTTTGTCTTTTTCTTTTTTTTTTTTTTTTTGAGACGGAGTTCATCACTCTGTCACCCAGGGTGGAGTGCAGTGGTATGATCTCGGCTCACTGCAACCTCTGCCTAGTGGGTTCAAACAATTCTCCTGCCTCAGCCTCCAGAGTAGCTATTACAGGTGCCCACCACCATGACTGCCTAAATTTTTTTTTTTGTATTTTTAGTAGAGACAGGGTTTCACCATGTTGGCCAGGATGGTCTCGAACACCGAACCTCAAGTGATCTGCTCTCCTCAGCCTCCCAAAGTGCTTGGATTATGGTTGTGAGCCATTGCACCTGGCCAGTTTTTGTCTTTTATTTGCTGTTTTTAGGTATTTGGGTCATTTACATACTTACAGATGTTGTCAGAATCCTTTTTTTTTTTTTTTTTTTTTTTTTTTTGAGACAAAGTTTTACTCTTGCCCAGGCTGGAGTGCAGTGGCTCAATCTTGGCCTACTGCAACCTCTGCCTCCCGGGTTCAAGCAGTTCTTGTGCCTCAGTCTCCCAAGTAGCTGGGATTACAGGCATGTGCTACCACGCCCAGCTAATTTTTATATTTTTAGTGGAGTTGGGGTTTCACCATGTTGGCCAGGCTGGTCTTGAACTCCCGGCCTTAGGTGATTCACCCACCTTGGCCTCCCAAAGTGCTAGAATAACAGGTCTGAGCCACCACGCCTCGTTTTAGTTTTAGTTTTTTGATTGTTCTTTTTCCTGCTTTCTTTTGAGTTACTTGAACATTTTTGGAATCCCATTTTTCTTGTCGTATTTTTTTTCTACCCCAATTCACTACGCCAAAACCATTTTTCTTTATTGTATTTTATATCTGCTTATTTTAGTTCATTGATATGGTTTGGATATTTGTTCCGCTGAATTTTTTTTTCTTCTTTTTTGAGACAAACTTTCGTTCTTGTTGCCCAGGCTGAAGTGCAATGGCGTGATCTCAGCTCACTGCAACCTCCGCCTCCCAGGTTCAAGTGATTCTCCTGCCTCAGCCTCCTAAGTAGCTGGGATTACAGGCATGTGCCACCATGCCCGGCTAAGTTTGTATTTTTAGTAGAGACGGAGTTTGTCCATGTTGGTCAGGCTGTTGTTCTCCAACTCCAGACCTGAGGTGATCCACCCACCTCGGCCTCCCAAAGTGATGAGATTACAGGCGTGAGCCACCATGCCCGGCCTAAAAATTGTTTTTGGGAGGCCAAGGTGGGTTAGTCACCTGGGGTCCGGGGTTCAAAACCAGCCTGGCCAACGTGGCGAAAACCCGTCTCTACTAAAAATACAAAAATTAGCCAGGAGCGATGGCGGCACCTGTAATCCCAGCTGCTCAGGAGGCTGAGGCAGGAGAATCGCTTGAACTTGGGAGGCAGAGCTTGCCGTGAGCTGAGATCATGCCAGTGCACTCCAGCTTGGGCAACAGAGCGAGACTCCGTCTCAAGAAACAAACAAACAAAAAGCAACAACAAACAAACAAAAAATTTTTTCAGTTAATTCTGATGTATCTGTGAGATATTAGAATTAAGATATCTTGATGTTTGCATTTGTTTATTGCCTTTTTCCATTCAATTTGAAATCTTCTGGATTCTTCATATCTTTTTGGTATCACAAATAACTTTTGATTGAAACCTGGGCATTTTTGTGTTGTCATGAGACTATGCATCTTACTTAAACAACTGTTTTAGTTTTTTTGTTTGTTTTTTTTTTTTGGAGACCATCTTTATCACCCAGTCTGGAGTGCAGTGGCGCCATCTCTGCTCACTGCAACCTCCGCCTCCCAAGTTCAAGCGATTTTCGTGCCTCAGCTTCCGGAGTAGCTGGGACTATAGGCACCGGCCAACACGCCCAGCTAATTTTTATTTTTAGTAGAGGCGGGGTTTTGCCATGTTGGCCAGGCTGGTCTCCAACTCCTGACTTCTGGTGATCCACCCGCCTCGGCCTTCCAAAGTGCTGCGATTATAGGCGTGAGCCATCGCGCCGGGCCCTGTTGGGGATTCTTTTTTTTTTGGTCTGTGTTCATCGGTGTCCTGATGTACTCACTTCTTCCATTCCAGGAGTAGGATACATTAGGCAAAAAGAAGAATACCCAGGGAATTTACTGCTATATTGTGCCTTGTGTCCTGTGATCCTGAGCTAATTTGCCTTCTCTCCACCTTTCAGAGAATATTCGTTTTATTTACAATGTTCACATTTTAAATTTGTACTTAGTGGGAGGAATAGGGAAAAGTATGTCCATTCCATCGTCCCAGAAGTGTAAGTCTAACCTTTGATTTCACTGAGTGTGCCCTATTTTTCTGTTTTCTATTTCATTGACTTCTGCTCGATCTTTCTTTTGCTCTTCTAGTTTCTTAAGGAACAAGGTGAAGTCACTGATTTGTTTCTTTTCTAATATAGTCATGTAATTGTATAAATTTCTCTTTCAATCACTGCTTTAACTGTCTTAAAATACTTGATATATTTGTCCTTTTTTTACCCCTTGGTGTTATGGGTTATGTTATGTTATGTTATGTTATTTATTTTATATTTTGAGACAGATTCTCGCTCTGTCGCCCAGGCTGGAGTGCAGCAGCGTGATCTTGGCTTGCTGCAACTTCCGCCTCCCGGGTTCAAGCAATTCTCTGCCTCAGCCTCCTGAGTAGCTGCGGTTACAGGCGCCGGCTACCATGCCCGGGTAATTTTTGTATTTTTAGAAGAGACGGGGTTTCACCATCTTGGCCAGACCGGTCTTGAACTCCTGACCTTGTGATCCACCTGCCTCGACCTCCCAAAGTGCTGGAATTAGAGGCGTGAGCCACAGCTCCTGGCCCCCATTGGTTATTTTAAAAGTATGTTTTGATTTCAAATATGGGGATTGCCTATTGATTTTTTTTTCTGTCACTGATTTCTAAATATCATAGTGGTAAGAAAAAAATCATGATAAGACTTCAAACCTTTTAAATGTACCAAGAGTTGTTTTTTTTGGCCCGAATATGGTATATCTTGGTGAATGTTCCAAATGCACTTGAACAGAATGTGTATTCTGGTAGGTTGTGTAGAGTGTTCTAAAGTTAGTTAGGTCAGTTTGGTGTTATTCAAGCTTCTGTATCCTTACTGATTTTCTGTCTGCTGGTCTGGAATCTCTCTCTGTCGCCCAGGCTGGAGTGCAGTGGCATGATCTCGGCTCACTGCAACCTCCATCTCCTGGGTTGAAGCGATTCTCCTATCTAAGCTTCCCGAGTAGCTAGGATTACTGTTGTGTGCCACCACGCCCGGCTAATTTTTGAATTTTTAGTAGAGACAGGGTTTCACCATGTTGGCTGGGCTGGACTTGAATTGCTGACCTTAGGTGATCCGCCTGCCTCTGGCTCCCAAAGTGCTGGGATTACAGGTGTGAGCCACCACGCCTGGCCCACCCAGTTAATTTTTAAAACTCTTTTTGTAGAGACAGGGTCTCCCTGTGTTGCTCAGGTTGGTCTTGAACTCCTGTGATCAAGCAATCCTGTCTCGGCCTTCCAAAGTTCAGGGATAACAAGTGTCATTCACCATGCCTGGCCTGGTTCTATTACACAGAGAGGTTTGCTGAAATTTTAAAATATAATTGTGGATTCTTTCATTTCTTCTTACAGTTCTCTCATTTTTGCTTTATTTATTTTGAAGCCCTGTTATTAATAGGTAAATAAATGTTTAGGATTTTTGTGTGTTCTTGATGAATTAAACCCTTAATGTATATAAAATGATGCTCTTTTTTCCTGATAAAATTTTTATTTTTGTCCACTTTACATGATAGTATTATAACGATTTCAACTTTCTTTTGATTTTGTAGTGTGTAATAAGATCTTTTTCTTGGCTGCACTGGAATTTTAATTTCTGATTGTAGTCATTTTGGTCATGGTTTACCCTGTTTTTTGGAGATGGGCTTTTACTCTGTCACCTGGGCTGGAGTGCAGTGGCATAGTCATGGCTCACTATGGCCTTGACCTCCTTCTGCCTTAGCCTTCCTGAGTAGCTGGAAGGACCACAGGTGTGTGCCACTACCCGTGGCTAATTCTTTTTTTTTTTTTTGAGACGGAGTTTTGCTCTTGTTGCCCAGGCTGGAGTCAATGGCACGATCTTGGCTCACCCCAATCTCCACCTTCCGGGTTCAAGCAATTCTCCTGCCTCAGTCTCCCGAGTAGCTGTGATTACAGGCATGAGTCACCATGCCCAGCTAATTTTGTATTGTTGGTAGAGATGGGGTTTTTCCATGTTGGTCAGGCTGGTCTCGAACTCCCGACCTCAGGTGACCTGCCCACCTCGGCCTCCCAAAGTGCTGGGATTACAGGCGTGAGCCACCATGCCAGGCCATTTTTCATGTGTGTGGTGTGTGTGTGTGTGTGTGTGGGGGGGGGGTATGTATGTTTTTAGAGATGGGTTCTGCAGCGTTGCCCACACTGGTCTCGAACTCCTGGCCTGAGGCGATTTTCCCACTTTGGCTGCCCAAAGTGCTGGGATTACAGGCATGAGCCACTGCGCTCAGCCACTTTTCTTCATGTTTCTAGCGAATGATAATTCATTAAAAGAGTGCCTTGTTATATATGCTTATAATTTCCCTCAAATATGTGAAAAGTTGTTGGCCATGATTTCTAAAAAATTTTTTTCAATATTATCTCCTGTTTTGTGGCTCTAGTTACAAATATGTTTGGCCTCTTGAAGTTATTTCAATTATCACGTATTACATTTTTTAGTGTTTTTTTCTGTGTTTCATTTAGGTTAGTAATTTTGATTTCATGTGTTGCAAATTTCAAAGTGTATTTTTCATCTTAGACTTTGTAATTTTCATCTTTAGAAGTTCAAATTTTAAAAATAATTCATATTTTTACTTAATATGTTGTTTCTTCTAGCCTTCTCATCATATGAAATATCATCATAATTGTTTTAAAGGACTTGTCTACCAATTCTATTTTCTGTTTCATTTCAAAATTGGTTTGTTTTTTGTTTCATTATGGGGTATAATTTCCTGCTTCTATGTAAGTCTTATAAATTTGGATTGGCTTTTGAGCCAGTGTGAATTTTACCTTGTTTTCTAGTTTCTCTAGTTTTGTTTGCCTTTTAAAAATATTTGTGGACTTTGTTCTGTGGCATTATTAAGTTGCTTGAAAACAGTTTCTTTCTGTTGGGTCTTTTATGTTTTCCTTGATTGGACCAGGGTTGTGTTTAGGGTTAAATTTTTCCTCCTTCTGAAGCCTTTTCTTTCTTAGTATTCCAATGTCACATCTCCAATGTGATATAAATTATATCACGTCATTTCCTTTTGGACTTTTGGGTGTGGGTACTATACACATCCTTAAGTCAGTCCTGGATGCTATTACGTCTAATTGTTTTGGTGATTTCTCACCTTGCCCTTGGACAGCTCCTTTACATTGCAAGTGCTGATTTGTCATTCAACCAAAAGTTCTAGGGTGAGCCCTTGTAGATCTCTTCATTTCTCTCTCTCTCTCCAGCTCTCTACTCAGTGCTGGTCTCCCTTGTGAGCTCTAGGCACCTTGGCCTCCTTGGACTTCCAGCTCCATTTCCTCAACTTGGGGAGACGACAGGCTCTGCCTGGGTTCCTCCTCCCTGTTCCACGACCTGGAAAACTCTCTCAAGGCAGTAAGCTGGGCACACGTGTGGCCCGTTTGTTTTTTGTCTTCCAGGGATCACTGTCTTTTGTTACTTGTCCAATATCTTCAGTGCTGTTGTTTCATTCATTTTATTAGGTTTTTATTATTTCACGCAAGGAGGCTAAATCTGGTCCCCTTTATTCACTCCATCTTGACCAGAAGTGGTATCACTGTGGTTTGAATTTACATTTTCATGATAACTGGTGATATTGAGCACGTTTTAGCTTGTGTGTTGGCCATTTGTGTGTTCTCTTTTGTGATGAGTTTGTTCATTTTGCCTTTACTGTTCTTTGTTTTCGTTTTTCATCTATTTGAGTTGCAGAAGGTGTTTATATGTCCTAAATACTCATCCTTTGTTAGACAAATGTTTTGTAAATACTTTCCCCAAGTCTATGTGGTTTACCCATTTATTTATTTATTTATTTATTTATTTATTTATTTATTTTTGAGGCGGAGTCTCGCTCTGTCACCCAGGCTGGAGTGCAGTGGCGCGATCTCGGCTCACTGCAAGCTCCACCTCCCGGGTTCACGCCATTCTCCTGCCTCAGCCTCCCGAGTAGCTGGGACTACAGGCGCCCGCCACTACGCCCGGCTAACTTTTTGTGTTTTTAGTAGAGACGGGGTTTCACCGTGGTCTCGACCTCCTGACCTCGTGATCCGTCCGCCTCGGCCTCCCAAAGTGCTGGGATTATAGGCGTGAGCCACCGCGCCCGGCCTATTTATTTTAACTGTACCTTTTGATGAGCAGAAATATTTATATCTGCTAGGTTTAATTTATCAGTGTTTTCTTTTGTAGTTATTGCTTACTGTGAGCTAAGACACTTTTGCCTAACCTCAAAGTCTTGAAGGTAATTTCCTTTGTTTCCTGTAAAAGGGCTTGCTTTTGCTAATTTATATTTAGGTCTGTGATGCGTCTGAAGTTATTTTTGTAGGTCTGAGTTTTTTGCATGTGGCTATCCAGTTGTTTGTCACCATTTGTTGAAAAGAGTCTCCTTTTCTCACCGGGTTGCTTTGGGAACATCGCGTGGCTGCCTAAGTGGGATCTCTTTCAGAAATCTTTATTCTGCTTCAAAAATCTGTTTGTCTAGCCCTGTTAGAGTATTCGGATTATTTGGTAACTTTATATTGTCTTGAAGTCAGAATTGCAAGTCCTAAAACCTTTTTCTTCTTTTTCGAAGTTCTGCATACTCTACGTCCTTCACATTTCCGTATAAATTTTAATCATCTCTTTTCTGTCTTCTCCAAAAAAGGCTGATGGGATCATGATTGTAATTGTCTTGAATCTGTTGATCAGTTTGAGGAGAACTGACATCTTAACAACCACTGAGTCTTAGTCATTAGTATAGTATATCTCTCCATTTATTTAGGTCTTTTTTGTTTTGTCTGAGCAGTCGTTTGTTGCTTTTAGCCTTTGGTCTCGCATGTCTTCTGTTTTTAAAATTACTTATTTTTTTTCCTTTTTGTTGAGACAGAGTCTCACTCTGTCGCCTAGCTGGAGTGCAGTGGCCCAGTCTTGGCTCACTCCATCTCCTGGGTTCAAACAATTCTCCTGCCTCAGCCTCCCAAGCAGCTGGGATTACTGGCATGTACCCTAAGCCCAACTAATTTTTATATTTTTAGTAGAGATGGGGTTTCACCCCGTTGGCCAGGCTGGTCAACTCCTGATCTCAAATGATCTGCCTGCTTCGGCCTCCCAAACTGCTGGGATTACAGGCATGAGCCACCACGCCTGGCCTAAAATTATTTTTATTTTTAAGTATTTTGTCTTTTTTTGATGCTATTTGTATTTTAAAATATTAAATACTTTTTCAGCAATTATGAAGTATTATAAAAATTTCTAATTTTTTGTTGGAAATAGAATTTTTGTATATTGACCCGTTTCTTACAACCTTAAGTCATATTAATTCTACGAGTTTTTTTAGGTACATTTCTTAGATTTTTCTAATAGATGATTGTCATAAAACACAGTTTTATCTCTTTTTTTCCCTAGTTGTAATGCCTTTTATTCTCTTCCCTCACAGAATTGACTTAATCTTGTTTTCATTCTTTGAATACAGCATTCAGTGTTACACCACTAATTATAAGTCAGCTGTAGGGGTTTTATTGATGAACTTTATCAGATTGTTTTCAAATATAGGTTTTATTACTGTTTAGATATGACAAGGACAACAGAACCCAACATAACTGCCATTGAAAAGATAGTTATAGTCACAGACCCTAAGAGGAATAATCATGCCATGCCATGGAGAATACACAGTTGAGTAAGGTCTAGCCCTAGCTTCCTGAGGGTTTATGTCCTGAATGGATATTGAGTTTTCTCAGAAGCTTTTTCTGTATCTATTGAGATAATGCTATATATTTAAATATATTAATGTAAATTTCATTGTTTTATTTTCAAATGTTATACTAAATGCCATTTGGTGTCATGGTGTATTATTATTATTATTATTTTTTTGGAGATGGGTACAGTGGCACAATCTCTGCTCACTATAACCTCCGCCTCCTGGGTTCAAGTGATTCTCCTGCCTCAGCCTCCGGAGTAGCTGGGATTACAGGCACGTGCCACCATGAGCAGCTAATTTTTTTCGTGGAGACAAGGTTTCACCATGTTGGCCAGGCAGGTCTCCTGACCTCAAGTGATCCTCCCGCCTTGGCCTCCAAAAGTGCCAGGATTACTTTCGTAATCTGTGTGAGCCATCGCAACTGGCCTATTCCTCTTAATATATTGTTGGATTTAAATTGCTAATAGTAAATATTTGCGCATCTTTGTATGTGAGGGATTTTGGTGTAACCTTGCTGCTTTTTGTCAGGTGCTGGTATTTTTGGCATATGCATTGGTATTCTTCATGCTCAACTTAGAAAATGATTTGGGAAGCATTGTCTTCTCTGTTTTCTGGAAATGTTTGTGTGAGATTGATGCTATTTTTTCTTTAGTGTTTGAAGGAACTTATCAGTGAAAAAATCTGAGTCTAGAGTTTTCTTTTTGGAAAGGATTTTGATAATTCAACTTAAAATGCTTCTCAGATATTCTGTTTTATCAGTTTTGATAAGTTTTGTTTTCAAAGAATTTCTTCTTTTCATCTCAGCTGTTGAATTAGTTAGCATGAAGTCATTAATAATAATCTTTGGCCCTCAATACCTTTGGGATCGTAGAGCTAATTCCCCTTTTATTCTTGGTAATTTGTATTCTTCCTCTTTAAAAATAAATTAATTTCGCTTGCAGACTGTCAACTTTGTAGGTCTTTCCAACGTGTTACCAGAAGGGGTCCCAATCCAGACCCCAAGGAGAGGTTCTTGGATGTCATGCAAGAAAGAATTTGGGGCGGATTCATCAAGTGAAAGCAAGTTTATTAAGAAAGTAAAAGAATAAAAGAATGGCTAGTCCATAGGCAGAGCAGTGCCATGGGCCACTGGTTTCCCATTTTTATGAGTATTTCTTGATTGTATGCTAAACAAGGGGTGGATTCTTCATGAGTTTTCTGGGAAAGGGGTGGGCTATTCCCAGAACTAGTGGTTCCTCCCCTTTTTAGACTATATAGGGTAACTTGCTGGCATTGCTATGGCATTTGTAAACTCATGGCGCTTGTGGGAGTGTCTCTTAGCATGTTAATGTATTATAATTAGTGTATAATGAGCAGTGAGGATGACCAGAGGTCAGTTTTATCACCATCTTGGCTTTGGTGGGTTTTGGCCCCCTTCTTTATTACAACCTGTTTTATCAGCAAGGTTTTTCTGTCTTGTATCTTGTGCCAGCCTCCTATCTCATTCTGTGACTTAGAATGCATGACTTACTGGGAATGCAGCCCAGCAGGACTCAGCCTTATTTGACCCAGCACCTGTTCAAGATAGAAGCACTCTGGTTCAGAGGTCTCTGACAAAAGGACCAGCTTTGACTTCAAATTTTCTGTTACTTTTCTGTTTCATTTCTTCTGCTCTTATTTTTACTATTTCTTTTTTTTTTTCTACTTACTTTGGGTTTACTTTACCCTTTTATATATAGGTTCTTTAGGTAGAACCCTACATATTTTATTTTATTTTATTTTATTATTTTATTTTATTTTATTTTATTTTATTTCATTTCATTTCATTTCATTTCATTATTTCATTTCATTTCATTTCATTTCATTTTATTTTATTTTATGACAGAGTTTTGCGCTGCCACCCAGGCTAAAGTGCAGTAATGCAATCTTGGCTTACTGCAACCTCCGCATCCCAGGTTCAAGCGATTCTCCTGCCTCAGCTCAGCCTCCTGAGTAGCTCGGATTGCAGCCATCCGCTACCACGCCCAGCTAATTTTTGTATTTTTAATAGAGAAGGGGTTTCACCATGTTAGCCAGGCTGGTCTTGAGCTCGCGACCTCAGGTGATCCGCCTGCCTTGGCCTTCCAAAATGCTGGGATTACAGCCGTGAGCCACCGCACCCGGCTGCTAGGTCATTCATTTCATATCTTTTTTTCTAATGTGGTTAGGGAACATAATCTGTATGATTCCCATTATTTTCATTCTATTGTGTCCAGCTTTGTGGCTCAGTATGTGGTCTTTCATGGGGAATGCACCAAGTTTACCTGAAAAGAATGTTTATAGTGGTTTTAACATTGCTAGATGATGATGATGACTATTATTATTTGGTCTGGTTTTGTCAATCACAAAGAGGGATGCTAAAATATCTTACCATGTTTGGGGCACTGAGTATTCTGACTGTTTATGCCTTATGCCAAATTTTCCTTCATGTATTTTGAAGCCTTGTTTTTAGGTGCATACATTTATAATTATTATGACTTCTTCATTGTCTGACTTACTGTGAAATGTCCCTCCCTCTCTTTACTATGTAGCCACTCACCATCTTTTTGTTGTTGTTTGTTTGTTTGTTTGTTTTGAGATGGAGTTTTAATCTATCACCCAGGCTGGAGTGCAGTGGTGTGATCTCGGCTCACTGCAGCATTTGCCTCCCAGGTTCAAGCAGTTTGCCTGTTTCAGCCATCCTAGTAGCTGGGATTATAGGTGTGTGGCACCATGCCTGGCTAATTTTTGCATTTTTAGTAGAGACAGGGCTTTGCCATGTTGGCCAGGCTAGTCTCAAACCCCTGGCCTCAAGTGATCAAGTGCCCGCCTCGGCCTCCCAAAGTGCTAGGATTACAGGCATGAGCCACCGCGCACCCAGCCTATCCATTTACTTTGGACCTGTTTGTGTCTTCCCTTAAAGTGTGTTTCTTACAGACACCTTGTGATTGAGTTTTACTTTTCTATGTGTGCTAATACACTATTTTTTTTTGAGAGTCTCTACGTCACTACAATCAATTTTAGAACACTTGGATCCCCTCAAAAAGAAGCCCTTTGGCCCATTAACAGTCACTCTCCATTACCCTACTTGCCCAGCTCCTGGCAATCACTAATCTTCATTCTGTCTCCATCCCTATTTGTCACATTTCATATAAATGGAATCATTTGGTGTATTGTGAGTGGCTTCTTTCTCCTAGCATCATGTACAAGCATTTGTTTTGTAGCATTTATTAGAACTTCATTCCTTTTTGTTGTCAAATAATATTCTATTGCATGGCTATACTACATTTTCTTTACTCATTCATTAATTGATAAACATTTAGGTTGTATATACTTTTGCAATATTATGAATAATGTTATTATTATGAACATTTGTCTGCAAATCCAGACATTTGTTTTCAATTCTCTTGGGCCTAGGATTTTTGTTTCATGCTGCAACTCTGTTTAACCTTTTGAAAAACTGACAAAGAGGCTGTAACATTTTAAATTACCAGCAACAATATATGAAGGTTTTAATTTCTCCATCTCTTTGCCAACATTTTTTATTGTTTGGCTTTTGATTTTAGCTATCCTACAGGGCATGAGGTAGTATCTCATTGTGGTGTTGATTTTTACTTATCTTTTTTCATTATATTCTTTTGTAGACAGAGTCTCACTCTGTTGTTCAGGCTGGAGTGCAGTGGTGTGATATCTTGGCTCACTGCAACCTCTGCCTCCCGGGTTCAAGCGCTTCTCCTGCCTCAGCCTCCTGAGTACCTGGGATTACAGGTGCCCGCCACCACGCCTGGCCAATTTTTGTATTTTTAGCAGAGACGGAGTTTCACCATGATGGCCAGGCTAGTCTCAAACTCCTGACCTCAGGTGATCCCCCTGCCTAGGCCTCCCAAAGTGCTGGGATTACAGGTGTGAGCCACCGTGCCCGGCCCCTTTGTTCAATTTTTAACTGGGCTGTATAGCTTTTTATTTCTGAGTGGAAGAGCTCTGTATTCTGGATACAAACTACTTATCAGACATATGACTTGTAAATATTTCTTCCATCCTTTTACTTTCCTGATGATTTTGTTTGTAGCAAAAAAGTCTGTAGGTTTGGTAAATTCTAGTTATTTTTTCTTTTGTTGCCTCTACTTTTATCTAGTGTTATGTCTAAAAACTGTTGTTCAACCAAGTCCTAAAGACTTACCTCCTATGTTTTTTTCTAAAGTTTTATTGTTTTAGCTCTTACATTTAGGTCTGCGATTCACTTTTGAATTAATTTTTTAATATCAGGAAGGGTTTCAACTTAATTCTTTGGCACATTTCTCTAGCAATTTAAATATATTTCTTTACTCTTTTCAGTCTGTTTTTATAGTATTACCACTTCTGACTAATATTGTACAAGTTGTAAAGTATACAAAGCTTGTAAGTTGTTCTTTTATATCACCTCTGTTTGTTGTCAGTTATGCTATTGTCATGTGTGTTGGAACTATGTACATTATAAGCCCCAGAAAACAACAATGTAATTTTGGCTTTCAATAATCATGTAATGTTAAGAACTTAAGAGCTAAAAGTCATCTAAGTTTACCCAGATATTTACCATTTGTGGTAGTCTTCTTTGTCTTCTGAAGATTTGCATTTTCTAGCATCATTTCTCTTAATCCTGAAGAATTTCTTTAGCCTTTCTTGCAGGGCGTATCTTTTGGTGATAAATTGTGCTTGCTTTCTTTTATCTGAAAGTATCTATTTCACCTCTATTTTTGAAGGGCATTGTGGTTGGATATAGAATTCTGTGTTGACAGTGCCTTATCTTTTAGCAAGGGGTATTTTAGTTTATTTTCTTTTGGCTTCCATATTTTATGATGAGAAATCTGCCGTTTATCCAGTCATGGTTCCCTCTGTGTAATGTGACATTTTCTTTTGGTGCTTCAAGAGTTTTCCCTCTGTGTTTGCTTTTTAGCAAGGCATTTGACTATTCGAGGTTTGCTGAGATTCCTGAATCTGTGGATTTGTCTTTTTTCAAATTGAAGAAAATTTCAGCCATCATTTCTTCAAAAGTTCCTTTCCTGCCTCATATTCTTTCTGTCTTCTTTTTTAGGCCTTTGGTTATGTATGTAAGACCTTTTGGTACTGTGCTGTAGGTCCCTGAAGCCCTGTTTTTTGTTTGTTTGTTTAACCTCTATTTTCTCTTTCAGATTAGATTCTTTTTTTTTTTTTTTTTTTTTTGAGACAGAGTTTCACTCTTCTTGCCCAGGCTGAAGTGCAATGGTGGGATCTCAGCTCACCCCAACCTCTACCTCCTGGTTCAAGCGATTCTCCTGCCTCAGCCTGCTGAGTAGCTGGGACTACAGGTGTGTGCCACCACACCTGGCTAATTTTGTATTTTTTAGTAGAGATGGGATTTCTCCATGTTGGTCAGGCTGGTCTCAAACTCCTGACCTCAGGTGATCCACCCATCTCGGCCTCCCAAAGTGCTGGGATTACAGGTGTGAGCCACCGCGCCTGGCCTCACATTAGATTCTATCTATCGATGTAGCTTCAAGTTCACTGACTCTTTTGTCATCTCAGATTTGTTGTTGTGAAGCTTGCCGAGTGAAATTTTCACTTCACATGTTGTATTTTTAGTATTTAAAAAATTCTATCTTTTTTTTTTTTTAATTTGAGACCGAGTCTTGCTCTTTTGCCCAGGCTGGAGTGCAGTGGTGCGATTATATTACTGCAGCCTCAAACTCCCAGGCACAAGTGATTCTCCTGCCTCACCCTTCTGAGTATTTGGGACTGCAGATTGGTGCTACCATGCTTGGCTTATGGTTTCTTTTCTTTTTTTTTTTTTTTGTTGTTGTTGTTGCTGAGACACCCTGTTTTATTATAGGTTTATCTTTGGTGGGCAGACTTGATTAGCATTTAGCGACATTTTTCTATAAAATTTCACATTATAGACCAGGCGCGGTGTCTCACGCCTGTAATCCCAGCACTTTGGGAGGCTGAGGCGGGCAGATCACGAGGTCAGGAGTTCGAGACTAGCCTGACTAACACAGTGAAACCCCATCTCTACTAAAACTGCAAAAATCAGTCGGGCGCGGTGGTGTGCACCTGTAACCCCAGCTACTCAGGAGGCTGAGGCAGGAGAGTCGCTTGAACCCGGGAAGTGTATGTTGCAGTGAGCCGAGATTGAGCCACTGCACTCCAGCCTAGGTGACAGAGTGAGACTCCATCTCAAAACAAAACAAAACAAAAAAACACTTCACATTATAAAGGAAATGGTATAGTTTGCAATAGAGGAAAGAAATCACTCATAATCTTACCATCCTTACCACAGTCTTATTAATATATTTTGTGGTTTTTTTTTTTTTTTTTTTTGAGACGGAGTCTTGCAGTGTGGCCTGGGCTGGAATGCAATGGCGCCATCTTGGCTCACTGAAACCTCCGCCTCCTGGCTTCACGCGATTATCCTGCCTCAGCCTCCCCAGTAGCTGGGATTACAGGCGCACACCAAGCCTGGCTTATTTTTTTTTGTATTTTTAGTAGAGATGGGGTTTCACTATGTTGGTGAGGCTGGTCTCGAATTCCCGACCTCATGATCTGCCTGCCTTGGCTTCCCAAAGTGCTAGAATTACAAGCGTGAGCCACTGTGCCCAGCGTATTTTGTGTATTTTCTTTTAATGTTCAGTGAATTTTTATTTTATTATAATTTTTTTTTTGAGACGGAGTCTCCCGCTGTCACCCAGGCTGGAGTGCAGTGGTGCGATCTCGGCTCACTGCAACCTCCGCCTCCCGGGTTCACGCCATCCTCCTGCCTCAGCCTCCCGAGTAGCTGGGACTACAGGCTTGTGCCACCACATCCGGCTACTTTTTTGTATTTTTAGTAGAGATGGGGTTTCACCATGTTGGTCAGGATGGTCTCGATCTCCTGACCTTGTGATCTGCCTGCCTTGGCCTCCCAAAGTGCTGGGATTACAGGCGTGAGCCACTACTCCCGGCCAGATCTTTTTTTTTTTTTTTTTTTTTGAGATGAGATCTTACTCTGTCACCCAGGCTGGAGTTCTGTGGTGTGACCTCAGCTCACTGTAGCCTCGACCCCCTGGGCTGAAGTGATCCTCCGACCTCAGCCTCCCTAATAGCTGGACTATAGTCTCACGCCACCATGTCCAGCTAATTTTTTGTATTTTTAAGTAGAGATGGGTTTCACCATGTTGCCTAGGCTGGTCTTGAACACCTAACCTCAAGTGATCCACCTGCCTCGGCCTCCCAAAGTGCTGGGATTACAAGTGAGAGCCACTGCAGCCGGCCAGACTTTTATAAAAGTTGTATGGTTATAAATGGTTATATAAAATATCTTTGTGCATACATTTTCATGTCTTGAAGATAAAGTATATAAATGATATAAAAGACACAAAGGTAATTTATACATGCTATATCTTATATTATTTGCTTTGGCTCTCTAAAAGTGAAGCAATTAAATCAGATTTTTTTCCTTGATTCTTATTGCTTAACTGCTGTCCAAAAGAATAGGATTATGGTGTCATCGAAATTATATAAAAATGAATTTTGAGTTTTTTTTTTTTTTGACAGAGTCTCTCTCTGTCGCCCAGACTGGAGTGCAGTGGCGTGATCTCGGCTCACTGCAACCTCCGCCTCCCGGATTCAAGTGATTCTCGTGGCTCAGCCTCCTGAGTAGCTAGGATTACAGGTGCCTGCCACCACTCCTGGCTAAATTTTTTTTTTTGAGACGGAGTCTTGCTCTGTCGTCAGGCTAGAGTGCAGTGTTGGGATCTCAGCTCACTGCAACCTCCACCTCCCAAGTTCAAGTGATTCTTCTGCCTCAGCCTCCCGAGTAGCTGGGACTACAGCCATGTGCCACCACACCCAGCTAATTTTTGTATTTTTTTTTAGAGATGGGGTTTCACCATGTTGGCCAGGATGGTCTCGATCTCTTGACCTTGTGATCCATCTGCCTTGGCTTCCCAAAGTGCTGGGATTACAGGTATGAGCCACAGTGCCAGGCCTAATTTTTGTATTTTTAGTAGTGACAGGGTTTCGCCACGTTCGCCAGGCTGGTTTTGAACTTCTGACCTCATGTCATCCGCCTGACTTGGCCTCCCAGAGTGCTGGAATTACAGGCATGAGCCATCACGCCTGGCCTATTTTTTAAAATTAAGACCTTTTTTTTTTTTTTTTTTTTTTTTTTGAGACGGAGTCTCGCTCTGTCGCCCAGGCCGGACTGCGGACTGCAGTGGCGCAATCTCGGCTCACTGCAAGCTCCGCTTCCCGGGTTCACGCCATTCTCCTGCCTCAGCCTCCCGAGTAGCTGGGACTACAGGCGCCCGCCACCGCGCCCGGCTAATTTTTTGTATTTTTAGTAGAGACGGGGTTTCACCTTGTTAGCCAGGATGGTCTCGATCTCCTGACCTCATGATCCACCCGCCTCGGCCTCCCAAAGTGCTGGGATTACAGGCGTGAGCCACCGCGCCCGGCCGAGCTTGGCATTTTTATCTACCTCATTCTACCGATGAGGAGGCCGAGTCTCAGAGAGTTCACAGACCTGCCTAAGGTCACTCAGCTAGAGGTGATACAACCAGGGTTTGAACTGAGATCTGCCAAGCTTCTGAGTTTATTCTTTTTCCCCCACACCAAGGATCCTCAATTCTGCCTTACTGACATCAGGATCCGGTCAATTCTTTGTGATGGGGGCTGTCCTGCACCTGGCAGGATGTTTAGCAGCTTCTCTGGCCTCCACCCACTGGATGCCAGGGGAATGCAGAAGAGGCTTGTTCATTCTCCCATTTAATCCTCAGGACAATATCTGACATAAATGTTACGTCTTTTATTTTATAAATGAAGAAAATGAGACTCAGAAAGGTTTAAGTGAGTTACTTAAGAACACACAGACAGCAAGAGGTAGAACTGGAAACCGAACACAGGTGTCCACATGGGACAACAAAAAAGTTCACGTTCCATCTTCTTTTGAGTCTCTCATTTCAATAATGACCATTGTGTGGATATGAGCTGAAGTACAGGAAACCTGGGGCTGAACTCTCCTCCCATCAGGCCTAGGAGCCCCAGACCAGAACCCCAGCCCAAGGTCTCCCAGTCAGGCCCGCTGGCGTGAGCTGGCATCTACACTAGCATGGTCTCCCAAAGCTGCAGGGATGCCAGTCTCGCCGCTGATGAAGAAAATGAAGGGCATTTGCTTCTCATGCAGGCTGTCGGGATTTAACACAGATTCCTTTTCTTGCTGTCTTCTCCCATAGCACAAAACTGGGTGGTCCATCCCCCTCCCAGTGTCCCAAGGCTTTGTTGCGTGTTCTCTTTAATTTCTCCCACTCTTGTGGTGCACCCTACCCTCATCTCCCTGGCAACCTTTCTGCTGTATCCTCTCGACACCTGGATCACAAGAACACTTGTGAGACCCCTTAACAAGTTACATCCCAAATTATCATTCCCCTTTGTCCTCAGCCAGTGCTCAGGTCCAACTTGCTCTCCTGGGGTGACTTTCTTTCCTGCCCAATATGGTTTCATCATCTGTAAATTGGGGATAATTAAAGTCTTGATCCTGATATTTGACTCTCAAAGCAGAAGTAGCAAGCTCAGCCAAGTCACTTCAACAAGAGGAGAAGTTCCTTGTGAACCAAAAGGGCACTGGTCACAAGGGCCGCTCCTTCTTCTGTCAGGCCTCTCCAGCACACCCTTGGCTCAGCCAAAGAAGAGACTCAGGCTGTGCTTCTGCACTGTTGGGATAACATAGGCCTCTTCCATGTGGTTCCACACCAGGAACATGGGGACAATCAGACCTCTCCCAGTGTGGGCATAAGGATACAAGATCATGTCAATATTGACATTCATAATGGCTGGGCGCAGTGGCACACGCCTGTAATGCCAGCACTTTGGGAGGCTGAGGTGGGCAGATTGCTTGAACCCCAGAGTTCGAAACCAGCCTGGGCGACTTGGCAAAACCAGTCTCTACTGAAAATACAAAAAATTGGCTGGGCTTGGTGGCGCACACCTGTAGTCTCAGCTACTTGGGAGGCTGAGGTGGGAGGATTGCTCAAACCCAGGGAGGTTGAGGCTTCAGTGAGCTATGATGGCACTGCTGTACTCCAACCTGGGCAACAGAGTGAGGCCCTGTCTCAAAACAAAAACAAAGACAAAACAACATTCATAATAGTAGCAATAGCTACTATGTGCCAAGCCCAGGCACCTCTTTGAGTCTTTGCTGGCACTCTATCAGGTAAGCGTGCTTAGAAGTTACACGAAGCCCACGGCTCAGTGTTTGGCCCATGGTAAAGGCCTAAAAAGGGATAGCCCCAGTGGTGGGGATGCTGCTGCTGCTGACCATTAACCCCAGTCTGCTCCACCTTCTTCCAGGCAGTCTGTGAGATGTTTCATGTCCGAGGCAAACAGCACATTCAGATCCCCAAGCTCTACACCTCCAGTGTGACCAGGCACCTGCACCACTTCAGGCTCATGCAGGACTCACAGCCTTTGGACCTCAGCTAAAGGACTTGCTTCTCTTCAGCACACGGGGCTTGTTTGTGTTGGGGTCTGAGCCCTGAGCCCATGGTCAAGGAGACCCCCAGGTCTTTCTGAACAGAGACAGCTGGCCTGGGGGCCTCCCTCTCACTGCGTGCAAGAGGCTGTTAGGGTGCAAGACTCAAGGCGCTGAGGGAGGCTGTTTCAGGAGGGAGCCCCAGGAGGGTGGTGGAGACAGAAGGGGGCAGCATCTGCCAAGGCCCTACTGTGTGCCTGGCACCGTGTGGGGTTTCTGGCCCATATGGGCTAAGTGACCCTGCACACTCCTCTTAGGAGAGAGGCTCAGATGGAGAAATTGCAGTTCAGGAAGGTGAAGCAAGCTGCTAGCCTGTGGCCATGTTGGGATCTGGGCCTCAGCCTTCCAGCCACGAAGGCAGCCAAGTGTCATGAAGAAGGCATCACAGAGGCAATTCCAGGCTGTAGTGGTGAACTTTCCACTCTGCATCCCCGGGTGCTGTGCCCTGTGCCCTGTCTAAGGTAGCCCTGTGGGTTTCTATATGTTTAAATTGTCCCCAGCATCAATGATGCTCTCCTGTGGATCCCAAGCCATGGAGATGTCCTGGGACTTTTCATTTTTAGGTACCTAAATTGAATTTCCCAACACACAGAAGCAAGACAGCCGCCCTAACAGACTCTTGCATGCAGTGAGAGGGAGGCCGCCAGGCCAGCTGTCTCTGTTCAGAAAGACCTGGGGGTCTCCTTGACCATGCGCTCAGGGCTCAGACCCCAACACAAACAAGCCCCGTGTGCTGAAGAGAAGCAGGTCCCTTAGCTGAGGTCCAAAGGCTGTGGGTCCTGCATGAGCCTGAAGTGGTGCACGTCCCTGGTCACATTGGAGGTGGAGAGCTTGGGGATCTGAATGTGCTGTTTGCCTTGGATCTTTATTTGTGATTCAGAAACAGTGGAATAAAAGGAAAGGAAAGAAAACCTGAATGGCCACCTCAGCAGGATGCTCCAAGGGTAGTGTCCAGGTGGCACTGACTCAGATATGTGGGGGCTTCCCCCACCCATGCTCAAGAGCCACTTTGCCATTTCACCATCTCTCTGTCCTCCACACCCCTCAGCAGCAAGCACAACAAGAATGTGTTCACCATGAAGCTCAAATCTCAGCAGAATCTAGAGTCTGAAATCCAAGTAAGGGAAAGTGTAGAGCTTCTTGGATGATGCCCTGTCAATTTTATTTTAACGAATGAAAGACCAGAAGAAGTCAGTCTTGAAAGGAGAGGACAGGAGCATCTGCTGGCATTAGCAGCCGTGCCATCGTAGGACCGACTCACCTGGACCCGCGGCCACCTGTGCTTTTACATCTAGTCTTGGTTAACCATGGGCCACTTTTCCAGCTTGGAAACTAAGCATATGCTCCACTTCCTCTCCTTCCTCATTGAACTCTTTCACTAAAAGAACAGTGCAAGAGAGACTTAAACTGTTTGCCTCATTCTTAAGACCTTTCAGGAAAAGTGTTGGCAGGGAAGGAAATCTCCCAGCTCTGGGAAACAGTCTTGTGGATTATCTGCTGGTTTCATTGATCTGTGCTGTCCTCCCTGCATTCATTAGGAAAACTGGCCTTGGTTCAAATAAGAACAGGATTTGTCCTGGTGACAGAGAAAGGTTTCTTCTGATGTCCATATATCTCCGAGGGGGATGCTTTCTCCAGGCAGAGGCTGTGGCCAAGCGATCGGGGGGCTCAGAGGGCTGCTGGGAAGGGGTGGGCCCCTCTCTCCCCAGAGGGAAACTCCTGGGGACCTCTCGAGCACCCCTGCCCATCCTTTAAACATAAATTCATAAATACAAACAAGTAGGCCATTCACAGAAATATATAAAATATGTCATAGGACGGGTGGCACTCTCATATGGCAATAATTATGACAGGGGCCGGCAAATGACCTGAGTGACCCGGAGTGACCTGAGCACTGACTCCCAAATGCCCTCCATAGGATGTTCTGCATCCCCGAGACCCTTTCCTGGGTCCTCCTGGGCCCTACCACCCCCTAGACCATCCAGACCTCAGGTCATCCCCCTGTCTGTTGACAGAGTAGTCTCCGTTCCTGAATGTGCTGGTCACCAGCAACAGCAGCTACTCCTCCTCCAGGAAGCTCAGCCTATACTTCTACACGCAGAGAACCTGGACGGCACCCAGGTGGACCTAAGCCTTCAGCTCCCAGTAGACGCTCTGGGTTTCCTACCCTGCCCAGACACTCTGGGCTTCCCCCCACACCTCCCCTCGGCCGGGGCTCCTGTGTGCATCTGTCTCTCCCAGTGCCCAGCACAGGCGTGGAACGGAAGAGGTGAATGGACCGATTTGAACACATCATCCTGGATTCTCCGTTCCCTCTCAAGCCCTGCAGCTAACCCATCGGCAAGCCCTGGAGGCTCTGCCTCCAAAATCCTGCCTATCCCATGTGCAAACGCCTCTCACCACGTCCACTGCTATTTGCAGTTCTGTGTGTGTGGAAATACTTCCACCAATTTGGAATGAACAGGTCACAGCTGTGCCTGGAGGGAATGGCCAGGGAAATGTGCCCTCGCCTTGCTGTTCTATCCAGGCCCACCCAGCTGAGGATGGGGGACCTGCCACCACTCTCCTGGCAGTTCCGGACTCCTGGGAACCGGCAGGTGAGGACCCAAGAGTGTTTTCAGTGACCCGGCTGACCTGGTCATCCGTCAGTCCCACCTTGGCCTAGGCCTCTATACAGCACAGATCACAGCTCATCCCATCCTGGCATTACACTGGCCTGTGCCCTGTCCTCAGGGTCACATCCGTCTCCCAGAAGCCGTGCAACCCTGGAAAACCCAGGTCTAACAGTCAGGTTCCTCCTCCGTGCATTAACAATGGCGTTGACGCCTGCTTTGCGGCACGCTGGGAGGGGAGAGGGAGGTGTATGCTGGAGAGCTCCCCAGGGGCAAGGCCTGGCTCTGCGTCACCCACTGTCAGATCCTGAGAGCCTGGGGCTGGCCCAGCACGTGGCCACCGTTCCCTAAGAGTTGGATTTCATCCCTCAGTGCTGAAGGCAGGGGATAGAGCTTAGACAGACCCCCTGCGTCCTGTCTTCTTTATCTACAGCTTTCTCTTCCTTGCCCCTTTCACGTGCACCCTGCAGAGCAGGTGTTCACTGAGCTTGAGCAAAATTCAAGCTAGAGCAGCTGATGGATCTTGAGGCCTAGATTCACTGTCAAAGTGTTTCTCAAACGGTGCTCTCCAGAACACCAAGGAAAACTCATTGACTGTGTAAGTCTGAAAATCCCTGCCCACCGGTCTACCTTTGTGTATGAGCAATCAGCTCTACCATTCAGCCCAGGTGTGTGTTTGCTGGACCATGTGGAGGAAGCTGAAGAGACGTGAGCTGAAGGCAGAGGGTGAGTCCAAGGTGGGATCTTGGGACAGGTACGAGAAGTTAGGCAAAAATGGGATAATTCTAGCCTTCATAACCTTAGATAATAGTTCACATTATTATTTAGTTAATAGAACTGTACCCACATTAAATTTCTTAAATTTTTTTAAGAGATAAAGTCTCACTCTGTCACCCAGGCTGGAGTGCAGTGGTGCAATCATGGCTCACTGCTTCCTGGAACTCGTGGGCTCCAGCAATCCTCCTGCCTCAGCCTCCTGACTAGGTGGGACTATAGGCACACGCCACCATGCCTGGCTAATTTCTTTGACTTTTCTCTAGAGACCGGGTCCACCTAGGTTTCCCAGGCTGGTCTCAGACTTCTAGACTCAAGTGAACCTGAACCTCCCACCTCGACCTCTCAAATTGCTGGGATTACAGGTGTGAGCCACCACACCCGGCCTAAATTTCTTATGTGCCATGGGACTGCAAAACATCATTATTAGGGGCAGCTGGATGGAAGGTATAGGAGGATACTATAGTGCCTTTTCAATATTTCTGTCTAAAATCTAAAATCATTTCAACAGGAAACATTTATTTCAAAACATGAAGGTGGTTATCCTTCCATGAGTTTGAAGTACAAAGGCAGGCTCACGGTGTCGTCAGAATTCAGAACGATGGTCGTGGGGCTGGGGGTGCTGGGAGGGGCTGGGCATGGTTGGCTTTGTGATCTGGGGTCTGGTGTGTTCCATCTCTGAATCTCTCTCGAGCTGCACTCTTTCTTAATACATTTTCATAAGTTTAACCAAAAATAAAACGAGGATGCGAAGCTTGCTTGGGTTGTTAAGCCTAGGGAAATTATCCAGCCATGAGCCCTGGCCCAGATGCTTCTAGAAGCCTGGAGGGAACTGAGAACTTTCCAAGTGGAGGCCGCAGAGGCAAGGCCCTGAGGTGGGAGCACACTGCTGTTCGTCCCTAGCTCTGAAGGGGGTGCCCTGGTCGGAATCAGTGCTGGGTGCAGCGAAAGCCGATCTCACCCGCTCCGCAGGGTGTTCAGGCCTGCCAGCAGGGGGCCAGCTGGTCCTCCTGGGATATGGCACGGACCCAGCAGCTCTGTCTGAAATCATAATGGCGGAACCAAGGGCCCTCTACGTCCAGGTCGGTTGGGAGGCGGGGCATGGAGTTCCACTGCAGGAATCTCCAGGAACCCTGAGGTCCTCCCTGAGCCAGGGCCGGGCTGGGCACACCCTGAGTGCCCACAGGGTAGGTGTCTTCCCGGACAGCCCCACCAGGACAGGGTGTGGAAGAACGAGGTGCCCGTGGCGGGGAAGCTGACCAAATGGGCCGCGGGAACCGGGCTGGTGGGCCTGGAGGGGCCTGTCTGTCCCCCTTGCAGAGGGTCTTCCCGCCACGTGAAGCCGGCACAGGCCTGGATGCCGACGACCCTTGCTCGGGTTTGGCTGAAAGGAAAACAGACGCGGTCAGCATCTCCAGTGAGCCCACGCAGGCCTTTCCGGGCTGGGCCCCACCTGCCTGCGTCTCTGGAGTCCTCGGGGTCTCTGTGTGGCCCCCGTGGCCTGACACCGAGGACACGCCTGTAGTCTGCTGATCCCAGAGGGAGGGGTGCATGCTGCCTGGCGTGGGGAAGCTGTCGTGGCATGGCGGGTGGCTCCTGGGACTGCCCCCAGGGTTCAGACTGGCTGGGGGCTTCCTGCCACACACCTTCGTCCCAGGGCTGTTGGGCCTGGGATACGGCCCCCAGTCAGAACTCAGGTGGGAGGGGCCTTGGATGTCACCCAGCCCCTTGTCACCTCACGTGGGGACCCGTCTCCGCAGTGGGTGATTGGGCCCGGACGTGGGTCACCCTCTGCCCTCCTGGGCTGCCCAGTCCATGCCAGGACTGACCGTTCCCACTTCTGGCTGAACTCTTGGCTCTGGCTCTGGGCCCGGGGTCCCGCCTGTGCCCTCTCCCTGAATGCTCTGTGGGTCAGGGACACGGATTCCCTTGTCTCCCTGGCTCCAGGCTTCTTGTCCTGGCAACCTTGGAGGAGCGTGCAGGAGTGAGGGGCCTCTGCTGCTCTCTGAGGCTGTGGGTGCTTGCAGGGAGGGGCGGGGTCTCCCACAAATGGGTCTGGGCTCGTCTAGTAACTTGGAGGGCCCTGCGAGGGGGAGAGGGAGACACCGTGGAAAGTGGGAGGGGGCTTGTTGGAGGGTCTTGCCCACATCCCCCTCCTGCGTGCACAGCATGTCCAGTATACACGCACTGAGCGCCTGCCCTGAGGACCGGTGGGCCTCCTGTACTTTCTTAGAGTCCAGGAGGAAGAGGAGGAAGAAAAGGTGAAGAGGAAGGCCCAGGTAGTAGGGTTGCGGGTCCCGGGCACTCCCCTACTACTGACTACCCCAGAGGGTGACATGGGAGGGGACATGGCACTGGAGCCCACCTGGGGGTGGCACGTCCCCCTTCTTTCTTGTTAGTTTCTTCATAGAGGCCCTAAGATGCTTGAGCACAGTGTCCTCATCCCTGGCCCAGGTATCAACGAACCGGTTGCAAAAACGTGCCCACGGGCCACACCTGGACGTCTTCGTGAGGCGCTCTAGGGACAGGGTGGATATCAGGCCAGGGGAGTTACCTGGGAATGGTCACAGCTCATACCCCGTGGCCACTTCAGTCTCCTACTGGGCGGTGCCGGATCCTTTTGTGGCCACCCCAGGTGTCCAGATATACACAGGAGACTGTGGCTGGGGGGCGATCCGGACAGGGAAGTGCTCACCACACTCTCGACTTTCATCTGGGTCATGTGGGGGATGGGCTCGGTGTCACAGTGTCCTGCCCAGCCCACCTGGCCAGACCTCCCTCTGGGCCAGAACAGAGGATCATGAGGACAGTGTGAGGAAGCTGCCCTCGGGCCAGTCGGGGTCTGACCCCAGGGCTCCCCAGGCCCCGCTGGGCACACGTAGACTTACTCTGCTGAACCTTAAAGGCGATTCTTGTTATCGGCATCAACGCCTGTTCGCCTTCTACCAGATACACGTCCCACAGGCGCAGGGTGAGCCCGAGAGAGATCTGTGGGGACAGCAGGTGTGAAAGAACCTGGTCCTTCCAGGCTGGGGCTGGTGGCTCGAGCTGCGCACACTGGGGCTTCAGTCTCCAGAGTCAGTGACCTTCCCCATGAGGGTCGCCTGAGCCCTCCAGGACGCTGGGTCAGACAAGGTCTTGAAGCTCCTCATGGGGGGCACTCATTTGAGTGGGGATGTGGCTCCTGGAGAGAGGGGCTTGCCCAGGGCTTGAGGCTTCCCTGAGCCCTCACAAGTCGGGTCCTGGCCCACTCTGCCCATGAGGCTGGGCCTGAGCCCCAGCCATGGCCCTGGGATGACCCCCCTTGGGCAGAGGGTTTTGCTTGTGTGTCCTTTGGGGACCCGCCTGAGCCTCCTGTGGGCTGGGAGTGAGCCAGACCCCCGGGCTGGGGAAGCAGGGCACTGCAGGGCAAGGAAGGTCCCTGAGCCAGGGTCTCCCTATGCCTCCTTACCCCGTCAATCAATATCCGGATGAGGCAGCCTAACGGGGAACACTGCCCACATAGATCTTTCTTGTCCTGATGGAAGCAACAGAGGTGCTCAGGCCACTGGGCTGCCCTAAAAACCTCCCTCTTCCAGGGCCTCTGAAGAGCCTTCCCCTAGTGCAGAACACTGGGCGGTGTCCAGAGCTCCCCACAACACTGTCACCTTCCCACACTCCCGGTGGACACACTGCCCTTTGCCCTGCTCTGCGGGAGCTGGGCCCCCATCCCTGTGCCTCTGTCTCCTCCAGGGCAGGAAAGGAAACCAACTCCCAGCCCATGGAGAACCCGACGTCCCAGGTCAGGCCCTGGCTGGGACTCAGCCAGTCACCAGCCCCACGAGGGGCTCCAGCCCCCCTGCTCCTACAGCCCCACGGGAGGCAGGGCCTCTGGGAAGAGCTGAGGGGACCATAAACTCACCTGATGCCCCATGGTCTTGGGTTGTGACGTGGCTACCACATGCTCCTGTTGGTCTTGGAGCCCCTGGACGGTCCCGCCATTTGGGCTGTGAAATCCTGAGAAGCCCCCAGCCCATCATGAAATCAGAGCCTTCCCCCAAGATGTGGAGCCATCAGCTGCAAGAGCTGGGCAGCTGGAGAGGCCCCCAAACCCCAAGGCCTCCCACCCTCCCCTCTGGTGACCCCAACATGCGGCCTTTACCCTGGGGAGGTGGGGCGGGAACATTCCCTGGAGCCTGGCTGGAGGTTCCCCTGGAGGCCTCCTGGGCCAGGGTGCAAAAAGGGCAAGCCTGACTTTCAGGCCACGACAGGGTGGCCGGAACTGGGTAGGCGCTGGGCTTCCCGGTCATCTCCTGGTAGTGGGGTCGGGCCAGGGAACAGGGGATGGGGAGATGCTGCCACCTGGGCTTGGTCGGCCCATTCGTGGGCACCGATGGCAGCAGGAGCCCGGGCAGCTGGAGGGCAGGAGGACTCTCAGGGAGGGGAGAGTCAGCTGCACAGAATCAGAGCCGGAGGGCGTGGCTCCAGGACACAGAGGGTGGCCACGGGGAGGATGAGATGCCCTCTGCTGATGGGGATGAGAGGCGTCTGATTTGGGCTTTGGGGGTCAGCCGTGGACTCCTGTGGGACCCTCAGCAGAGACATCCTAAAGTCTCCCAACAAGCTGGCGACACAAGGAGGGTGCCTTGGCTGAAAGCTGTGATCACCCGGCCAGGGTGGCCATCCCCAGGTCTGGCTGCAGGAGGTCCCCGGGGCAGCTGTTCACTTACCCTGCAGGGAGTGCCTCTCACTGGCCAGCAGCTGCACCAGTGCCCAGAATGCATCCTCCTCAGGAAGATAGAGGAGGAACAAGGCGGCGATGTGGCTCAGGTCCCTGCAGTAGCCCACCTCCTGCAAGAGCCAGAGTCACCATGGAAGGACATCACCTGGGAGGGCTGAGGTCACCTGGGAGGACTCATGTCATTGGAGAGGGCAGAGGTGACTGGAGAGGCTTCCTCTGAAGGAGAGGCTTCCTCTGAAAAAGAGGCTTCCTCAGGATGCACATTCATTTCATGACAAGAGCCAAGTCCATCAGGCACTTCAGCACCTTGTCCAAAATGTCTGCTGATAGCACCATCCTGTGTGCGATGCTGCCAAGCTCCTGGGCTTTGGGGCAGCCCCAGGAGGAGGGCGTCATTTCTTGTTCTGAGAAGTGGTGGTCAGGCCCAGGTGACACCAGGAGTCCGGGCCCTGACTCCTTTGTGTCTCAGCTTGACCCCTTGAGACCACCCCCTTCCTTGGAGGTTTATGCCAGCGGTGAGCTGACATCCTACCTCCTATATCCTGGTGGGTCACAAATACTAACTTTAAAAGAAGCAACGACACCCCCACCAGACACCCACTCCTGTCAATATGGAAATATGGCCCGGGAACCTCACTGCCGGGAATACTCACCGGGTTGTACTCCTCATATGCCAGGAGGATGTGGAGTAGTTCCCGCTGCCTAGGAAACAGAGAAAGGGGGCTTTGGTTTGTTTTGTGCAGATGTTGTTAATTTCACTTTGTCTACAAAGCCTAACAGCAAATCCCATTTCAGGTTCAGATGTTTCACCAGATAAGCAGTGAGCTCTTCAGGGCCTGAGACTCTTGAAGAAATGTTTCAGTAAAATCCACATCTGTGACATGCAAATAGCCCAGTTGTACAGTGACTTGCCTGATCCTTTTCACTCTGAATGATTTTTTTTTTTTTCAGTTTGCACACACGCCAGTTCAGTCTGTGGGTGTACAGTTCCTCCACGGTTCCAAACCAATGTGCAGAGTCTCCCGGCCACCGCTCCAGCCCCTCCTGGGGCGACTCCTTCATCCTCCAAGTCTCCAGGGTGGCCCCTATGCACCCAGCCTCTCCCCGATCCGTCAGCCCCTGGCCACCCAGACTGCTTCTCAGTCCCTGTGGTTTGGCCTTTTCCAGAATGGCCTAGGAATGGGAATCCTACTGTGGTAGCTTATTGGGTCTGGCTTCTGTCCCTCAGCAAAATGCATCTAGGATCCACCCACGTTCGTGCGGGCATCACCGGCTCGTTCCCTTTTCTCACTGGGTCTTCCGTTTGAAGGGAGGACCAGCCTTGCTCTCCCCATCCCCGTGTTGAAGGCCGTCTCCGAAGGCTCCGTGTGTGAGTGACGAGGAGTCAAGCAGTGAACCTGGCATGCTGGTTTCATGTGGATGTCAGTTTGCAAATCAGTGGGTTCAATATCTGTGACACTTTGGGGATGTGTGGTTCAAGTCCATGGAGCTTTGTGAGCCACTGCCCAACGGGCTGCCAACGTGGCTGTGCCATGTCATGTTCCCAGCGGACCTGGATGAGAGTTTCCAGGACCCCTAATTCTCCCAGCATTTGGTGCTGTCACTGTTGCCTGGGGGGGGCTCATGGGCCCTCTATCCTGCCACCCTCCCATGGGTCCTACCATGGGTCCCCATGGGTCAGGGAGAGCACCCTTCACCATTGTGCATGATTTTGTTTGCTGCCTTCCATCTCCTCAGGATCCTCCTGGGTTCTGGCCCCACATGTTCCAGTCTGGCCCAGGGCTTGGAACCAGGGAGGTGCTCGGTTCATGGTGCCGGCTGCTCCCTGGGCCGGGAGAGCTCTTGGCAGCTGTGTCATCCCTCCTGGGTGACCCTGGCTTCTGCTCCGGGGAAGCCCCCATCCCTCTCATTCACCCCATCTCTGCTGGGACCCTGTGGCTCCCGTAGGCTTACTTGGTTCCGTATCGATCCCTGAAGAATATATGCTTCCTTAATGTCCCGCTTACGTCCCGGTCGATGCGCTGGATGTGCTCAGATGACCTCTTGCCCTTCTCCTTCATGATCTGTAGGGCAGGGCCAAGAGGAGGAAGCAGTCTCAGAACAGATGGAAGACTCCCTGCCCCCAGTGGCAGTCAGCCCACAGTCAGCACTTCGGGAAGGAAGGACAGAAGGAAGGTTTCCTTCTGCAGAAAGCTGCATTTTGGCTTGTTACTGAAGCCAGGGAGGGTCACCAGAGCTGAGTTTGTCTGTGGTGACTGTGTCACCATCTGTGCCCAGGGTGTTCATCTGACCTTCACCCCCAGCTCCCCAGGGTGGTCTTGACGTTCCCTCCAGCTGGAGACCTGGGCCCCGACACGGCCTGTCCTGTTTGTTGTGCTCTGGCTGAGCGTACCTGGTATCTTCCGGGGTTTTTCAACTTCATTTCCTCAATGTTCAGGAGGACTGACCACATCGGGCCCCGGATGTTCATGGGCATTCCCTTGTACGCTCGATCTATGAGCTGTGGGCAGAAAACAATCTGGTGTCACAGGCCACAGGGTGACCCCAGTGAGGACCAGAGCCCGGGGATTCTGGAAATTGTCGGTTTTGGCCCCATGATTCCTCAGTAGAGGTGAGATCAAGCTGGGACAGGGTCTCCCTTCCCAGGACTGAAAGAGTGGATGGACACTCAGAGTCGAAACTCTGATCTGAACCTTTTCCTTCCTTCAGGTCACCAGGGCATCCCTAGCCTTGAGCTCCGGGTAGTCCCAGCCCTAGATTCAGATTCCCTCCCTGCAAGGTGACGCTTGCACGAATAGGCAGGAAATCTGGCGACCAGGCCTGCAGTCCTCTGGGCGAGGACAGTGTGCCGCCCACCCTCTGAGAGGCTGATGGTGCCAGGCCACAGCCATGGGTGCCTGTGCCCTGTCTCTGCAGAGAGTGCTTCCTCCCTCCACACGTTACCTTTCTGCTGCTTTTGTATTTCTCCCAGTCTCCCAGCATATCCACCCACTTGCTCTTTCGGCTGATCTCCCGCCGAATTTGCTGTCAAATGAGGCATGTTGGAGTTAGCGGAGCTGCCAGGCTTCCCAGAGCCGCCCGCGGATGCTGGGTCTTGGGCTCTGGAGCCCTGGTGGGAGCCAGCTGGAAGGAGCCAGGGAAGGGCAGACCTCAAGGGCTGAGAGCCTTTGAGCAAATGAGCACCAGTGGGCTGGCTTTGGGACCCCGGGATGTACCATCCTCAGGCCACAGACACACCAGTCTTAGGTCCCAGCCTCTAGGTGGGGTCCTGACACAAGCGCACAGCCACCCCCAAGCCAGGACTGTGGTTCTCCTTTTGGAATTTTATCAAACTGCCAAAGTGAACAGCAACCTGGGGTCAGGTCCAGCAGGGACTGCTGCCCCTCCCAGTGACAGCGTGTTGCCCTCACCCGCCACCGCTCAGGCCAGCTGCTTCCTCTGCCTCACTGACCACCCGCCCAGTCCCTACGTCCCTGGACCAGCCCCTCCACGCATCAGGCTCTTACCTTCGCCTCCCGCGCAGTCAGAGGAGGCAGCTCCGTCTCACTGTAAGGCAACCCAGGCAGAGCTGAGGAACTGCACGGGGCCTGGAGCGGCCCCAGCCTGGGTGCCGACCCCCAGAAAGGACTGGCTCTGTCCCTTTCCAGCTCAGGGCTCAGCCCAGGAGAAGGCACAGGGAAGGGAGGACAAGGGCCTTCCTGTGGGGCTGACTCCCAGGAGGGGCAGGACCTGGGAGAAGAAGGAGTGTAGGGACAGCCTGGCCGGGGTTACTGGGGCCCCTGGCGTGGGGGGCGGTCAGGCTGCCCAGTGGGGCTGCCCGTCCTGGACTCGAGGTGGTGCTTTCTGCTGGAGCTGAGAAAGGTTAGCCCTGAGATGGGATGGGGGCCGCCCAGGGTGGGCGACCGGGCCCTGACAGGAGTCCCTCAGGGAGTGACCACATCCCCCCGCCAGGGTCAAGGGAGCCTGCCCTGAGACCTGCCCGGTGTACTCTGGCTGCACCAGGGGCCCACCCCACTTGACAGCCCCAAGGCCCTTGCAGGTTCTGACCTCCCAGCATCCACCTGCCTCTCCCTGCACCCGAGCCACACACCCTGCGTTTCAGAAGTGGCACGGCTCGTCAGCTCCCTCCCGCCCTACCTCCCCAGGGATCCTCTGTCTCTCCATCCTGTGATCCCTGAGGGATGGGCTCCTGGCTGGGCTCCTCTTACCCGGCCCCAGATCCCTTCCCAGCACCAGACCCAGGTCTTTAGCCGCGAGCCCTGCTGCCTCCCTGGCCTCACCGTGAGATGCCCAGAACGGGGCCCTGCCCATCTTCTCCCCCGTTCTCCTAGGGCTACAGCCCCCATTGTCACCATGCCTTTTCCCCTCACGGGACAGTGAGGGCTGTAGCTCTAGGGGAATGGGGGAGAACAGGGGCAGGTGGGCCCTCAGAGACCTGCTGGACAACAGCCCTGAGGCTGGGCCAGGCGTCCCCTCACCCTGTGGCCATAACCCTTGCATCTCACCGGGGTTGTCTCCAAGTAGACAGGGCCAGACCCTCAGGCTGCCCCGCTCCTCTTGTGCTCACTTGCCGACAGAACTGCTGAGCGCCCAGGGGCCTGACCTAGCCCAGTCTCCATTCCCACCGGCTCCCTAGATGGGCCCCACACCTCTGGCCTAACAACCTCGGGCTGGACCTGCAGGGGAGTCAGGGAGGAGTTCTGTCCCTGGAAAGGAGGTTGACCCGACCTGGTGAGACATGTCCTGCATCAGAAAGGCCTTTCTAAAAGCAAACCCATCCCTGAGCTGAGACAGGTGCTTTAGGGGTGAGGGGAGTGCAGAGGACTCACTGTACAATCCCCAAATGATCGACGTTGTTGTTGTAGCTTCGAAAAGGCTTAGGCCCCTTGTCCTCTGGCAGCCCAGCTCGGTGTCCCTGTAGCCCAGAGGGAGCCTTGCTGAGGGGTCCAAGGTAAAGGGTGCAAGGGCCTGGGGGCATTGGCCACCCGTCCCTGCCCTGTGCTCCTAGGGAGCCCAGGACCCTTTGACCAGGGCACACTGGAAGAGGCCTCCCTCCAAGAAGCAGACCGACTTGTACCTTTTCGTATTTCATAATGATGTCCTCTCGCTCTTGTGCCCACCAACTACCCGCGACCTCTACCACGTCCATCCTGTGAGACAGAATTGTCTAAAGGTCACACTGTACGCGGCGGCTTCGGAGAACACCTGAACCGCTCTCGCCGGGCTCCCAGATGCTGGCTGGCTGCGTAACCCCCATTCCACCGCCGCCCCCAGGGAAAAAGGGGCCAGACCCAGTGGCCCACAGCTGCTCCAGTCTCTGGAGTCTCAAGTCCCAAGCAGGGGTGGGCATCTTCCCAAGGACTTGAGTACAGTGGGACCTAGACAGAGAATCCTGTTGTCCCCCAATGCCATGAAATGGGGACACACCGGCCCCAGCAGGTTGAATGGTTTCCACCTGCCAAGGGTGAAGGGCCCATGATGGGCTATTCCAGGGATGTGGAGGCAGACTGGGGTCAGCGACCAGAGGTCTCTGTGCAATCGGCCTCCTGGGATGCTCAGGGCCTCAGAGATGCCCAGTTTCCTACAGGGAGCAAGATCTCTCCCGACTGCTCGGTTCTACTCCGCTCATCACTTTGGCTACCGTGGCTCTTCAGTCTGAACAGTGAAGCCACTTTAGGAATAACGCCTGTTGAGCAGGAGGGTGTTGGGTTTGGGGGATGAGGAAGATCTATTGTACGCATGGAAACCACGTCTCTCGCGGAGGGACTGTGGAGTCCACCATTCTGAGCCGTCCCAACAGGAGGAGGCTTCATTTTCCTGGGTCACTGAGGAAGAACAGTGGGTCCTTGGTCCTGGAGAACAGCTGGATGGACCGTCCCTCCTGGGAATACTCGAGGCAAAAGGAGGGCAAGGCCTCAAGAGGACCACGCAGAGCAAGAAATACCTGGGGAGAACCCTAGTGCCCGGACCCCTTTGAACACAAGGGAAGATAGTCTCCCCTCAGCCAGCCCTCCAGGGCTCCTTCATTTTCCACAGCTGCCCAAGGGCAGCAGGCTCCCCCGGACAAGGGACCATGTGTGTTCAGTGGGGCCCACAGCGACCATCAGGACCCAGCTTAGGGCACAGAGGTGTTCTGAGGACCGTCAGTGGATCTGTACCAGTGGCTCTATACCAGTGGCTCTGCCAGGACCAGGCTCTGCCCCATCGGGATGGGAAACCTGGGCAGATTTGGGATCTAGGGCAGGGAGGTCACAGGGTTCAGGCCTGAATTCCAGCACAGCACACGGCAGGGCTGAGAGCAAAACTCAGGGTCATGTCCGGATTCCCAGGCCGGTTACTGCCTCTCTGACCCCAGACGTCTCATCTGTCGAATGGGGACATTTGGGAACAGCACCCACTCTACGAAGCCACCATGGAGACGAAAGAGCCAATCGTCTACACGGGCAGTGTAGAACGGGCGCCTGGTGAGTGCTCAGGGATGACCCTCCTCGGTAGCTGCCCCACAGAGGCCAACACCGCCCGCACCGTAGCCACTGTCCCCAAGTCCGCCTGGAGGGAAGAGAGCAGGTCACGCTCACCTGATTCTGATGAATCAGCTGGCCTGGGTCATGCCTCTCAGGGAGAAAACCTTTGAGTCCACAGAGCTGCTCACAGATACCACTGCCTGTGTGTAACTGCTGTAGACCACTGACGCAGGCCAGAGAGCAGATAGGTGCTAAGCACCAGTGACATTCTGAGGTCATGGCACGAATCACAGTGGGGCCTTGCCCGGGTCAGCAGCACCCAGAGTCAGGGTCCTCCGCTGCCTGAGGCGTCAACATGCCTGCCTGCAACGTGTTTGTGCACGTGCGTGCACACGTGTATGTGGGTAAACATGTCTGTGCACATGTGTGTTGCTTCTCTGGCCAGGCCCGGCTGCCCCACTCATGTGTGCACCCAGTTCCTCATCACTGTCACCCCCGAGGCCCAGGGCCAGCATCAGAGCATCCATGGCTGCTCCCTAACCTCAGCCCTCCCCGCCCAGGGTGGTCGTGGGATACACATAGGGGTGGAGGGAAGTGACTGCTGCTGTTGGATCTCAGAATACAAAAGCTAATACTATTACCTAATGGTCTTTTTAGTGTATCTAATGGTATCGCTTTTTCATTTCTGATATTTTAACTGGGTATTTCTCTCCATGACCCTTGGATATTCTAGCTAGAGGATCCTGTGGGGAAAGTGCCGAGCACACAGTAGGGGCTCACTCTTCTAGACATGTTATCTAAAACCTGGTTCATCTGTCCTTCCACGCAGGGCCTAGGGGATGCCAAATTCCAGGGTCCAGAAAGAGCTTGGGATAAAATGAAACTTCAAGGGGACGGCTTTGACCTGGGCTGAGTCTGTCTGTGCCATCCAACTGGAGTCTCAAGTCCTGAGGCAGGACGTCCAGATGCCCCAGTGCAGGGCCCTCCTGATCAACACCTGCTCCCCTGTACTCATTAGCAACCTCACCCACCCTACTCTCAAAGCACACTTGGCTCTCGTATCCAGGAGCTCTGCATCTATAGGTTCAGCAACAGCAGATGGAAAATATTCAGAAAATAAATTGGATGGTTATGTTTCTATTGAACATGTGCAGACTTTGTTCTTGTCATCATTCCCTAAAGAATACAGTATCACGACCATTTATGTAGCATCTGCATTGTATTACACATCATAATCTAGTAACGGTCTAACGTATACGGGAGGATGCGCATAGCTTATACGTAAATACTAGGCCATGTTCTATCAGAGACTTGAGCATCCATGGATTTTGGCATTCCCGGGGACCCTAGAACTAATCCTCCATGGATACCAAGGGATGACTGTATATACTCACTCAGGAAGGCTTCTCATTGGAGGAAGGGCCCGGTTCAGGACAGACAGGGACATCATCCCTGGACTACTGTCCATCCATCCATTCATCCATTGGCACCACCCTCTAGGACTGTCCCAATGACAGCCCTAGCAAGTGGAGATAAGAAAAAAGACTGGCTCAAATGGTACAGCTTTGAGGTCTTGGAAGATGTTGCACCAGTATGAGAATAGGGGGTCAGTTTCCTCCAGGATCCAGAAAGCATATCAGGCAGGCTCGGGGAGAGGAAAGGAACACGGCCTCTCCAGCAGCCACACAGGCCTGCAGTAGGATGGGGCTGGGGCTGGGGCTGGGGCTGGGACTGGGGCTGGCCCCGTTTATCACTTGGGCCTCATGAGGGGAAAAGAAAGGACAGGGGGCAGAGGAGGAGCATGGGGGCAGCGGGTTGCCTAAGGAGAAGGCGCCTCAGGGAAGGGGTATTAGTTTGTTTTCACACTGCTATAAAGAAATACTTGAGCCTAGGTAATTTATAAAGGAAAGAGGTTTAATCGACTCCCAGTTCAGGGAACTTACAGTCATGGCAGAAGGCGAAGGGGAAGCAGGCACCTTCTCCACAAGGCGGCAGGAGGGAGTGAGCGGAGAAGCAGGAAGTGCCACACTTTCAAACCATCAGCTCTCCTGAGAACTCCCTCACTATCAGGGGAGCAGCAGGGGGGAAACTGTCCCCAGATCCCATCCCCTCCCACCAGGTTGCTCCCTTGACACAGGAGGATTACAATTCCAGATGAGATTTCGGTGGGGACACAGAGCCCAACCTGTGAGGGTCTCAGTCTATCTTGCAGCTCCCCTGGGGCTGGGGCTGAGTACAGTTCTGCTGGCCCTGCTCTACAGCACGTGGGGACTCTGCCTGTGTGCCCCCATCTGCTCTTCCTGGGGATGGTGGCTGCTTCCTCAAGAGGAGGGTGGATCTGCTCTCCTGCCCACCCCTCTCCAGGGCCTTTTGGAGCCCTGGCCACGTCCTCCCCAGGTAAGGGCAGGAAACCGGGCTCCTTGCCCTTCTTGCTGCTTGGGTGACAATCCTGGGGTCATCCATAGGCCCCATCACTGTTCCCGCTTCTAAATGGAGGGTATTTTGGCACATCTTCCTGGCGGGGTCCGGGGCCTCATCCCTGTTATTTATTCTATCTTGGTAAAGCCAGGTTAAGACATCTGGGCAAGGAGATAGTAGAGTGGCCCCCAGGAAGGGTGGGTGGAGGGCCTGGCCTTTGGGCTTGCCTGGAGCAGGGTGGGAGGGGGCAAGGTTACCAGGAAGCAGGGCTGTCAGGGCCAAAATCAGGAGGCGGTGATAATGCTGGTGGGGGGACAGGGCTGTGTGCTTGGCTTGGGGTGGGGCATGAGAGCCAAGGTTTGTCAGCACGCAGAGGGGTGGCTGACTCATGGACTAGGGGCTATGGAACCCAGAGGCTGCCCTTAGTTCCTGGATCCTGGGAGACTTCTGGAGCCTGGGTGTGGGGCAGCCTAGGGGTGGAGGTGGGGCAGACAGGGGTAGGGGTAGGAGAGGAGGACTTGCATGGCAGGGTGCAGGGTAGGAAACCAGCCAGGGGCCAGTTTGCATTGGCGGCTCCCATCCCCATCCCCACCCCCAAGCCCACCCCTACCCCCACCCTGCTGCAGAGATGGGCCTGGGCTGCTGTCCTCTGCTTTGGCCTCAGCAGATCACACGATGGAAGCTGGCAGCCCCGTGGGCACCACTCGAGCCAGCTGTGACCTGCAGTTTCTGCTTCCTGGAGTGTGGGGCGCCCACTCAGGAGAGCACGGCACACCCCACACCCCTCATTTTGAGGATGCTGGGAGGTGGGGACCAAGGTCCTGCAGCCCTCTGCTTGCGCTATGAAAGGTAGCCTAGGAGTCCTGTGTCCGCCCATCCACGTGGGGCCCCAGGAGCCTGAACAGTGGCAGGCAGAGAGATGAGGAGGGTGAGAGAAGTGGAAAAGAAGGAGAGAGAAAGAGAGATGGGGAGAAGGGAGTGAGATAGAGAGAGAGAGGATGAGAGATAAGGAGAGAGACAGAGGAGGCTGAGAGGAAAAGGAGCGAGAGAGACAGGCAGAGAGACACAAAAGGCAAAGAGAGAGACAGGGAGAGACGAGCATGAGTAGGAGGTCGGATCACTCTCGATCCCAGTCCCCAGTGAAAACCGTAGGTCGCCATCACCTAACTACGCGTGCAATAAAGTCTTCTGCCTGCTGCTTACAGCCCGAGAACCCTTTTCCGAGAGAATAAAATCTTTGACCGTTGCCCTTTCTCGCCGGAGTTTGCTCGTGTCTTCTGATGAACTGTGATGTCTCACCTATCGCCTTCCTGGGCTCAAGGATCCACGAAAAGCCGACGACTCTTTTGGGGAGGCTCTGCAGTGCCTTCATCTCACTAGGCTCCCCAGGAAGCTTGCGAACTTGGCTTGAGCCCTAAGCAGCCGAGTATGTGCCGGGCCTCTGCTTCTCTCTTTCAGTAAGAGGGAGAACCAAGAAAGAGACTGAAGCATGGTCTGCAGAGAAGGCACTTGTGCAAACACCAGGAGAATGAGGGGCCTGAGTTGTCTTCATTTCTCCTAAAGACACGCATTTCCTCCCAGACCACCCTAGTGAGGGCATGAAGCACAGCGTGTGTGTGTGTGTGTGTGTGCGCGCGTGTATGTGTGTGTTGCAGGGCTTTACAGTGGACAGGATGTGGGAGGGCAGCTGCAGCTCCAAGCTGCAAGTCTTTCTGATAGAATGGTTAAGATTCCCTGGACCACAGAAAGAGTGTTTTCATTTGCACCTATTTTTATTAGCATTTAAAGCTGTATTCTTCGTAGCATGTGAAGCTTAAGTTGCTTAACTATTCTTAGAAACATTTACACCAGCGGTCCCCAAACGTTTTGGCACCAGAGAGCAGTTTTCTTGAAGACAACTCTTCCACGGACCTGGGAGAAGGGGAAGGGATGGTGCAGAGATGATTCGAGCCCATTACATTTATTGTGTGCTTTATTTCTATGATTATTTCACTGTAATATATAATGAAATAATTACACAACTCACCATAACATAGAATCAGTGGGAGCCCTGAACTTGTTTTCCTGCAACTACATGGTCCCATCAGGAGGTGATGGGAGACAGTCACAGGTCATCAGGCACTAGGTTCTCATAAGGAGCATGCAATCTAGATCCCTGGCATGCTCAGTTCACAGTTGGGTTCTATGAGAATGGAACGGCACCACTCATTTGACAGGTGGCAGAGCTCACGCGGTAATGCGAGGGATGGGGAGCGGCTGTTTCTACAGATGAAGCTTTGCTCCCTGGCTGGCTGCTCACCTCCTGCTGTGCAGCCTGGTTCCTAACAGGTGGGGACCCCTGATTTACCCAGTAAAAGAAACACATTTTTATGTCAATTGAAATTATTCACCCTGCACCACCCAAAATTATCTTGCATACCTACACCCATCCAAGGGTCCCGTAGCACACTTTGGGAGCTGTAGACAGTAAGCCTGGAGCTCCACTGAGCATTCCTTCTCTCCACCATCTGTGGGCTAACAGGCTGTGTTAGTTTCCTAGGGCTGTTTTACAGTACCACAGACTGGGCACCTTCAGCAACAGAATGTTACTGTCTCACAGTACTGGAGGCCATGGGTCCAAGATCAAGGTGTCATCAGGGTGGGTATTTGTTTTCCACTGGACTGTTGATACATTCTTAGAAGGTTTTTGGTTGCTGTTCACGTTAATTTCTCTTCCTTTCTGCAATTGTTCTCTTTCAGTACTCCCTGATATTTTTCTTCTTGAAGAAGTAGCTAGTTAATTTTGTATTTTAAAATTCTTCCCCTCACCCCAAGAACTTCTGCCTTCATAATTGGTTCTCTCCTCATATTTATTTTATACAAGTTATGTGGCTGATTACATTGTTTCTGTCTGTACAGATGGAGAGTTAAGGAATAAAGAGGACAGACAGACTAGATTACCTCAAACACTGAAATGCTATGATTTGTCCGAAGTCATACACGCATTATCTGACCAGACATATGTGCTTTTTCTCTAGAAGCATTTTGTCGTTTTGAATCAAAAGGTCTTCTGAATCTACCTTAATGAAGTTGACAACTTTCAGAGGTTTTCAGTGGTGAAGAGAAACTTGGACAAGGAGATAACTTCCACAAACAGAAAAAGCCTCATCTCTTCTGGATTCCTTTAATGCCAGTGGTCATCACCAGGGGCAGATTAGCCACCTTTTCCCCGGGCTGGGACCTCCACCTTCTCCTCTACAGGTGTATCACCTTAGAAATCTTCTGCATCTCACTGTCACCCAACACATTTTCTCCTTCCAAGCCTCTGCAGTCTCACGAGTTTGTCTGTATTTTTCTTCTTATAACCTGCCTTGCTACCCTAGCCAGCCTGGATCTCATAGGAGATTAATGGAAATACTCCCAACATTGGGCCTTTCCTGTGCCCGTCTTCCTGCTGTATCCTGGCAAAATGCCAGCCCAATCCACAGTCTGTTGTTCTACTTCTGTATCTGAAGGCTAAAGAAAAAGCACCTAGTCATACAGATTAACCCTGTTTTAATGTAACTATTCCATAATTTCAACCTCATCTGAGTACTCAGCCTTGCCTGATGCCTTTGCTTGCCCAGCCCTGTTTAGTTCTCTCATTCTCTTCAACATCTTTAGCAAATCTTCTCCTTCCCCGTCTTGACCTTCCTGTCTCTTCACCTGATACAGAGGTTCTTAGCTCCTACTTCGTTGACAATTTTAAGGTTTTGCTCTCTTCTGTAAATTGACCTATAGGAGTATCCTTCTTTACCCCTTTCCTGTGGTTTTCAGGGGATGGAATATTTGTCCTGAGAAGGCCAATACATCCATCGGACACGTGTCTCTATCCCCATTTGCTACGTAAGTATTTGACTTCAGCCATCCGGTACACTGGCTCTGTCTCTGGTTTACACCTGCTGTCTCTGTGTCAGCACTCATTTCCGCTTTAGCCCATTGACTTTTCCCTCACAACGCTACTGAACTTGTCAATAGGCACATCAGTGATCTCCTACATGCCAAGTCTCATGGACATTTTTCTTCATGTTGTTTGACTGCTGCTCTGCCTGACTGGATATTATAATCTCCTTTCCTTGAAACCCTAGGCTACTGTAGCACTACACTTTACTGGTTCTCCGCTTACCTTCGTTACATCTCTTTTGTTTTTTTTTTTTCCCGGATCCCTCCAGATGTGGCCTAGGAATCCTTTTAAACACAGTGCTCCAGGCAGAAGTTAGTTGGAGGTAGTTCACAAGATGCAATTTATTTGCCATCCACCCTTGCATTTCAGCTCCATTATTTGTCCTTGCCATGCCTATCTATAAAAACACTTTCTCCTTCCCAGAGATGGCAGCTAACAAGACCTAGCAAAAGAAATGGGAATTTTCATTCACAATTTCATAGGGAGAGCAATTGGTAAGATTATTTTACTGCCAAGGGTAATAAAATTAATGAGAGAGTTGAAGAAAGAGGCATGAATTCTGAAACTGTCTAGAACCATCTAAGAGGTAAAGCTGAGGAGTTTTATCCGTATTTGTAGGCTGTGATTATTTTCATAGAAGTACTCTCTGATTTATGGGTATGTCACTGATTACCACTAGAATTGCAGATTGGGCACATTAAGCACATCAGCGTAAAAATCCTTGACATTTTGGCCGGGCGCGGTGGCTCACGCCTGTATTCTCAGCACTTGGGAATGCCGAGGTGGGCGGATCACAAGGTCAGGAGTGTGAGACCAGCCTGACCAACATGGTGAAACCCCGTCTCTACTAAAAATACAAAAGTTAGCCGGGTGTGGTGGCAACGTGCCTGCAATCCCAGCTACTCGGGAGGCCGAGGCAGGAGAATCGCTTGAACCTGGGAGGTAGAGGTTGCAGTGAGCCAAGATCTCACTGCTGCACTCCAGCCTGGGCAACAGAGGGAGACTCTGTCTCAAAAAAAAAAAAAAATCGAAAAAATCCTTGACATTTTAAAAATACCTCTGGCAGGGTTTCAGTGTAGTCATGATATTTAAAATATTACCATGATTTGTCAGTTTCTTAAGTATAATTTTGTTTCGTCGCACGTATGATAAGAACATACAGACTTCTTGCTTGGGGCATTGGCTCATGCCTGTAATGCCTATAATCCCCGCTACTCAGGAGGCTGAGTCGGGAGGATTGCTTGAGGTCAGGACTTTGAGACTAGCCTGGACAATAGAGCAACACTCTGTCTCTTACAAAAAACATAATCATAAATAGATTTCTTGGTTTGTGGGGTTAACTTTTTAAATTTTCCTCTCATTAATTTGCCACATTTTTAAAAAATTTTTTGAGATGGAGTCTCACTGTGTCACCCAGGCTGGAGTGCAGTGGCACGATCTCGGCTCACTGCAACCTCTGCCTCTCAGCTTCAAGCGATTCTCCTGCCTCAGCCTCCCGAGTAGCTGGGACTACAGGCGTGTGTCACCACGCTCGACTAATTTTTTGTATTTTTTTAGTAGAGGTGGGGTTTCACCGTGTTAGCCAGGATGGTCTCGATCTCCTGACCTCGTGATCTGCCTGCCTCGGCCTCCCAAAGTGCTGGGATTACAGGCGTGAGCCACCACGCCTGGTCTAATTTGCCACTTTTATCTGACTAAGATACCTTAACTTTATTTATTCCTTGGATTGGTAATACAGTGAAATGATTAGGGCAGGGTTTTGAAACCAGACAGATCTGGGTTCAAATCCTGGTGTGGGCTGTAGATGTTGGGGGCAATGGCCCTAAATCCTCTGACTTTCCAGTGATTTTTCAATGGGTAAAATAACCCTTACTTTGTGGAATGTTGCAAAGATTAGAGAGGATGTATATAAAATGTTTACCTATTACAGTGCTTGATATGTAGAAGATGAATTCTACAATTACACTGACCCATTTTGCCCATTGCGGCTTTAGAATAGAAAAGTATACTCATACACTAGAATTGTGCACCTAGGGCTAAGTGACTCCAGCCCTGTGGAACCCTTCAATGCCAAAATGGCATGTAGGACTAGATAGATGAATGTCACCTAATCCTGACTGTCTATTAAAACTCATTGTGTTGGGCCGGGAATGGTGGCTCACGTCTGTAATCCCAGCACTTTGGGAGGCCGAGGTGGGCGGATCACGAGGTCAGGAGATCGAGACCATCCTGGCTAACATGGTGAAACTCCGTCTCTACTAAAAATACAAAAAATTAGCCGGGCGTGGTGGCGGGCGCCTGTAGTCCCAGCTACTAGGGAGGCTGAGGCAAGAGAATGGCGTGAACCCGGGAGGCAGAGCTTGCAGTGAGCTGAGACCGCGCCACCACACTCCAGCCTGGGTGACAGAGCGAGACTCGGTCAAAAAAACACAAAAAAAAACCCAAAAAAACCAACCAAACAAAAAAAAACTCCTCACTGTATTTTATTATTATTATTTTCAAGATGGAGTCTTGCTCTGTCGCCCAGGCTGGAGTGCAGTGGGGCGCAATCTCGGCTCGCTGCAACCTCTCCCTCCCAGGTTCAAGGGATTCTCCTGCCTTAACCTCCCGAGTAGCTAGGATTACAGGCACCTGCCACCACGCCCAGCTAATTTTTTGTAGTTTTAGTAGAGATGGGGTTTTGCCATGCTGGCCAGCCTGGTCTCCAACTCCTGATCTCAGGTGAACCACCCGCCTCGACCTCCCAGAATGCTGGGATGGCAGGCATGAGCTGCCGGGCCTAGCCAAATCTGAAATACGTTTGATGCCAGGGTAGCCTTAGTGGAGTGAAACGCTTATTAACAATGAGAGTATTTGAAAAATATGAGATATACAATCATCAGAATTGAATGACCTTTCTAAGGAATGGTTTTATCCTAATGAAGTAATGATCAGAGTCGGGCGAGGTGGCTCACGCCTGTAATCCCAGCACTTGGGGAGGCTGAGGTGGGCGGATCACTTGAGGTCGGGAGTTCAAAACCAGCCTGGCCAACATAGCGAAACACCGTCTCTACTAAAAATACAAAAAAGTACCGGGTATGGTGGCGCGTGCCTGTAATTCCAGCTACTCGGGAGGCTGAGACAGGAGAATTGCTTGAACACCGGAGGCGGAGGTTGCAGTGAGCCGAGGTCGCGCCACTGCACTATAGTCTGGGAGCAAGACTCCGTATCAAAATAAATAAATAAATAAATAAATCCGATTATAACATCTGTGAATGGAATAATTTGTAGACTCTTGGCATGCAAGAATTTGATGTTAGCTTTCTCAACCGTTTATGAACCGTAAAGCTTCATGATGTGTATGTTCTGTTGAGATGGAAACTTCAACGCTGTGTGCGGTGGAGGCGAGGTTGAGGACGTCGCTTGGCGGATGAGTAAGCCTCACCCATCTGGACAGCAGCATTTACACTTCAACTTCACTTTTAACTTCGTATTTGCTGCTTGTTTTTATTTACGTGGTAACTAGCATGAATGATTCACATACACACATATGTATTCTTTGTCTCTTTGTGAAATATTACACCAAGGAGAAAACACCATTATGGGATAATTCTAGCCTTCATAACCTTAGATAATAGTTCACATTATTATTTAGTTAATAGAATTGTACCCACATTAAATTTCTTAAATTTTCTTAAGAGATAAAGTCTCACTCTGTCACCCAGGCTGGAGTGCAGTGGTGCAATCATGGCTCACTGCTTCCTGGAACTCGTGGGCTCCAGCAATCCTCCTGCCTCAGCCTCCTGACTAGGTGGGACTATAGGCACACGCCACCATGCCTGGCTAATTTCTTTGACTTTTCTCTAGAGACCGGGTCCACCTAGGTTTCCCAGGCTGGTCTCAGACTTCTAGACTCAAGTGAACCTCAACCTCCCACCTCGACCTCTCAAATTGCTGGGATTACAGGTGTGAGCCACCACACCCGGCCTAAATTTCTTATGTGCCATGGGACTGCAAAACATCATTATTAGGGGCAGCTGGATGGAAGGTGTAGGAGGACACTATAGTGCCTTTTCAATACTTCTGTCTAAAATCTAAAATCATTTCAACAGGAAACATTTATTTCAAAACGTGAAGGTGGTCATCCTGCCATGAGTTTAAAGTACAAAGGCAGGCTCACGGTGTCGTCAGAATTCAGAACGATGGTCGTGGGGCTGGGGGTGCTGGGAGGGGCCGGGCATGGTTGGCTTTGTGATCTGGGGTCTGGTGTGTTCCATCTCTGAATCTCTCTCGAGCTGCACTCTTTCTTAATACATTTTCATAAGTTTAACCAAAAATAAAACGAGGATGCGAAGCTTGCTTGGGTTGTTAAGCCTCGGGAAATTATCCAGCCATGAGCCGTGGCCCAGATGCTTCTAGAAGCCTGGAGGGAACTGAGAACTTTCCAAGTGGAGGCCGCAGAGGCAAGGCCCTGAGGTGGGAGCACACTGCTGTTCGTCCCTAGCTCTGAAGGGGGTGCCCTGGTCGGAATCAGTGCTGGGTGCACTGCAGGGCCGGGAAGTCCATGCCCACGTTGTGGCTCAGTGCAGCGAAAGCCGATCTCACCCGCTCCGCAGGGTGTTCAGCCTGCCAGCAGGGGGCCAGCTGGTCCTCCTGGGATATGGCACGGACCCAGCAGCTCTGTCTGAAATCATAATGGCGGAACCAAGGGCCCTCTACGTCCAGGTCGGTTGGGAGGCGGGGCATGGAGTTCCACTGCAGGAATCTCCAGGAACCCTGAGGTCCTCCCTGAGCCAGGGCCGGGCTGGGCACACCCTGAGTGCCCACAGGGTAGGTGTCTTCCCGGACAGCCCCACCAGGACAGGGTGTGGAAGAACGAGGTGCCCGTGGCGGGGAAGCTGACCAAATGGGCCGCGGGAACCGGGCTGGTGGGCCTGGAGGGGCCTGTCTGTCCCCCTTGCAGAGGGTCTTCCCGCCACGTGAAGCCGGCACAGGCCTGGATGCCGACGACCCTTGCTCGGGTTTGGCTGAAAGGAAAACAGACGCGGTCAGCATCTCCAGTGAGCCCACGCAGGCCTTTCCGGGCTGGGCCCCACCTGCCTGCGTCTCTGGAGTCCTCGGGGTCTCTGTGTGGCCCCCGTGGCCTGACACCGAGGACACGCCTGTAGTCTGCTGATCCCAGAGGGAGGGGTGCATGCTGCCTGGCGTGGGGAAGCTGTCGTGGCATGGCGGGTGGCTCCTGGGACTGCCCCCAGGGTTCAGACTGGCTGGGGGCTTCCTGCCACACACCTTCGTCCCAGGGCTGTTGGGCCTGGGATACGGCCCCCAGTCAGAACTCAGGTGGGAGGGGCCTTGGATGTCACCCAGCCCCTTGTCACCTCACGTGGGGACCCGTCTCCGCAGTGGGTGATTGGGCCCGGACGTGGGTCACCCTCTGCCCTCCTGGGCTGCCCAGTCCATGCCAGGACTGACCGTTCCCACTTCTGGCTGAACTCTTGGCTCTGGCTCTGGGCCCGGGGTCCCGCCTGTGCCCTCTCCCTGAATGCTCTGTGGGTCAGGGACACGGATTCCCTTGTCTCCCTGGCTCCAGGCTTCTTGTCCTGGCAACCTTGGAGGAGCGTGCAGGAGTGAGGGGCCTCTGCTGCTCTCTGCGGCTGTGGGTGCTTGCAGGGAGGGGCGGGGTCTCCCACAAATGGGTCTGGGCTCGTCTAGTAACTTGGAGGGCCCTGCGAGGGGGAGAGGGAGACACTGTGGAAAGTGGGAGGGGGCTTGTTGGAGGGTCTTGCCCACATCCCCCTCCTGCGTGCACAGCATGTCCAGTATACACGCACTGAGCGCCTGCCCTGAGGACCGGTGGGCCTCCTGTACTTTCTTAGAGTCCAGGAGGAAGAGGAGGAAGAAAAGGTGAAGAGGAAGGCCCAGGTAGTAGGGTTGCGGGTCCCGGGCACTCCCCTACTACTGACTACCCCAGAGGGTGACATGGGAGGGGACATGGCACTGGAGCCCACCTGGGGGTGGCAGGTCCCCCTGCTTTCTTGTTAGTTTCTTCATAGAGGCCCTAAGATGCTTGAGCACAGTGTCCTCATCCCTGGCCCAGGTATCAAGGAACCGGTTCCAAAAACTTGCCCACAGGCCACACCTGGACGTCTTCGTGAGGCGCTCTAGGGACAGGGTGGATATCAGGCCAGGGGAGTTACCTGGGAATGGTCACAGCTCATACCCCGTGGCCACTTCAGCCTCCTACTGGGCGGTGCCGGATCCTTTTTTGGCCACCGCAGGCGTCCAGATATACACAGGAGACTGTGGCTGGGGGGCGATCCGGACAGGGAAGTGCTCACCACACTCTCGACTTTCATCTGGGTCATGTGAGGGATGGGCTCGGTGTCACAGTGTCCTGCCCAGCCCACCTGGCCGGACCTCCCTCTGGGCCAGAACAGCGGATCATGAGGACAGTGTGAGGAAGCTGCCCTCGGGCCAGTCGGGGTCTGACCCCAGGGCTCCCCAGGCCCCGCTGGGCACACGTAGACTTACTCTGCTGAACCTTAAAGGCGATTCTTGTTATCGGCATCAACGCCTGTTCGCCTTCTACCAGATACACGTCCCACAGGCGCAGGGTGAGCCCGAGAGAGATCTGTGGGGACAGCAGGTGTGAAAGAACCTGGTCCTTCCAGGCTGGGGCTGGTGGCTCGAGCTGCGCACACTGGGGCTTCAGTCTCCAGAGTCAGTGACCTTCCCCATGAGGGTCGCCTGAGCCCTCCAGGACGCTGGGTCAGACAAGGTCTTGAAGCTCCTCATGGGGGGCACTCATTTGAGTGGGGATGTGGCTCCTGGAGCGAGGGGCTTGCCCAGGGCTTGAGGCTTCCCTGAGCCCTCTCAAGTCGGGTCCTGGCCCAGTCTGCCCATGAGGCTGGGCCTGAGCCCCAGCCATTGCCCTGGGATGACCCCTCTTGGGCAGAGGGTTTTGCTTGTGTGTCCTTTGGGGACCCGCCTGAGCCTCCTGTGGGCTGGGAGTGAGCCAGACCCCCGGGCTGGGGAAGCAGGGCACTGCAGGGCAAGGAAGGTCCCTGAGCCAGGGTCTCCCTATGCCTCCTTACCCCGTCAATCAATATCCGGATGAGGCAGCCTAACGGGGAACACTGCCCACATAGATCTTTCTTGTCCTGATGGAAGCAACAGAGGTGCTCAGGCCACTGGGCTGCCCTAAAAACCTCCCTCTTCTCGGGTCTCTGAAGACCCTTCCCCTAGTGCAGAACACTGGGCGGTGTCCAGAGCTCCCCACAACACTGTCACCTTCCCACACTCCCGGTGGACACACTGCCCTTTGCCCTGCTTTGCGGGAGCTGGGCCCCCATCCCTGTGCCTCTGTCTCCTCCAGGGCAGGAAAGGAAACCAACTGCTAGCCCATGGAGAACCCGACGTCCCAGGTCAGGCCCTGGCTGGGACTCAGCCAGTCACCAGCCCCACGAGGGGCTCCAGCCCCGCTGCTCCTACAGCCCCACGGGAGGCAGGGCCTCTGGGAAGAGCTGAGGGGACCATGAACTCACCTGATGCCCCATGGTCTTGGGTTGTGACGTGGCTACCTCATGCTCCTGTTGGTCTTGGAGCCCCTGGATGGTCCCGCCATTTGGGCTGTGAAATCCTGAGAAGCCCCCAGCCCATCATGAAATCAGAGCCTTCCCCCAAGATGTGGAGCCATCAGCTGCAAGAGCTGGGCAGCTGGAGAGGCCCCCAAACCCCAAGGCCTCCCACCCTCCCCTCTGGTGACCCCAACATGCGGCCTTTACCCTGGGGAGGTGGGGCGGGAACATTCCCTGGAGCCTGGCTGGAGGTTCCCCTGGAGGCCTCCTGGGCCAGGGTGCAAAAAGGGCAAGCCTGACTTTCAGGCCACGACAGGGTGGCCGGAACTGGGTGGGCGCTGGGCTTCCCGGTCATCTCCTGGTAGTGGGGTCGGGCCAGGGAACAGGGGATGGGGAGATGCTGCCACCTGGGCTTGGTCGGCCCATTCGTGGGCACCGATGGCAGCAGGAGCCCGGGCAGCTGGAGGGCAGGAGGACTCTCAGGGAGGGGAGAGTCAGCTGCACAGAATCAGAGCCAGAGGGCGTGGCTCCAGGACACAGAGGGTGGCCACGGGGAGGATGAGATGCCCTCTGCTGATGGGGATGAGAGGCGTCTGATTTGGGCTTTGGGGGTCAGCCGTGGACTCCTGTGGGACCCTCAGCAGAGACATCCTAAAGTCTCCCAACAAGCTGGCGACACAAGGAGGGTGCCTTGGCTGAAAGCTGTGATCACCTGGTCAGGGTGGCCATCCCCAGGTCTGGCTGCAGGAGGTCCCCGGGGCAGCTGTTCACTTACCCTGCAGGGAGTGCCTCTCACTGGCCAGCAGCTGCACCAGTGCCCAGAATGCATCCTCCTCAGGAAGATAAAGGAGGAACAAGGCGGCGATGTGGCTCAGGTCCCTGCAGTAGCCCACCTCCTGCAAGAGCCAGAGTCACCATGGAAGGACATCACCTGGGAGGGCTGAGGTCACCTGGGAGGACTCATGTCATTGGAGAGAGCAGAGGTGACTGGAGAGGCTTCCTCTGAAGAAGAGGCTTCCTCTGAAAAAGAGGCTTCCTCAGGATGCACATTCATTTCATGACAAGAGCCAAGTCCATCAGGCACTTCAGCACCTTGTCCAAAATGTCTGCTGATAGCACCATCCTGTGTGCGATGCTGCCAAGCTCATGGGCTTTGGGGCAGCCCCAGGAGGAGGGCGTCATTTCTTGTTCTGAGAAGTGGTGGTCAGGCCCAGGTGACACCAGGAGTCCGGGCCCTGACTCCTTTGTGTCTCAGCTTGACCCCTTGAGACCACCCCCTTGCTTGAAGGTTTATGCCATCGGTGAGCTGGAATCCTACCTCCTATATCCTGGTGGGTCACAAATACTAACTTTAAAAGAAGCAACGACACCCCCACCAGACACCCACTCCTGTCAATATGGAAATATGGCCCGGGAACCTCACTGCCGGGAATACTCACCAGGTTATTCTCCGAATATGCCAGGAGGATGTAGAATAGTTCCCGCTGCCTAGGAAACAGAGAAAGGGGGCTTTGGTTTGTTTTGTGCAGATGTTGTTAATTTCACTTTGTCTACAAATCCTAACAGCAAATCCCATTTCAGGTTCAGATGATTCACCAGATAAGCAGTGAGCTCTTCAGGGCCTGAGACTGTTGAAGAAAAGTTTCAGTAAAATCCACATCTGTGACATGCAAATAGTCCTGTTGTACAGTGACTTGCCTGATCCTTTTCACTCTGAATGATTTTTTTTTTTTCAGTTTGCACACACGCCAGTTCAGTCTGTGGGTGTACAGTTCCTCCACGGTTCCAAACCAATGTGCAGAGTCTCCCGGCCACCGCTCCAGCCCCTCCTGGGGCGACTCCTTCATCCTCCAAGTCTCCAGGGTGGCCCCTATGCACCCAGCCTCTCCCCGATCCGTCAGCCCCTGGCCACCCAGACTGCTTCTCAGTCCCTGTGGTTTGGCCTTTTCCAGAATGGCCTAGGAATGGGAATCCTACGGTGGTAGCTTATTGGGTCTGGCTTCTGTCCCTCAGCAAAATGCATCTAGGATCCACCCACATTCGTGCGGGCATCACTGGCTCGTTCCCTTTTCTCACTGGGTCTTCTGTTTGAAGGGAGGACCAGCCTTGCTCTCCCCATCCCCGTGTTGAAGGCCGTCCCCGAAGGCTCCGTGTGTGAGTGACGAGGAATCAAGCAGTGAACCTGGCATGCAGGTTTCATGTGGATGTCAGTTTCCAAATCAGTGGGTTCAATATCTGTGACACTTTGGGGATGTGTGGTTCAAGTCCATTGAGCTTTGTGAGCCACTCCCAACTGGCTGCCAACGTGGCTGTGCCATGTCATGTTCCCAGCAGACCTGGATGAGAGTTTCCAGGACCCCTAATTCTCCCAGCATTTGGTGCTGTCATTATTGCCTGGGGGAGCTCATGGGCCCTCTATCCTGCCACCCTCCCGTGGGTCCTACCATGGGTCCCCATGGGTCAGGGAGAGCACCCTTCACCATTGTGCATGATTTTGTTTGCTGCCTTCCATCTCCTCAGGATCCTCCTGGGTTCTGGCCCCACATGTTCCAGTCTGGCCCAGGGCTTGGAACCAGGGAGGTGCTCGGTTCATGGTGCCGGCTGCTCCCTGGGTCGGGACAGTTCTTGGCACCTGTGTCATCCCTCCTGGGTGACCCTGGCTTCTACTCCAGGGAAGCCCCCATCCCTCTCATTCACCCCATCTCTGCTGGGACCCTGTGGCTCCCGTAGGCTTACTTGGTTCCGTATCGATCCCTGAAGAATATATGCTTCCTTAATGTCCCGCTTACGTCCAGGTCGATGTGGTGGATGTGTTCAGATGACCTCTTGCCCTTCTCCTTCATGATCTGTAGGGCAGGGCCAAGAGGAGGAAGCAGCCTCAGAACAGATGGAAGGCTCCCTGCCCCCAGTGGCAGTCAGCCCACAGTCAGCACTTTGGGAAGGAAGGACAGAAGGAAGGTTTCTTTGTGCAGAAAGCTGCTTTTTGGCTTGTTACTGAAGCCGGGGAGGGTCACCAGAGCCCAGTTTGTCTGTGGTGACTGTGTCACCATCTGTGCCCAGGGTGTTCATCTGACCTTTGCCCCCACCCCCTCCAGGGTGTGCTTGACGTTCCCTCCAGCTGGAGACCTGGGCCCCTGACACGGCCTGTCCTGTTTGTTATGCTCTGGCTGAGCGTACCTTGTATTTTCTGGGGTTTTTCGACTTGATTTCCTGAATGTTCAGGAGGACTGACCACACCAGGCCCCGGATGTTCATGGGAATGCCCTTGTACACTAGATCTATCAGCTGTGTGCAAAAAACAATCTGGTATCACAGGCCACCGGGTGACCCCAGTGAAGACCAGAGCCCAAGGATTCTGGAAATTGTCGGTTTTGGCCCCATGATTCCTCGGTAGAGGTGAGATCAAGCTGGGACAGGGCCTCTCTTCCCAGGACTGAGAGTGGATGGACACTCAGAGTCAAAACTCTGATCTGAACCTTTTCCTTCCTTCAGGTCACCAGGGCATCCCTAGCCTTGAGCTCCGGGTAGTCCCAGCCCTAGATTCAGATTCCCTCCCAGCAAGGTGACGCTTGCACGAATAGGCAGGAAATCTGGCGACCAGGCCTGCAGTCCTCTGGGCGAGGACAGTGTGCCACCCACCCTCTGAGAGGCTGACGGTGCCAGGCCACAGCCATGGGTGCCTGTCCCCTGTCTCTGCAGAGAGTGCTTCCAGGGGCCTCTCCCTCCACACATTACTTTGGTACTGTTCTTATATGTCTCCCATTCTCCCAGCATTTCCATCCACTTGCTCGTTCGTCTCATCTCCCACCACATTTGCTGTCAAATGAGGTATGTTGGAGTTAGTGGAGCTGCCAGGCTTTCCAGAGCCACCCGTGGATGCTGGGTCTTGGGCTCTGGACCCCTGGTGGGAGCCAGCTGGAAGGAGCCAGGGAAGGGCAGACCTCAATGGCTGAGAGCCTTTGAGCAAATGAGCACCAGTGGGCTGGCTTTGGGACCTGGGGACATGCCATCCTCAGGCCACAAACACACCAGTCTTAGGTCCCAGCCTCTAGGTGGGGTCCTGACACAAGCGGGCAGCCACTCCCAAGCCAGGACTGTGGTTCTCACTTTGGAATTTTATCAAACTGCCAAAGTCACAGCAACCTGGGGTCAGGTCCAGCAGGGACTGCTGCCCCTCCCAGTGACAGCGTGTTGCCCTCACCCACCACCGCCCAGGCCAGCTGCCTCCTCTGCCTCACCGACCACCTGCCCAGTCCCTACATCCCTGGACCAGCCCCTCCATGCATCAGGTTCTTACCTTCACCTCCCACGCAGTCAGAGGAGGCAGCTCCGTCTCACTGTAAGACAACCCAGGCAAAGCTGAGGACCTGCACAGGGCCTGGAGCCATCCCAGACTGGGAGCCAATCCCCAGAAAGGACTGGCTCTGTCCCTATCCAGCTCAGGGCTCAACCCAGGAGAAGGCACAGGGAAGGGAGGACAAGGGCCTTCCTGTGGGGCTGACTCCCAGAAGGGGCAGGACCTGGGAGAAGAAGGAGTGTAGGGACAGCCTGGCTGGGGTTACTGGGGCCCCTGGCGTGGGGGGCGGTCAGGCTGCCCAGTGGGGCTGCCCGTCCTGGACTCGAGGTGGTGCTTTCTGCTGGAGCTGAGAAAGGTTAGCCCTGAGGTGGGATGGGGGCCGCCCAGGGTGGGCGACCGGGCCCTGACAGGAGTCCCTCAGGGAGTGACCACATCACCCTGCCAGGGTCAAGGGAGCCTGCCCTGAGACCTGCCCGGTGTACTCTGGGTGCCCCAGGGGCCCATCCCCCATGACAGCCCCAAGGCCCTTGCAAGTTCTGACCTCCCAGCATCCACCTGCCTCTCCCTGCACCAGAGCCACACACCCTGCATTTCAGAAGTGGCACGGCTCATCAGCTCCCTCCCACCCTACCTCCCCAGGGATCCTCTGTCTCTCCATCCTATGATCCCTGAGGGATCATCGATCCGGTCTCTACTAAAAATACAAAACTTAGCAGGGCATAGTGGCACGCACCTGTAATCCCAGCTGCTCAGGAGGTTGAGGCAGGAGGATCACTTGGACTCGGGAGGAGGAGGTTGCAGTGAGCTGAGATTGTACCACTGCACTCCAGCCTGGGCAACAGACTGAGATTCCATCTAAAAAAAAAAAAAAAAAGTTTTCTGGGCACCACATTCCAAGTTTATGTAGTTTTCAAGGAAAATAGAATACTGGGCCCTTCGTAGTCCAGGCCTTAGCTTTGAGTCTATAAAAAAAAGTGCGTTAGCCAAGCACTGTGGCTCCCTGTTGTAAGAAGTCCCAGCTACTCTGGAGGCTGTGGTGGGAGGATTACTTGAGCCCAGGGGTTTGAGTCCAGCCTGGACAATATAATAAGATCATGTCTTTTTAAAAAAAGGTTTATTTATTTTTTTAGTTATTAAAAAGTAGAGATGGGGTCTTGCTATATTGCCCACGCTGGTCTGGAACTCTGCCTTCAAGTGATCTTCTTGCCTTGGCCTCTAAAATTGCTGGGATTACAGGTGCGAGCTATTGCACCCAGCCAAAAAGCTGGTGCAATAAAAATTCCATCTACACTCTACCTTTTTTTCCAATACTATAGCATAATAACTATATTTTCCTTTGTTTGGTGAGGCAATCTCCGTGTCCTCTGGTGTGTGGTCTCTGCTATTACTAAGAGAGTCAATAATCTTTACTTAGTTGAAGTACAGGTCTGTCTCTTATGGTCTTAGGCCAATTGGCCCAGGACAGTCCTCACCACAACCCTGAAGGAGGGGCTGTCTTGACCCCCTTTTTCTAGCTGGGGACACTGAGGCTGAGGAAGGTGAAGGGATTCGTTCCTGTGTTGTACTTGACATGTGAGCTCAGGACAGTGTTGGTTTCTCCAAAGCCCACCGCAATCCTCTGCCTGGTCCTCTTCTGCCCAGTGCCCCTGGCCTTAAGCCATGGTGGATTTCTGTTTAGGGCATGCGTCAGACCCTTCCTTGAGCTACAGACATCGGAGTACAGGGCCCCGGCTCCCTTGTTTCTGCTCCACATACAGAATGGGTCCAGTAGCACTGAACCCAAATCTGGCATTATCTGGTCTACAAATACCCTCCCTCTCACTGCCCTGCCACCCCAGGTCTTGGAGGTACCAGAATACCCTATCATGTACTGGGAATCCCATGTGACTGGACTCATGATGTAGACCACACAAACCCAACCAAAGACCCCTTTCCGGCCATGCTGGGTCCCTGCCCACAAGGGGCAGGTTTCTGACTTGAGGTTGAGGGTAATCACCCAGGGTCGGCACAGGACATGAGGAAGGAGATGGAGCCTGGTGCCCCCACCTCAGACCCCAAGCCTCAGCTCCCTCCCTATAAAATGGCCTCCCAGTGGATTAAAAAGTACACATATAAAGCACTTGGTGCCAAGCATAGCAGATGCTCAGGGCACCTCAGAAGTTAACTGGGTTACTTATGAAAGAGGGTTTGCTGGAGCAGCCTGCTTGCCGCTCACCAGCATCCCTCTCATATCTGTTCCCATGGAGGTAGGGACAATGCTGAGGACTGGCTGGGCGAGGACAGAGGCTCCCGGGGTGGTGTGGGCGTCTGGTGGCAGCAACAGGGCTGCTGCAGGAGCATGTAGTGTGTGTCAAGTGGTAGTGGCACAGCTGCTCAGAGGGAACTGCCTGCCCGGCACTTCACTCTCATGCCCTGGCACTTCACTTTCATCATGAACTCATTCGTGCCTGTGCGCTGGATCTGCCATCATCCACATATGAGTTGAGCTCCCTTCCTTTGCCAGCCCTGGGTGAGGCACCAGGGGTAGGAGGGTGGGACAGGGAAATGACCAGGGCATCTCCCAGGCTTTCTGGAGCTCTCAGACCTCCCGCTTCTGTTTGGGCTGGCTGCCTCGTGTTCCTGCTATGAATTGTCATGCATGAGTGTTTCTGCCCCTTCATTTATGGGGTCCCCAGGCACTCCACTCCCACCCCATGACATCCCATTTTTCTGAGTCTCACAGCTTCTGCATTTTAGTTCACTTCTTTACGTTTGTGAGGTACATTCTCTGGAAGTTTCCTGGCAGAGGTACATGGAAGGTAAAGTTTTCAGACCCTGAACATCTAATGATATCTTTTTTCTACTCTTACATTTGATCAATATTTTGACTAGATATGTACTTCCATATGGAGATAGTTTTCCCTCCAACATTTGAAGTTTACTTCTGTATTCTTCCGGTGTTGCTGTGACAATATCTAGTCCCTAGGGGGTGGACTTCTTTTCCCCCAGAAGTTTTAGGATCTTTTGTTTATCCTGTAGGCATTTTTCAAAATTGCCAGTGCTGTGCTTTCTATGGTATTTTTTTCACGCATTATGTGGATATGTGGTATCAGTTCCTTCAGCTGGTAAACATATGCTCTTCCATTCTGGGGATTTACAAAAATTCGTTATAATAATTTCCTCCCTATTGTTTTCTCTTCCTAGAATTTCTACTAATACGAAGTTAATCAACTAACTCTTTTCGTCTCCTTCCTTCCTTCCTTTTCTTTTACTCCAATTCTCCTTCCCCTACCTCCAGCTAACTTCCTGGGAGATTTTTTCAACTTTATCCTCCAATCCTACTGAATTTTTATTAAACAGCTTAAATTATTTAAAACATTTTTCTTAAGAGATGGGGTCTCACTTGTTGCCCAGGCTGGTCTCAAGAGATCCTCCTACCTCAGCCTTCAGAAGCTCTGGGATTATAAGTGTGAGCCACCGCACCTGGCTAAACAGTTTAAATTCTAAAAGCTCTTTCTTTTTCTTAGACTAGTTCTTTCTTTCCATCAAATTGATTTTGTTTCTGTTTTTGTCTTTTTGAGACAGTCTTGCTCTGTCGCCCAGGCCGGAGTGCAGTGGCACAAACTTGGCTCACTGCAACCTCTACCTCCTGGGTTCAAGTGATTCTTGTGCCTCAGCCTCCCGAGTAGCTGGGATTACAGGACTGCCACCATGCCTGGCTAATTTTTGTATTTTTGGTAGAGATGGGGTTTCACCATGTTGGCCAAGCTGGTCTCGAACTCTTAGCCTCAAGTGATCCTTCTGCCTCGGCCTCCCAAAGTGCTGGGATTACAGGTATGAGCCACCACATCTGGCCTCAAAAAGGCTAACAATCTTTGACTATCTCTTCCTGTCTGGGGATGAGGCATTAAAAAGCTGCTCAGAAGTTCCAGCAGAAGGGGCTACTCCTAAGAGACACAGGACCAGAAAATACAGACTCAAAAGTAGGCCTTGGTGCGCTGGGGCTGCCCCTCATCCTCCACTGGGCCTTTGCATCTGTTCTAGGCTCACAGAGAGAGCAGAATGGGAAACGGGGACCATTCCAGGTGGTGTATGGAGGGTTGCATTTGCTCTGTGCACTGCCCAGTGTGATGTTCCTCAGCCTTACTGTAGGTCATCCAGGTGGTAGAATTATTCTGGTTTATACAGATGCTGAATTATTCTATTTGGCGGGAGCCTTGCCACCCTGGGCTTCAGGGAGACCCTCTCCCAGGGCCCCCTGGGTTTTTCCCATTCTAGCAGGCTTGCTGAATGCGTTTGGATTCACATTCTTCCCCAACAACTGCTGTCACAGCTCTGGATTGGCTACCGCAATGAGAAGGTAAAGCAACACTTTGTGTCTCACGACCTGAGGGCCCAGCAGGTGTGGCCGGCAGCCAAATCCCGACATCTGCACTTCCTCCAGGCTCCTGCCCCTCCCCACGGTGTGCCCAGCAGTCTCCTTTCCTCAGTGGATGCTGTTCATGTCCTTGCCATGGCTGCCAAGCCAGCCAAGAGGTAACATGTTGGTCCTCGGGCCACAGAAGCCCTCTTCTGTCCCTCCAGGAGGATTACTTTGTTAAGAGCCTGGAGTGGCTGTTTGTTAACTACCATAGTAACCATAGCAGTCTGGCTCTGAACAAGGGAACCCCATTAGCATCAGCTCCTTGATGGATGAGGTGGAGAGCAGGGGACAGGGAAGAGGATGTTGCTGAGAAGTTTGAAGAAGTTAGTCATTAGGAGTCTTGGTGACTGTCCCGTGCCCTCTCTGCCCTTCTGTCTCCCCTAATGTGTTCACTAATACCCACCTTTTCTGTCTCTTGGGGTCACTCTAATGTCCATGGTGACACTTGTTATTATCTATTGCCAGGGGACCCACAATGTGAGGACCATGAGGGAGGGGAGTTAGATCTTCCTGCCCCATGGTTGACAGTCCACCTCAACCATGGGGCAGAGCAGCCCCTCAAGGGGCTGAGCAGCACCATCTGTCTCAGACATCATCCAGGGTGTACCAGCAGGCACCCTAGAGAAGGAAGGGGGCCAGCTACAAGAGTCAAAAGCAACATGATTCAGTATGCAGCACAATCATTTTAAGAATCCTGATTCTGGGCTGGGCGAGGTGGCTCACGCCTGTAATCCCAGCACTTTGGGAGGCTGAGGCAGGTGGATCACTTGATGTCAGGAGTTGCAGACCAGCTTGGCCAACATGGCGAAACCCCATGTCTATCTAAAAACACAAAAATTAGCTGGGCATGGTGGTGGGCACCTGTAATCCCAGCTACTTGGGAGGCTGAGGTAGGAGAATCACTTGAATCCGTGGGATGGAGGTTGCAGTGAGCCAAGATCATGCCACTGCACTCCAGCCTGGGTGACAGAGTGAGACTCCATCTCAAAAAAGGAAAGAAAGAAAGGAAGGAAGGAAGGAAGGAAGGAAGGAAGGAAGGAAGGAAGGAAGGAAGGAAGAAAGAAAGAAAGAAAGAGAAAGAAAGAAAGAGAAAGAAAAGAAAAGAAAGAAAGAAAGAAAGAAAGAAAGAAAGAAAGAAAGAAAGAAAGAAAAGAAAAGAATCCTGTTCTGGGACAGCTCAACAGCCCTGAGGCCACCACCTGCTCTTTGCCATAGTGTGAACTCATCCCTGACACAGAGCCCAGTCCCCTGGGGCCCTGCTCACGGGGTCTAGCCAGAATGCTCTCCACAGCTCGAAATGGAACGGCCTAGCAGTTGGAGATGCCAGACGTGAGTTATTGAACACATCTGCCGAGACCAGAGACCAGGACACGACATTTGTATCTACCAAATGAGTGCTGGCAGCTAGCTCTGCTCCCCTGGAACATCCTCTCAAAACCCTTTTGCCTTGACTATTATCTCATCTCTCTCCTGGCCTGCACTGATCCTTGGCCGACTCTAAGAAGTCACCCGTGGGGGCCTGGGGCAAGACAGGTCATGGTTCTGGGCACCAGCACTGCCATCTGGCTGCTTCTTCTGGCCTCTCTTTGCTGGACTAGTGCCTGGCCCAATATCATGCCATCATGATCACGCTCAACTCGAGGGATATCATTTACTCCTTCAAGGGCAAGATTCTAGACCCCTCACTGCAGAGCCCTTCACTGGGGACACCCGGTCTTCTTTGCCTGCTTGGACATTGAGGGTGGAGGGAGGAAGGGGTTGTGGGCATCCATAGAAGCTGTGGGGGGCATCCAGAAATAAGGGAGAGAGGCATCTTCACTGCTGGCGGTGTGCGGGACCAATTCCAGGGATTGTCTGACTGCGCTCCCCCCCACCACCCCATAGGTAGCAGGGTCTGCTGGGCTTGGATGCCAGTGGGAAGAATGCGTTCTTCGAGAGTGAGTGGACCCTCCTCTGGGCTCACTGGAGGGGACGGGTCTGGAGCAGGCAGAGTGAGCCGCTGCTTGCGGGATCCGGGATGGAGCTCAGGAATGGAGCTCCACACTCTCCCAGCTGCCTGGCCCGGGACAAGCATTGGCCCTTTCTGGGCCTCCTCAGGAATCTCCAACCTCCGAGGCGATTCTAGTTTAAGCCTGATGAGGCAGACGTGCATCCGGGCGGATGATTAGCCGGTGTGGGCGCGGCCTGGAGCGGGCCCAGGCTGGGGAGTGGCGGCTGCACGCGGTGACGACTGTGTGTTCGCTGAGTCAGGGCCCGGAGCGCTTCAGCACCGCGGCTTGGACAGCGCCCCGGGGCAAGCGGGTGGCGCTCTCCCTACAGGGACAAATGACCCCAGGGCCGGCATTTCTGACCTAGAGAACGGGCCTGGATTGCTCTGGCGGGTTCTGAGCCTGGGGTTGGGGGCGGGTGGGGAGCGGACGAAGTGGGGGCGGCCTTTGGAGACGATGGCAATTTACCGCCTTAGGCGGGCAAGCGCACGAGTCCCGGGAACCCTAAACAGGTTGGGGTGCCCCTTGGGGTCTAGATGAGGCCCGGGCTTGCGATAAAGCGTGGCGGCGTCTAGACATAACGTCCCATCTCCTGAACCCGTCAAGGCCGGTGGCACCCAACCTGGCGGGCTCATCTAGGACCAGTCCACACCCAAGGCCCCAAGACCCAAAACCTCCTGGGCTGGGTCTGCCTGGCTAGGGGCCCCTCATCCTGGGCTCTACTCTTTTGGCGCAGAGGCCATGTGGCAGGCCCCTGGTCTGCGCCCTGCTCAGCTTCCCCTCCCCACCCCGAAAAGTGGAGAGCCCCACGGCTTCCCCAGAAAAGCAGTCTGCTCCCCGCGCCCCAGCGCAGCTCGTTTACTATGGGTCAGGAGAGGAATCCCGCCTTTTTTCCGCAGCGAGGATGGCCTGGGCTCCTGCGCGAAGCGAGGCTCCGTCCTGGAGAGGCTCAGTGACCCGGCAGTGGCGCCGATCCGGGTTAGCCAGGGCCGCGCTGGGACCCGCGGAGTCGCGTGATGCAAACGGGAAGGCGGGAGCAACCCAGCTCCTTCCCGGTGCTGCCTGGCTGCTGCATAAGCCGCCCTTTCTTCCCTGACAAACACTGTCCAGATGGGCAACAGGTCCGTGTCTCCTTTGGCAGCCACTGTCTCCAGAAAGGCATTGGGCAGTTAAGGTGGTCAGAGCCCTCAGGTAAATCCTCCCTCTCCAGGAGTCAGCCCTTCCAGCTGCGGGAGGGCAGGTAGTGGGATGCGGGACCTTCGCAGGGCTGGGAGATGTCATCAACTTTTACCCTCACATGGGGAGAGTGGGAGTGCTGGGCCTGGCGGTCCTCTTACGTCCTTACTGTGCAGCTTGGGATTCTAGGTTGGAAGGAGTCACCCTACTGCTCAGTCAGCTCTATTTGCCACCTGCCCAAGAAGACCCATGGGAATGGAGGCTACAAGACACTCTAGGGCACAGTGACAAGGAGGGATTGATTCCAAGACTCCTTGGAAGAACCAGATCCCTGAGCTTCTCAACAAAACAAGGGGCCACCTCTGGTCTTTGCCCTCCAAAGGGGAAGGCAGGAAAATTGTTAGAGGCAGATTGGCAGGAGGGGCCTGTGGAGTGTGCAGGGGGCCAGAGCCAGTTCCTAGAAGTTGAGCAAGGGGATATGGGCACCAATGCACACAACTGTGCACTGGGGGCCTCTGTCTCCTATCCCCTGGTCCCAAGGATGTCATGATGGTTTGACCTGTCTTCTAGGACATTCTCTAACTAGGGCAGCAGCCATGCCTGTTGACCTGGTGAAACAACTCCAGCCCTGGTACCCTGTGACATGACCCAGGAGGTGGTGACCATATGTGGTAAGTGAGTTGGGAAGCAGAGTGGAGGATGAAGAGGACCACCACAGGCGCCAAAACAGCAGTCTCAGTGCAGGGGACCGGGCTCTGGGAAGCAAGGGGCTGTGGTCCTCAGTGATGCTTCTCGGCTCCCAGCTAGAGCTGCAGGAAGTTGTGGACAAATTCAGCCAAGGACTCTGAAACTCAGGTGAAATAAATAAAGAGAGAGAGAGAGAAAGAGAGAGAGAGAGAGAGAGAGGAAGGGAGGAAGACAGAGAGAGGCAGAGGCAGAGACAGAAAGAAAGAATTTCAAAAGATGCAGGCGAATCAGCCCTCCTTCTGCCCCCTGAGCCTGTGTCCTGGACTGAGTCTGAGATGGGAGGTGAGACGCTGCTGGGCCTCCCACCAATCTTAGTTTCTGTAGGTATTTCTCCAAAGTATGGGTTGGTTGAGGGTTGGTTTAAAACATGTTTCTGGCTGGGCATGGTGGCTCAGGCCTGTAATCCCAGCATTCTGGGAGGCTGAGGCAGGCAGATCACTTGAGCCCAGGAGTTGAAGACCAGCTTGGGCAACAAGGTGAAATCCCGTCTCTACAAAAAATATAAAAAATTAGCCAGGCGTGGTGGTGCATGCCTGCAGTCCCAGCTACTCAGAAGGCTGAGGTGGGAGGATGGCTTGAGCCCAGAGGGTGGAGGCTGCAGTGAGCCTAGTCTGGGTGACAGAGTGAGACTCTGTTTCAAAAAAACAACAAAACAAAAAAACCGCAATGTAGTTTCTGACTTTCATGCTGACTGTAGAACTTAACTTTTATGAAGAAACATAATATATTTCAGAACTTTATAGCAACTCTGGTGGCACTGCAGAGTCAGGTCATTCTTCCTGGACTTCTGTCCACTTCCATTATGGGATGTCTCCACTGAGCGTTGCCTACATCATCTCTGAATTTGAGGCCTAAAGTGTGACCAGATTTAATCAAATCCTGCTTGGAAAATATAGGCCCATTCAATGGTGATCCATTCTGGCTAAAGACTTTTTTTTTTTTTTTTTTTTTTTTTTTGAGACGGAGTCTCGCTCTGTCGCCCAGGCTGGAGTGCAGTGGCACAATCATGGCTCACTGCACGTGATCCTCCTCTGCCTCCCAGTGTCAAATTATCCTCCCACCTCAGCCTCCCAAGTAGTTGGGACTGCAGGTACACACCACCACACTCAGCTAATTTTTATATATTTTTTGTAAAGACGGGGTTTTGCCATGTTGCCCAGGCTGGTCTCTAACTCCTGGGCCCAAGTGATCCTCCTGCTTTGGCCTCCCAAACTTCTAGGATTACAGTCATGAGCCACTGCACCTAGACTAGAATCTCTTTGACTGTTTAAATGAATTACAAGATAATTGGCATTTTTAGTACATAGGACTAACATTCCATCATTTATGTACTCTTTAAAGTTTTTCAAATTGTTGTATAATTTCCCCCACAAAGTTTTCGGATAGCAATCTTACAGATTCCCCTGAGAATGTTGGAAGACAATGGTGGGACTACCCAGGCAAAGCCAGAATAAAATAAGGTTTACAATTCTGGCTGAGAAAGGAAGTAGGATTAGGCATGTAGTTAAAAGGGAACCAAATTTTGGTATTTAATAAATAAAAATTTGCCGAATGATGTGATCTTTGATTATGTCTATCTTAACTATTCGAAAAACCAAAGCAACCATTTGACAGTAGATCAATGTCAAGTTTTCTTTCCACAAGGAATTTGACACCTGGACTATTCCGTGTGTCTGAAACATTATCTACACAGATAAAGGTGAAGGCCTGAATTGCCCATGTTAGCCTGTCTACACTCCTGGAAATCAATCTTCCTTGCTTAGGGCTTTAGCAAGACTCTCCCCACCCTAGCCTGAGTCTCCTGGGAAAAAGAGGAATTCAGGCAGGAGGACACAAGCGGTGACTTAGCATGCAGCAAAAAGAGGTGCAAGGGCAAAGAAAAAAGGCAGTGGGGAAGCAGTGCCAGGCCTGGCATGGGTGAAGTAGAGGTGCCTTGCAGAAAGAGAGGCTGGAGCCACACTGTGAAGGGCCTTTACCGCCATGCTGAGCCATGGGTGACACAATCAGAGCCATGTTTAAAAAATATATATCTACAACATCATGTGAAGTTGGAGGTTGACTAGAGAGGGCAATACCCAGGTTAGGAACCTCTACGTGAGGTGCTAGTGAACCCTGGAGAAATTCACCAGAGGAGTGAACTTGTCAGATCCACATGTTCAGAAACATCACCGCTGGCAGCAATAGGGTGGCAAAAATGACTTTCTCAATGCCCTAAGGGATCCTGGTGGAGCTTCGCAGGGCTGCAGTGAATGAGGGATCCAGGGAGGTGTTTGGGACTCCATATCCTATCCCTGATTACAGAAGAGTGCTTTCTTCTGTTTAAAGATTTATCTAGAGATATTAATTTTAAAAAGATTGAAAACTACTGCTGCAAAAACAAAGATTGGGGCCAGGTGTGGGGGCTCACGCTTTTGTAATTCCAGCACTTTGAGAAGCTGAGGCAGGAGGATCGTTTGAGCCCAGGAATTCAAGTCCAGCCTCGGCAGCAAAGCAAGACCCCATCTGTACAAAAAAAATTTTTAAGTAGCCAGATGGGTGTCACACACCTGTAGTCCCAGTTACCTGGCAGGCAAAGGCAGGAGCATTGCTTGACCCAGGAGTTCCAGGCTGCAATGAACTACGTTCATGCCACTGCACCCCACCCTGGGCAACAGAGCAAGGCTCTGTCTCTAAATACAAAACAAAACAAAACAAATTAAAAAAAAAAAGAGAGAGATTGGAGTGGATAAGACCAAAGGCAAAAAAAATCCAAGGAGAATGAGCAAAATACAATAGGTTGAGGACCTAGAAAGGGTCTCTGAGAACAGAGAAGGGTCAGATTGAAGAAAGACAGGCTTGAAAAAACTTGGGAAGCAATCAGATGTGAGAAGTGAAGGAAAGGGGTCTAACCAGGGAGTTGGTGAGGACAGCTACCAATAACTGAAAACTTACTAACAGCCAGGCACTTATTCATAGTGTCTCGTTTAATTCTTGCAAAAAAGCCTGTGACAGTGGTATTATTTCCACTTACTGATGAGGAAACAAAGGCTTCAGGGAATAAAGAAACTGGTCGAAGCTCCACAGCTAGAAAGTGTCAGAGACAGACTGTGAACCCAGGTCTAACTCTAAGGCTGTGTTACACACTAGGAAGTAGGGAGGATGAGGAGAATAGAGAGGAGAGCGAACCCCAAATGTGGACAGATGGTTCTAGCGAAGCAGGGTATTTCCCTGACCGCTTCGCGGGATTTGCAACAGGAGTGCCTCATTTACTCAGCCGGCAGCTCTCAACATCCCGTGGGAGGGAATGCATGAGTGAATGAGGCAGGAACTGGAGTGCACAAGTGCTGGAACCAGCTGGCCACTTCGGTGCTGGCAGGAGCGATCTTCACTCACTTGGACCACCCCTTGCAGGAGGGAGCACACAGGTGAGTGGGTGCAGGATCTGGGGAGAGTGCTTTTGGGCGCCGGCAGGAGCAAACTCTGTGTGGGCTCCACAGCAGCATCTAGGCAGGAGGGTTCCTGTGGCCCCTGAAGCCCCAGAGGGCGTGTTACGGTGTTCTTTTAGCTCTTCTGTCCATGGATGGCTTAAGCATTAACAGCTCAGTGGACCCTCTGCCTTTTCACATGAGGCGGCTGCCTTCCACCAGCGAGGGCAAAGGGCCAGTGTGACAGCCTTTTGTATCTGCACTCGTAGCTCCCAGGCTCTAGTCCAGCATCCAGGAAAAATGAAGTTGCATGAATGAATTGAAGGATGGTAAATGCGGGGATTTTACGGCTGATTAAAGTGGCCCTCAGTGGCTCTCAGTGGGAATGGGAGCTGAAAAGGGGTCAGGGGGGTGTAAGTGATCCTCCCCTGAAGTCCGGCCATCTCCAGCTGATTCTTCTCCAAAGTTACGCTGTCAGACCGTCCCTCTGAAGTCAAGCCATTTCTCTCTGACATTCAGCCAGAGTGCCTGATGTCCAGCTCCTTCTTTCTGATGGCTGAGTCTGGGGTCTTTATAGGGACAGGATGGGGTGGAGCAGGGCCATGTGTAGTTTAGGAAAAGGCAACATTTGAGCAGGAAAACATCGATAGAAGTTCTCACTTTGGGTCTCAGGCTTTTTGGCTTGAGTCGGGGGGGCTTCACCGGGGACCCCCCCGCCAACCCCGTGTCTGCCTAGAATTTCTCGGCCTCCTGTAGCTATCATTTCCCCCCTCTGAAGATGCACATCTAACTGCTGTTAGGATACAGACAATGACCGATCTAAGCTGCTTCCTGCAGAGAGGGGGCATTGTTTTGGGGAGAAGAGCAGTCAGATTCTTCCCAGAGGTCTACCTAAGGGTCCCCAGCAAAAGGGAGCCATCATCCAGGGCTCTGCTTGCCTTGACCATTTGGAGTTTGATGGTCTCTAGGTGAGAAGAAACAAGTTCTACAAGGTTAAGTATGCATGAATCAAATATGTGTATTATACAAAAAGGGGTTAAAAGGAAAGAATCTAGTGGCAAAGTTTACAGAAATAAGAAGTAAAATATACAAATTATTCTGAAAACAACATTATATCCTGTGGTATAGAACAGAGCAAAGGTAAGAACAGCAAGCATAGCCAAGACTTTTAAGGAAGATATCCATGGAAGGTTAATTATTAACACTTATCTTTTGTGATTCTTAGCTTGAGGTCCCTGATCTCTTCACATTGGTACTTTGAGTGCTCTTCTGGGTTAATGGAGGTAACTCCATTAGCTTCCTAGGCCCTTACTAGGGTATAATGAATCCAAGAATCTATTCCAGTGACCTTCACTGCCATAGGAGTAGAAAGAAGTACAGTGTAAGGTCCCTCCCAATCTGGGCTTATAGAGGGACAAAGGGAAGGAAGTACCTTTACCAGTACTAGGTCCCCAGGGTTGAATAGAGGTGGTCCTGGTTCATGGGATTGTGCCTCTCTGACAGTTGTTTCAGTTCCTGTTGGAAATGGGCCAAAGAAGTGATATGTTTAACCAAATCAAAGGTTTCTTGGTCTAGCAAGAAATCATTGGTGAGAAAAGGCCATCCATACATCATTTCAAAGGGATTCAAACCTAGCCTTGAAGGGGTGTTTCTAATACATAGTAGAGATATGGGCAGAAGGGTAGTCCAGGGGAGGTGAGTCTCCTGAGGTGTCTTTTGATAATATCATTTGTCTTTTCTACCTTTCCTAAGAATTGTGGTCTCCAAGCACAATGAAGAACCATCTTCATTGTACTGTATGCCTAGTGCCTTTGAGATCCCCTGGGTGACAGCCGCATTGAACAAGGGGCCATTATCACTCTGGAGGTACTTAGGGAGTCCAAAGCGAGGAATTATCTCATTAATTAGTAAACCTTACATCCTCTGTTAGCCAGAAAATTAAGAAGAGCCTTACTGCCCTCCTGAGAGATTTTTTTAGTTAGAGTGCAGAGGAGAATGTCATCTACATATTGTAAAACTTTCACCTGAGGATAAAGGAACTTGGAGAAGTCTCTTGACCGTGCCTGCCCAAAAAAGTGGGGGCTGTTTCAGAATGCCTGAAGTAACACTATCCAGATTAACTGGGTGGTCTGGTTAGAGGGATCCTCAAATGCAAACAAATACTGGGGGTTTATATAACAGTATGCAGAAGAAGCATACCATTATATCTTTAGGTCCAGGACTGTGAACCTTTTAGTTCCCTCAGGTATGTGAGCTAGCAAGGTATACAGATTGGGAGCCACTGGGTGAATTGGAACCACAGCCTCATTAACAAGATGAAGGTCCTGAACTAGTCTCCATTCCCCTTTGGGTTTTTGTACCCCCAATATTGGGGTATTACAAGGGCTGTTGCAGAGTTTGAGGAGGTACTGCAACCTTAAGTTATCAATGATGGCTTCTGGTCTTTTCTTAACTTCTGGTTTCAGGGGCTATTGTGTCTGGTTCAGACTGGTATGGTGGTTGTGGCTCTGCCAATTTTCCCTTGAGTTACCCAAACTTCTGGGTTAAAATCAGTCTCCACTAAGGGGAGACAAAGAGTTTGTCCTGGGGCCATCAGGATGGTGGTTCCTACACGGGCCACAATACCCCTACCCAACAGAGTATTTGGCCTTTCAGGCACAATTAGAAAGGCACAGGTGAACAAGAGGTCTCCCCAACTACAACTAAGGGGTTGGAAAAAATATTGGGTTTAAGGCCTTCCTGGGATGCCCCTCACAGTCATGCTAAGAGAGGACAGGGGGCTTGAATTGGAGATGAAAACCGAGAGACCAGCCCCAGCGTCCAGAAGGAGGTCCACTTTCCTCCCTTCCATATCCAGAATTGTAAATTCTGGGGCTCCTGGATGGTAATGGTGGTCTGGACCACCGGAGCCAGGGAGAGGAGCCCCAGGACTTGTCAGTCTTGCTGGACCATTTGGGAGATTGGCTCTGGGCCTGGCGACCAGTGCCCCCGGGGACAGTCCACTTTCTAGTGGTCCCCATTGTACATTGGACAGGGTTGGGGTGGCTTCCTCATGTTGCCTGGGCAATCCTTCCTAAAATGCCCTGGCTTACCACATCTGTAGCAGTTAACAGGTGTAGCTTGGGGATTCTGGAGTTTGTGGGTTTGCATGGTGGCCATTAAAGCCTCTGCCTCTTGCCTGTGTCTCCTCTCTCTCTCTTCTGGGCCTCCCTATCTTATTACAAAAGACTGAGGTGGCCACTTTCAGGAGATTCTCTAAGGTACTATCTGGTCCCAGGGCCTGTTTCTGCAGCTTTCTCCTGATATCAGGGGCTGCCTGAGTAATAAATTTATCCTTTAGGATTACTTGTCCCTTGATGGAATCAGGAGCTAGTGAGGTGTGCTTTACCAAGACTCTATTAGCCTCTCCAGGAAGGCAGTAGGATGCTCATTGAATCCCTGGTCCATCCTGGATAGCTTGGTATAGTTGAGAGGCTTAGTTCTAGTCCTACATAAGCCCTCTATTATGCCCACCTGAAACTGTCTCCTCTTACATTCTCCCGTCTTGTCATTGGGATCCCATTTAGGGTCATTCATTGGTACTGCTTCTCCTCCAGTTGGATAAAGTTTGACCCCCTCCCTGACACTATATGTGACACAAACCTCATCCCCAGATCTCTCTGTCACTTGCAGAGCAGACTGCTTCTCAGTGTTAGTCAGGTTTGATTCAAAAGTAACATAATGTCTTTCCAGGAGAGTTCAAATACTTGGGTTAAATTCTGGAAAGCCTTTATATATCTGTCAGGGTCATCTGAAAACTTGCCAAGATCCCCCTTAATTTGCTTTAAGTCCTGTAGAGAGAAGGGGGACCTGGACCAGGGGGCCAAATTCACCAAGCATCTGATGGAGGGCAGGAATGAGACTGGGGCTTGTCTAGGGTGAGGAGTTCTAGGAGGGGCCAAGTGAGAGAAAAACTGGGTAGGCAGGATGGGGTGGACCCAGAGGAGCAGGGCCAGTGGGAGCTGGCTCCCTTGCTGGAGGTGCCTCTGGAGTTCATTTCTTTAGTTCTCTGGTATTGTTCTCTGAGATGGCAAACAAGAGGTCTGGAGCAATCCTACACTGTCAGCAAAGGTCTGGATTGCCCTGCAAGGTAAAGAAGGCCTGCACATATGGAGCCTCAGACCATTTGCCCTCACATTTACAGAAAAGGTCCACCTGCAGGATGGTTATCGAAATTAATGGTTCCTTCCTGAGGCCACGCCAGTCCTTCCTACAGATCATAATTTGGCCAAACCTTTGTGCAAAGGGCTATGAGGTGTTTTCCCTCTAGAGTCTGAGGGTTAAAGCAGTCCCAGTGATTCAGGATACACTCCAGAGGCGTATAGACTGAGGATGGTGAAAGTAGTTGGTGCCCATTCTGAAAGAGAGGGAAATAGGCATCGCTCATTTTCTTTCCCTCTTTCCCCAAGAGAAAACAGGTGTCCTCCTTTTCTCTTCTATATGTTTATCCCCGAGTTCTGGCAACCTTAGATGGACACCATCCATAGGTGCCATTGTGGCCTGTACCCGTGAAGCAGGGAGGGCCTAGAGAATAGGAATTATCTGCACTCACTTACGCCTCCATGCCCCCTACTGTCGGCAACCTTTGGGTTCCTTGGGCCTTATCTATGCCATGGAGTGTGGCCTCCTTCCATGAAGCAGGGGCTTAATTGGCAGGAATTAGTCCTGCCCATTGATACTGTGCCTGTTGCTTGGCTTTGAATCCCTCAGATCTGATTTTCCTTTCTAGGGCTTCAACCTGAAGTTTAGAATTGAGTTTGGGATTGGGCCAGGCACAGTGGCTCACGCCTGTAATCCCAACACTTTGGGAGGCCGAGGAGAGCAGATCAAGAGGTCAGGAGTTCGATACCAGCCTGGCCAACATAGTGAAACCCCATCTCTACTAAAACTACAAAAATTAGCTGGGCGTGGTGGCGGGCGCCTGTAGTCGTAGCTACTCCGGAGGCTGAGGCAGGAGAATTGCTTGAACTAGGAGGCAGAAGTTGCAATGAGCCAAGATTGTGCCACTGCTCTCCAGGCTGGGAAACAGAGCAAGACTCCATCTCAAGAAAAAAAAAAAATGAGTTTGGGATGAAAAGGTGTCTCGGGGGTGCATGGATTCATTTAGATTAAGTCCCAGGCAGGCCTTGCCAAATTTGCAGTTATTAGCCAGTGGGCTCGCTCCTCCACTGCTTTTCTATCATAAGCAGAGTGCTGAGGTAGGAAAAGAACCTCCTCGCATAGAAAAGGAAAGAGGGAAAAAACAAAACAGCTTAAGAGGGGGAAGAACCTCTTGCTCTCTGTAAATGGGTTCCTTTAATCACTATATCCTTCCTCTGGTTTGGACGGAGCTGGACCCCTCGGCTGTCTGGGGGAGGAAAGACTCTGTGGGCATGTGGAAGGAGGGGATGGTGAGTGGGAAATGCTGGCCAACTGGCTGCATTGGGCCCCTGGCCCCCAAGACTGCCCTGGGGCCTGGGCAGCAGCCACAGTTCTCTCCCACCCTGCCCTTGGGCACTTCATGTGCATGCTGTGGACACGCCCAGGTGCCGTAGCTGGGAGGGAAGGGTGAGGAGGGGAACAGCCACGTGCTGCACACCTTTGTGGCTGTTGGGGTTGGGCGTGGGGGTCGCACCTCTAAGAACAAATGGAAGTCACATTGTTCTGAATTGCATATCTGGTGGCTGAGCCAAATGCTCATTCTACCTAGTAACATTTCTGCAGTTTGCAGCAAAACCCTTATCATTATAAAGGGAGAGAGAGGAGCCATTTTTAACCATGAAAGAAGAAAGGGAAAGATACCATAGAAAGGTCCAGGGGTGTTGGTCAACGCCTTAAGTGCTATCGGGGATGGGATCCAGTTTAGGGGCCTTCTGGCAACACCAAGGAGTGGCCTCCTCCAGATGCCTTCAGTTGCCCCAGGACTTTATTCTGGTCCCACCCGATGGCTAGACCTCTTTGAAGGGAAACAGAGCCAACATTCCTTTCACCTGAAACAAAGAGATAGGTGGCAGGATTGCATCCTGTCCTCTGCAAATGGCATAGCTCAGAGGAAAGTCTGAGGACAAGAAGTCTTAGGAAAAAAGTGAAGAGACAGATATGGCAGATCTGCATTTATTTGCCCTTCTGAGAAATCCTGGATAGGCCCTGTGGAAGCAGGCTATTTCCCTGACCCCTTCAAGGGACTTGCAACAAGGGTGCCTCATTTACTCAGCCTGCAGCTCTCAACTCCTCACAGGAGGGAGTGTGGGAGTGAATGAGACAGGAACTGGAGTGCATGAGTGCTGGAACCAGCTGGCCACCTTGGCACTGGCAGCAGCAAACTCCACTCACTCAGACTGGCTGTATTGCACCACTCACAGGAGGGAGCGTGCAGGTGAGCAGGTGCAGGAGCCAGCATGAGCACTTTTAGGCACTGGCAGTAGCGAATGCTGTGCAGGTCCCAGGCAGCATCTAGGGTGGGGGTGCCTGTGACCCCTGAAGCCCCAGAGGGCGTGTTACATTGCTCACTTAGCTCTGCCATCCGCAGACAGCTTAAGTGTTAACAGCTCAGTGGGCCCTCTGCCTTTTCATGTGGGATGGCTGCCTTCCACTAGTGAGGGCAAAGGGCCAGTGTGACAGCCTTTTGTATCCACACTTGTGGCCCCCAAGCTCTTGTCCAGCATCCAGAAAAAATGAGGTCACACAAATGAATTGAAGGATGGTGAATGTGGAGGATTTTATTGCTGATGAAAGTGGCTCTCAGAGGGAAGGGAGGTTGAAAAGGGGCCAGGGAATGTAGGTAATCTTCCCCTGAGGTCCAGCAGTCTCTGGCCAGATTCTTCTTTGAAGTTACACTGTCAAGCTGTCCCTCTGAAGTCAAGCTGGTTCTCTCTGACTTTGGCCATAGTCCCCAACATGCAGCTGCTTCTCCTCTCTACCGGCTGAGTCTGGGGTCTTTATAGGCACAGGATGGGGCAGGGCAGGACCATGGTAGTTTAGGAAAAGGCAACATTCAAGCAGGAAAATGGGGATATAAGTTCTCACTTTGGGCTGTGGTCTCAGGCTTTTTGGCTTGAGGGTGGGGCTTCACCAGGGATCCACCCCTCTCTGCCTAGAATTTCTCTGCCTCTTGTCACTATCACTAGGACTAGAGCTATGGATCTGAGAGGCGGAATAAAAAGATAAAAGCCATGCAGCCTTGGATAATCATTAAGTTAAAAAGGAATTTGCTTAGGGGACCAAGGGAAGGGGACACTACAGACTGTCCATCCCCTCCACCCCTACCCTAGGTGTCATGCCCTTAACTTTTCACAGCTACACTCAACTTTAGTCAGATTTTTTTTCGTCTGTTTGTTTGGTAATTGTCTTTATTTGCCATGTTCAACTGTAATCTGCAAAAGAATAAAAACAATTGTCTTTGGCTGGTAAGTGAGTAGTTAAAAACTTTGATTTGAAGGTGTCATCAGATATCACCTTTGTTTCTGTCTCAAGGCAGGAAAGTTTTGCTTCCATTCAATGCAAACATAGCTGCCTGGATCTGGCTAGTGTTAACTCATCAGATGCTTTGTGTGAGGGACCCCTAAGTTCTTTATTTCAGGCAGTGAAAGGGCCAAGGGGGTATCATTGTTGGGCTGTGTTTAAGGCATCGGTTGACCTTTATCCAGCTTTGAAGTCATGATATAGAACAGTTCCAGCATCCTGAAAAATTTCCTCATACCACTTGGCCATCAACCCCCACCCTGCCCCCACCCCAGCCTCTGTCACCATAGTTTTGCCTTTGCTACACCTTTTTTTTTGTTTGTTTGAGACAGAGTCTTGCTCTGTCACCAGGCTGGAGTGCAGTGGCACGATCTTGGCTCACTGCAACCTCCGTCTCCTGAGTTCAAGTGATTCTCCTGCCTCAGCCTCCTGAGCAGCTGGGACTACAGGTGCACACCACCACGCTCAGCTAATTTTCGTATTTTTAGTAGAGACGGGGTTTCACCATGTTGACCAGGATGATCTCGATCTCTTGATCTCGTGATCTGCCCACCTTGGCCTCCCAAAGTGCTGGGATTACAGGCGTGAGCCACCGTGCCTGGCTGCTACACCTTCATATAAGTATTAGACAGTATGTAGTCTTTTGTATCTAGCTTCTCTCACTTAACATAATGATTTGGATTAATCCACGATTTTGCTTTTATCAGTGATTTGTTTCTTTAGGTTGCTAAGAGGTATTTCATTCTATAAATCTGCCATAAATTGTTTATCCACTTATCAGTTGATGGACAAATGGGTTGTTTCTAATTTTTTGCTTTTAGGAATAAAGCTGATATAACCTTTTGCAGAGAAGACTTTGTGTGAACATACATTTCCATTCCTCTTAGCTAAAAATCTAGGACTGTGTTTGCTGGGTTGGATGATAAGTACATGTTTAACTTCATTAAAAAAAAATGGCCAAGCTATTTTCCAAAGTGATTGAATCATTTTGCATTTCCAGCAGCAATATATGAGATATCCAGTTGCTCTGCCTCTTTGTCAGCACTTGGTATTGTCAGTTTTTTTAATTTTCGTCATTCTAGTAGATGTGTGGTGGTGCTGTATTGTGAGTTTAACTTGCATTTCCCTAATGGCTGTTTATGCTGAGTATCTACTGATGTGTTTATTTGCCATCTGTATATATTCTTTGGTGGTAAAAGACAAAAGTTATTTATCTAAGATGTCTTTTGCAAATATTTTTTCTTGTCTGTGGCTTTTTTCCTTTTCTTAACAGTGTCTTTGGAGAATAGAAGTTTGGCGTTTGTGGGTTTTTTTAGATGAAGTTCAACTTACTAGTTTTTTGTGATTTGTGGATTTTATGTCTAACCTAAGAAATGCTTGCCTGACTCAAGGTCACAAAGATGTTCTCTCATTTTTTTCTAGAAATTTTAGTTTTAGTTTTTATATTTAGGTCTATGAGCCATTTCAAGTTATTATTATTTGCATATGGAAGTCCTTTTTTTGGGGGGAGTGGGGACTGGGTCTTGCTCTGTTGCCCAAGCTGGAGTGCAGTAGTGCGATTACAGCTCATTGTAAATTTAAACTCCTGAGATCAAGCAATCCTCCTGCCTCAACCTCCCAGGTATCTGGGACTACAGATGTGCACCACCATGCCTGGCTATGAAGTCCAATTTTTCAGTCATTTTTTGTTGAAGCAACTATTGAATCACCTTGGCTTCTTTGTTGAAAACAATTGACCATACTGGTGTGGCTCTACTTCTGGACTCCTCTCTGTCCCTTTATGTCTATTCACACATCAATACCATGCTGTCCATGCCTGTAGTCTAGCTACTCTGGAGACTGAGGCCTGAGGAAAACTTGACCCCAGGAATTCAAATCTAGCCTGGGCAACACAGACCCTCTCTCTTATTATTATTATTATTTTTTAGATGGAGTCTCGTTTTGTCGCCCAGGCTGGAGTGCAATGGTGTGATCTTGGCTCACTGCAACCTCTGCCTCCTGGGTTCAAGTGATTCTCCCACCTCAACCTCTGGAGTAGCAGGGATTACAGGCACCCACCATCATGCCCAGCTAATTTTTGTATTTTTGTAGAGATGGGGTTTCACCATGTTGGCCAGCCTGGTCTTCAACTCCTGACCTTAGGTGATCTCCTGCCTCGGCCTCCCAAAGTGCTGGGATTATAGATGAGAGCCACTGCACCTGGCTGGGACCGTCTGTCTTAGAACAACCACAGCAATAAAAAAAAAAAACACAAAAAACCACGATACTGTCTTCTTCACTGTATTCTTTTCAGAGTATTGAAATCAGGTAATATACATTCTCAAATTTTTTCTTTCTTTTATAAAATAGATTTGGCTAATCTATATCCTTTGCATTTCCTTTAATTTTTTTTTTTTGAGATAGAGTCTCACTCTGTCGCTTAGGCTGGAATGCAGTGGCGCAATCTTGGCTCACTGCAACCTCTGCCTCCCGCGTTCAGGCGATTCTCCTGTCTCAGGCTCCCGAATAGCTGGGATTACAGGCGCGTGCCACTACGCCGGGATTTTTTTGTATTTTTGGTAGAGACGGGGTTTACATCCTGTTAGTCAGGATGGTCTCAATCTCCTGACCTCGTGATCAGCCTGCCTCAGCCTTCCAAAGTGCTGGGATTACAGGCGTGAGCCACTGTGCCCGAACTTCCTTTAAATTTTACAGTCATCTTGCCAGTTTCAACAGAAGAGCCTTCTAGGATTTTGATAAGGATTGCATTGTTCTACAGATCAATTTGGGGAGAACTGACATCTTAGCCATATAGAATCATCTGATCCATGTATGTCATATCCCTCCCTCCTCACCCCTTTCTTCTTCATCAGTCTGACTAGAGATTTCTCAATCTTACTGAATTTTTTCTAAGAACCATTTTTTGTTTTATTACTTTTCTATAGTTTCTGTTTTATTGATTTCTGCTTTTCGTTTATCTGTTTCTTCTGCTGACTTTGGTATTCTTTATTTAGTCTCTTAGTGAGGAAGCTTAAATCATTTATTTGAGGCTTTTCTAATTTAGCAGTATTTTCAGCATCAGCGCTGTTGACATTTGGGGCTTTATAATTGTTGGGGGACTGTCCTATGCACGACAGGATGTTTAGTAGCATCCCTGGCCTATAGTCACTAGATATCAGCAGCACCCCTCTCCAGTTGTGACAACCAAAAGTGTCTTCATGTATTGCCAAATGTCTTGGGCATGGGAGAATTGCTCCTGGCTGAGAATGACTGCTATAGTAGGCATTTTATGATAGAAACCTCAGTTGTGTATCACAAATTTTGACATTTTTTTCATTTAGTTGAAAATTTTTTCTTAGTTTCCTTTGCGATTTCCTCCTTGGCACATGCAATACTATATTTTTTTAAACTTTTATTTTTTTAGAGACAGGGTCTTTCTATGTTACCCAAGCTATCTTTGAACTCCCAGGCTGAATTGTTGCTCCCACCTCAGCCTCCCTGAGTAGCTGGGGCTACTGGTGTTTGCCACCGCACCTGGCTGACCCATACATTATTTGTAAGTGTATTTTTTAGTTCCAAATATTTGAGGATTTTCCAGAAATATTCCTGTTACTGATTGCTAATTTAGTTCTTTTGTGGTCAGAGAACACACTTGAATGGCTTCAATTCTTTTGAATTTGTTGAAATGTGTCTTATGGTCCTGCATGTGATCTATTTTGGGAATTGTTCAGCGTGCACGTGAAAATAACGTATTCTTGGATAGAGTTGTCTATAAATGTCAATTGGGTCAAGTGGGTTGATAGCGTTGTTCAAGGTTTTTATATTCTGGTTGGGCGTGGTGGGTCATGCCTGTAATCCTAACACTTTGGGAGGCCGAGGCGGGTGGATTACTTGAGGTCAGGGGTTCAAGACCAGCCTGACCAACATGGTGAAACCCTGTCTGTACTAAAAAAACAAAATTAGCCAGGATTAATCCAATATGGCAATATCTGTCTTTTAAGTAAGTGTTTAGAAACCATTTCCTTTTTTTTTTTTTTTTTTGTGAAACAGAGTCTCACTCTGTTGCCCAGGCTGGAGTGCAGTGGGCAATCTCCGCTCACTGAAACCTCTGCTTCCCGGGTTCAAGTGATTCTCCTGCCTCAGTCTCCTGAGGAGCTGGGATTACAGGCACCCACGACCACGTCTGGCTAATTTTTATATTTTTAGTAGAGACGGGGTTTCACCATGTTGCCCAGGCTCATCTTGAACTCCTGACCTCAAGTGATCTGCCTGCCTTGGCCCCCCAAAGTGCTGGGATTACAGGCGTGAGCCACAGCGCCGGGCAACCATTTACATTTAATATGTTGATACAGAAAGGTTTATCATCTTGCTATTTCTTCTTATTTATCCCATTTGCTTGTTCTTTTTTTCTTTTTTGCTAGCTCCTCTCTTTTTTATTGAAGTACTACTCCACAATGCTGCCTTCTTTGAGACTAAGTACCCGATGCCATTTTACCTCCACAGTGGAGATAATAATATTAGACCATGTCACATATAGTGTAAGAGTCTTACCTAGTAACTTCTATTTCCCTCCATCATTTTTATGTTTTATGAAAATGTTATTACTTTCATATATTTAATTCTGCATGTGCTAAGAACTCCACACTGTACTGTTATATTTGCTTGAACCAGTTATCATTTAAAGAGATTAAAAAGGTAAAAATGGGCCGGGCGTGGTGGCTCACACCTGTAATCCCCAGCACTTTGGAAGGCCAAGGCGGGTGGATCACCTGAGGTCAGGAGTTCGAGACCAGCCTGGCCAACATGGTGAAACCCCGTCTCTACTAAAAATACAAAAATTAGCCGGGCGTGGTGGCGGGCACCTGTAGTCGTAGCTACTTGGGAGGCTGAGGCAGGAGAATCGCTTGAACCTGGGAGGCGGAGGTTGCAGTGAGCTGGGATCGCGCCATTGCACTCCAGCCTGGGTGACGGAATGACACATTGTCTCAAAAAAACAAAAAAAAAAAACAAAAAAAACCCCCAAAAAGTAAAAATGTTTTTTTGATTTTACCTATAGGTTTACAATTTTTGGTACTCCTTTGTGCAGATCCAAATTTCCATCTCATGTCATTTTCCTTTTGCCCGAATAACTAACATTTCTTGTAGCGTAGATCTGCTAGTGAAGAATCCTGTTGGGTTTTGTCTAAAAAAATCTGTTTCTTGTCCTCATTTTTAAATGATAAGGAAATAAACCTGGGGTCTCAGTTCCTCTTCCCCGCCCCTCACTGAGCAGAGTTCTTATGCACTGCTGCCATGTGGGAGGTGGAGATGGGTTCAGAGGTTTGTGAAAAGCTTGACGCGCTGCACGCCCACTCCACAGGGCACCTTTAGAGGCTTCTTGGGGAAGCTGGTCGGGTAGCTCTGACTCCTCGCATCTCTGTGTGTCCTTGGGAATGTCAGGTGGAAGATCGATGTGCATTTGCAAATGGGAGTGAGTGTGAGAAAAGAAAAATGTGGGGTTGTGGCTGGTAGGGTGTGTTCAGGGAGCAATGGTGACCTCTGTTGTCTGTGCTCTCCCAACAGTTCTGGGATTGTGGGGAATGCAATTGTTCTGTATCCCTTTTGTATTTTGGAAGTTCTCCGTGAAGTCTAACTGCAGGTCATATTGTCATTTAGTCTAGAGTTGGAGGATGGATATAATTTCATGAGTATGAAATAATATGCAGAGTTGTTGGACACCAACTGGGCCCACCCACTCCACCAGAACTCAGGTCTCCTTCATTTGACTCCCACCGGCAACGTCACTCACTTTAACACCTGAATTACTCTCTCTTAGATACCAGAGGGGAAACGGAGGCATGCAGGTGAGAACGTGGCAGCAGTCCCTAAAAGTCACTTCTGGTGCTGGCCCTGGCTCATCCGTGCCCTGGGGGAGAAATGCAAGTGTCAGAGCTGCGGAAAGGAGCTGAGATCTAGCAGGGCTCGCCCTTATCAACCTCCGCCTCTAACAAGGGCCACACAGCACGTAGGGGAGATTAGGCCGATCTGCCTGCCTCATCGCGGGAGGCCAGGAGGGTGGAAGGCAGCGGATCGCGCCCTAGCGAGCAACCCACATGCTCTGGAAGTGTGGTTCAACTTTCACCAGGCTACTGCGGGCGGCCGGCCAGCTGTCAGCGGGCACTCCGCCCCCAGGAGCTGTCCGCAAGCGCGGGGCGGTGGGCACCGCGGGGAACAGCCCCCGGACAGCCAGTGGCACGCGGAGACCTCGGAGAGCGCAGGCCCTGCTTTCCCGTAGGAACACTCGTGGGCATCGGGTCGCCCGCTTCGCCCCCGCGCTCTAGACGCACTTTCCTGCCGCCTGGCGATGTCCGAAGTGCATATCAGAGCATGGACTTGGTCTTCCCAGCGCTACCAGACCGCTGAGCCTCCCCGCACGTGGTGGGGCGCAGGCGGGGCGCCAGCTGCGCGGGAATCCGGGCGAGCGCGCTCCACCCGGGCAGTGCGGGCCTGGAGCGCCCTCTGGCGGGACGGTGCGCGGCGTTGCGCGTCTCCAGCCTTGGGATTGGCCCGGACTCGCCTTCAACGCACCGGACAGCGCTGCCAGGAGGCAGAGCTCTGAAAACCTCGACAACGACGCCTCTCTCTTCAGTGCCCGCACTGCGTCCCAGGCTGACGCCAAGGAGGCCCAAGACAGCCCTGGGTGGCCATTAGGACGGGTCTGGAGGGGACATCAGTGTGGACATCTAGTTGCTGGGCCTGGGGTCACAGCCCCCTTTCTTGTCTGAACTGGCCACTGCCCGGAGGAGCTGCGCTGTGCGCCTTAGTGTGCCACCACCTAACCGCCATCGCGGCTGAGCCCACCTCCTTTCCCGGACATTAGAGGACGAGGGGTGCGAAGGTCGGGGAAAGCTGGGGGCATCCAGATATCCAGAGTAGAGGAGGGGCCTCTTCCCTGCGTGGATGTGCATGGGAAGGATTCCAGGAATTTAATTTTCTTTTCTTTTGAGATGGAGTCTCGCTCTGTCACCAAGCTGGAGTGCAGTGGCGCGATCTGGGCTCACTGCAACCTCCGCTTCCCGGGTTCAAGGGATTCCCCTGCCTCAGCCTCCCTAGTAGCTGGGACTGCAGGCGCGTGCCACCACACCTGGCTAATTTTTTGTATTTTAGTAGAGACGGGGGTTTCACCATGTTGGCCAGGATGGTCTCGATCTCCTGACCTCGTGATCTGCCCGCCTTGGCCTCCCAAAGTGCTGGGATTACAGGCGTGAGCCACCGCGCCTGGCCGAATTTTCTTTTTTCTTTTTTTTTTCTGGAGTCATCATCTCTCCACTCGCAGATAGGGAGTCAGCGTGGTTTGTATGCAGGTGGGAGGGACTGAGCCCCTGAAAATGGTTAGGATTGTCTCTGGCCTCAGCCTTGGTACACACATCACAGGACAAATCAAGCAGACAGTGGTGAGTCCGCCACAGTGGGCAAATTTCTACCCGTGCCAGACAGTGTACAGGATCTTTTGTTTTTTTTTCTCTCTCTCTCTTCCTTTTGAGACAAGGTCCTGCTCTGTCACCCAGGCCGGAGTGCAGTGGCGTGATCTCCACTCACTGCAACCTCCACCTCCTGGGCTCAAGCGATTTTCCCACCTCAGCCTCCCCAGTAGCTGGGATTACAGGCTCAAGCCACTGCCCCCCGCTAATTTTTGTATCTTTTTGGGTAGAGATGGGTTTTTGCCATGTTGCCCAGGCTGGTCTTGAACTCCTGGGCTCAAGCCATGTGCCCGCCTTGGCCTCCCAAAGTGCTAGGATTACTGGCGTGAGCCACCTTACCTGGTGGGGCACAGGATTTTAAATTAAATTTTTTTTTTTTTAATTTTTAGAGACAGAGTCTTGCTCTGTCGCCCAGGCTGGAGTGCAGTGGCATGATCTTGGCTCACTACAATCTCTGCCTCTAGAGTTCCGGCGATTCTTGTGCCTCAGCCTCTCTAGTAGTTGGGATTACAGGCGTGCACCACCACACCCAGTTAATTTTTTCTATTTTTAGTACAGACAGGGTTTTGCTATGTTAGCCAGGCTGGTCTTGAACTCCTGGCCTCAAGTGATCTGCCTGCTTTGGCCTCCCAAAGTGCTGGGATCACAGGCGTGAGCCACTGCGCCTGGCCTAAATTTTTCGTCTTTAAGACGGGGTCTCTCTCTCTCTGTCATCCAGGCTGGAATGCAGTGGCACAATCATAGCTCACTGCAGCCTTGAACTCCTGGGCTCAAGTGAGCCTCCAGCCTCAACTTTCTAAGTAGCTGGGACTACAGGCTGATGCGACCATGCCCGACTTGGCACAGGATTTAAATATGGCCCTGGACAAGTCACTGGCCTTCTCTGGCCTTCCCAGGTAAGCTTGGACTTTCTGGGATGCTTCAAGTTCAAATCATCAGTGGTACAACTGTTGAACAATATGAGGAACGCTGCGGGTTACTGGGCCTGTGTGGACCCGTTTTGGATTCTAAGCTGGGTCCTGGGCAGAAGTTGGAGGCTGGGGCAGCTGCAAGCAGGACAGGCAGGTGGCCAGAGGGCCCAGCAGCTTCAGCACTGAGGACTGGACTGGGTCGCCACGCCCAAAGGAAGGATAATTACTCACCTCCCACTCAAGAAGCAGGCGGCAGAACTGTTTTGGAGAGCATGGCTTGGGGCCTGGGACCTATGTTCATGCGGTCCAGACGGAGATCCATGAGAGTTAAGACTCTTTCTAGATATCAGGTAGCACTTCTGATTACAAAACTTTTGCACATGGTCTCCTCTCTGCTTTACAACAGCTCAGGAAAGTAGGCCCAAACATCCACTTTAATAGATGAGGGAGCTCAGAGGGGGTAACCAACCCCTCCAGGTCACACAGCCAGGGAGGGGGTTGAGCCAAGGTTCAAACCACTGCCTCGGTTGTTGCAGATACATCCCTGCAGACACCTTTATTGAAGAGGGACCCTGAAGGCTGAACGGCCAACACAGAAGAGGAGGCACTTGGGAGTAAGGGTGATTTATGGCCCTGGGAGGGCCCAGTGCAGGTAGGATGGGAGCTAAGGTAAGGCTGGGCCATGCCTAGCTGCAAGCAAATTTCCTTAAAAAACAAACAACAAAAAACATTACTTTTTCTAAACCTAAAGTTTGTGGTGGCATTCAAGTCCCATCATAGCCCATCTATCCAGACTCATCTGCCTGGGATCCCCGTCTTGGGACTAGTGGTCACTGGCCTGCTTCCTGGTCAATTAGCTTCCGGGACTAGGGGGAGGTGTGAGGAGCCTAGAGTGCAAAATTTAAGAAGCACTCAGTCTCAGGGGCGTGCAGGTGCAGGGTAGCGACGGCAGGACTCTAAGAGTGAGTCTCTTTCCTCCCCGTTTCCCCGTCCTACTTTCACTCTAAGCATTTAGTTCCCAGGGGACAGAGACGACTTCTTCATTAGAAGACCCCGGGGGGTCCCCAGCCCGGAAGGGCTCACAGTTGGAGCTCAAACATTTGCCACTGTTCAGGCTCATCTTTCTTTCCCCAGTGAAAAATGGTCTAGGTTGGGAAGGGCAGGTTCCTGTCTACTGCGTGATCCAACCGATTCTGGTTCGCCCAATGTCTGGACTTGTCCTTTGCCAAGAATAAGCAGATGAGATGGGCGGATGAACCCCAATGTCCCTGCAAGATTCAGGAAGTCCCAGCCAGAAAGTAAAGGACGTTTAGTTCCATGTATTGTTTTCTTTTTTACATGCGGGGCAACACACCTGGACAGTGTCGATGGCTTGCTCCAAGCCACACGGCCGCATAGGGACAGGGACTGGGCTACATAACAAGTTCTTCGACGCTGTGATCTAATCAAGGAAAACCTGGGACGCAGCTAATAGATGCGCATCGAGTGTATCGACGCTCTAAGTACGAGGGCTGGAACAGTGAGCAGGATCAGTCCATTGCTTTTGCCTACCTGCTGAGCGCTGATTGGTCCCCGTTTAGGAAACGGAAAAAGGGGCGTGCACGCGGGCGCGGCTGCGTGAGAGGCGCGCGGCGGCGCAGTGAACAGTCTCCTTCCACAAAACCATGGCGTCGCTCAAATGTAGCACCGTCGTCTGCGTGATCTGCTTGGAGAAGCCCAAATACCGCTGTCCAGCCTGCCGCGTGCCCTAGTGAGCGGGGAGGTCGCGGGGTCCAGGGGCGCGGGTGTCCGGCCATGGCGGGAGGGCGGGAGGCCGGGAGGCCGGGCGGGAGCGGGCGGGCTGCTGGAGGGGCCGGGGACCCTCGGGGCTGACGCGGCCTGTGGCCTCTGTTGTTACAGCTGCTCGGTAGTCTGCTTCCGGAAGCACAAAGGTGAGCCCCGTCCCCGCCAGCCCTCGTACCACTGCGCACGGGGCAGCCCCCACGTCCAGCCTCCGTCTTGGGGGCGTGGACCCTTGGGCTGCGCTTCCTTTCCCGCCTCGGGTCTCCGCGGGTTCTGCAGGAACCTTGCTTCCTCTGACTTGGTCCCTGGTGTCTCTGTGTGTCGGACAGTTCCCTCTGTTGTCCCTGCCTGTAATCGCTCTCAGGGTTTTGGTCAGTAGCCTTTCTTCTACCCCGCTTCTCCTTCTGCGTGTTACTCTTTTTTGCTTAGAAATAGTTTCCGATTGCTTTTCCCACCGAGGTCTACCCTAGCAGTTTCTTCCTCAGTATTCTGATGTAGCCCCTCACCATTTGGCTGAAACTGCGCTAACTTTAACAGTATTTTCACTCGTGTAAATAATGTCTTGTTAGAAACAAAGAGGTAAGTCCATGTACAATACAAGGAGACGTCCTTGATTTGTTAAGAGAAAAAAAGAACCAAGTAAGTTCTGTGTATGATGTGAACACACTTTTGTACAGTTAAAAAGAAGTGACCTGGCCGGGCGCGGTGGCTCACGCCTGTGGTCCCGGCACTTTGAGAGGCCAAGGCGGGTGGATCACCTGAGCCCAGGAGTTCGAGACCAGCCTGGCCAACATGGTGAAACTCCGTCTCTACTAAAAATACAAAAATTAGGCGGGCGAGGTGCGCGCCTGTAATCCCAGCTACTCAGGAGGCTGAGGCAGGAGAATCGCTTGAACCCGGGAGGCGGAGGTTGTAGTGAGCCGAAATCGCACCACTGCACTCCAGCCTGGGCTACAGAGCCAGACTCAGTCTGGAAAAAAAAAGAAAAAAAAAAGTTTGATGTAGGTGGGGCGCGGTGGGTCACGCCTGTAATCCCAGCACTTTGGGAGGCCGAGGCGGGCGGATCATTTGAGCTCAGGAGTTTGAGACCAGCCTGGGCAACATAGCGAAACCCCGTCTCTATAAACAAACAAAGCCAGGCGTGGTGGCCTGTGCCAGTGGTCCCAGCTACTCAGGAAGCAGAGGTGGGAAGATCGCTTGAGCCTGGGAGGAGGAGGTTGCAGTGAGCCAGGATCGTACCACTGCACTCCAGCCTGGGAGACAGCAAGACTGTCTCAAAAAAAAAAAAAAAAAAAGCTTGATGTAGATTCTTTCAGCTTATTTCCACTCTTGTACCAATATATAGAACTTTTTTTTTTAGCTTTTAGAATCTCAGCAATGAGACTGTACCCAACATCCTCATTTGAGTTTATATATTGGGCACTTTTTAAAACCTAGTGCATACAGGCTGGGCGCAGTGGCTCATGCCTGTAATCCCAGCACTTTGGGATGCCAAGGTGGGTGGATCACCTGAGGTCAGGAGTTCGAGACCAGCCTGGCCAACATTATGAAACCACATCTCTACTAAAAATACAAAAATAAGCTGGGTGTGGAGGTGCGCGCCTGTAATCCCAGCTACTTAGGAGGCTGAGGCAGGATAATTGCTTGAACCATGGAGACGCAGGTTGCAGTGAGCCAAGACTGCACCACTGCACTCCAGCCTGGGCAACAGAGTGAGACTCCATCTAAAAAAAAATTAAAAAAATTAAAAATAAAGACTAGTGCATACAAGTTCTAGCTCACTGACTTAAAGGACTGTATGTTATTTCATTATATAGTTGGTACGACCATTATTTATATAAAGCCTCCTATTGGTTGATTTTTCTTTTTAATATTTGTTTTTAATTGACACATAATTGCATACAATTTGAGTTACAGTGTGATACTTCGATACCTGTATACAATGTTTAAGGATCAAATTAGGGTAATTAGCATATTCGCCCCAAATAATCATTTCTTCATGTTGGGAACACTCGCAATCCTCTCTTGTAGCTATTTGAAAGTATAAATTGCTGCCAACATGGTCACACTAAGGTACTGTGTAACACTAGAACTTATTCCTCCCATCTAGCTGTAATTTTGTATCCATTAAGCAACTTCTCCCTAGCCCCCTACACTCTACTCTTCCTAGCCTCCAGTTACCACTATTCTGCTCTCTACTTCTGTGAAATCAACTTGCTTAGCATCCACATGTTAACAAGAACATCTTATGGTGCCTGGCTTGTTTCACTTAACATTATGTTCTTTGGGCTCATCCATGTTCCTGCAAGTGACAGGATTTCATGGTTTTTTATGGCTAATATCCAGTGTATATATGTACCGCATTTCTTTATCCATCTGTTGGTGGATCCTTAGGTTCATTCCTTATCTTGGCTGTTGTGACTAGCAGTAAACGCAGGAGTGCAGGTATCTCTTCGGCAGACTGATTTCATTTCCTTTGGATATATATACAGTAGTGGGATTGCTGGATCATATGGTAGTTCTATTCGTAGTTTTTTTTTAGGAACCTCTATGCTGTTTTCCATAATGACTATACTAATTTACATTCCCAATAACAGTGCAGTGTATAAGAGTTCCCTTTTCTCCACATCCTTGCCAACATGTTTTTTTCTTTTTGATAATAGCCATTCTTACTGTGGTGAGATGATACCTCATTGTGGTCTTGACTTGCATGTCCCTAATAATTAGTGATGTTGAACATTTTTTCATGTACTTGTTGGCCATTTATATGTCTTCTTTTGAGAAGTGTCTGTTTGGCTCATTTGCCCATTTTTTTTTTTTTTCTTTTTGAGACAGAGTCTTGCTCTTGTCGCCCGGGCTGGAGTACAGTGGCGCAGTCTCTGCTTACTGCAACCTCCGCTTCCAGGGTTCAGGTGATTCTCCTGCCTCAGCCTCCAAAGTAGCTGGGATTACAGGTGCCTGCTGGCTGATTTTTGTATTTTTAGTAGAGACAAGGTTTCACCATGTTGGCCAGGCTGGTCTTGAGCTCTTGACCTCAGGTGATCCACCTGCCTCGGCCTCCCAAAGGGCTGGGATTACAGGGGTGAGCCACCATGCCCGGCCCATTTGTCCACTTAATTTTTTTTTTTTTTTTTTTTTGGCTGTTGAGCTCCTTGTGTATTCTAGATATTAATCCTTTGTCAAGTGAATATTTTGCAAATATTTTCTCCCATCCTGTGGGTTGTCTCTTCATTCTATTGTTTCCTTTGTTGTACAGAAGCTTTTTTGTGTAATAGAATTCCATTTGCCTATTTTTGCTTTTCTTGCCTGTGTTTTTGAGATTTTATTCATAAAATCTTTGCCTAGACCAATGTCCTGAAGCATTTCCCCTGTGTTTTCTTGTAGTAGTTTCAGGTCTTACATTTAGGTCTTTAATCCATTTTGATATTTATATATGGTGACAGATAAGGATCTAGTTTCATTCTTCTGCATATGGTTATTCTTACAGTTATCCTATTTTTCCAGTACCATTTATTGAAGAGTGCTTTTTTCCCCAGTATATGCTCTTGGTGCCTTTGTGAAAAGTCAGTTGGCTGTAAATGTGTGAATTTATATCTGGGTTCTCTATTCTGTTCCATTGATCTATGTGTCTATTTTTATGCTAGTACCATGCTGTTTAGATATTATAGCTTTGTAGTATATTTCGAGGCCAAGTAGTGGTGATGCCTCCAGCTTTGTTCTGTTTGCTCAGGATTGCTTTGGCTATTGGGGGTCTTTTGTGGTTCCATATTAATTTTAGAATTTTTTTTTGACATTTCTGTGAACAGGATCATTGGTATTTTGATAGGGATTGCATTGACTCTAGATTACTTTGGGTAGTATGGTCATTTTAATATTTATTTTTCTTATTGGTGGATATTTACATTAATTTTGCCTTTGTTGCTGCTATAGGCAGTGTTAAAGTGGTATTTAATAAATAATTTTTATCAGAAATTTCTAATAGCCACATCTGTTGTACACTTTTCATTTGTCTTTTTTATTTTTTTGCAACAAAGTCTTGCTCTGTCACCCAGGCTGGAGTGCAGTGGTGCTCACTATAGCCTTGACTTCCTGGGCTCAGGCAGTCCTCCTACCTCAGCCTCCCAAGTAGTTGGGACTGCAGGCGTGTGCCACCATGCCTGGCTTATTTATTTTTAATTTTAATTTTTGTGGAGATGAAGTCTCACTGTATTGCCTGGGCTGGTCTTGAATTCCTGGGCTCAAGTGATCCTTCCACCTTGGCCTCCCAAAGCGTTGGGATTACAGACGTGAGCTACCCATGCTCAGCCTGTCATCTTTCTTGATTCCCATGAATATCTGCTGTGTTTGGCTTTTTCTTTCTTGATATTCTTTGGAGGCTGGGAAGATACCGCTCTGTGGTATTCTCTCCTCCCTTTCTCCCTTCGAAGTCCTAACCAGGCCTGACCCTGTTACAGCTTCTGAGGTCAGATGAGATAGGGTGCATTCAGGGTGGCTTAGCTGTAGACTCTCGTTTTCTTTTTTTTCCTTTTTTCGAGACAGGGTCTTGCTCTTTTGCCCAGGATGGAGTGCAGTGGTGTGATCACAGCTCATTGCACCCTTGGCCTCCTGGGCCCAAGTGATCCTCCCACCTTAGCCTCCTGAGTAACGGAGACAAACTTTATCTATTTTTCGTAGAGACAGGGTCTCACTGTATTGTCTAGGCTGGTCTTGGACTCCTGGGCTTAAGCAGTCCTCCTGCCTCAACCTCCCAAATTGCTGGGATTACAGGCAGGAGCCACTGTGCCCAGCTTCTCCTTCCTTTTGCTAGATCTCTCTCTTGAAATGTGGTCCTTGACTTTTATTCCTAGGTAGGTGATCTCTCTTTCACTTTAAACTTTTTTTTTTCTTGCTGACATCCAACTGTTTAGCTCCAGCCTCTTTTTGAGCACCTTAGACACAAATGTATTTTGGGGTCAGGTACAACCCAGAAAATTCACCTCTCCTTCAGTCCCTCCTGCTGTGTTCCTTACACATATAGCATAGCCGTAAAGTTAGACCCGGATTCCAAATCTGCCTCTGCTACTTACTAGCTGTGGACCCCAATGGACAAGTTTATTACAAGAAAATTTAATCCTTTCATCTGTAAGTGGAATTAACAGTCTCCATGTCATGGGGGCTTCGTAAAGGTTCATTGAGCCACTATGTATCTCACTGTGTACCTGGCACAGTGCTCGGCACTTAGTCACTGGCAGCTGTTGTAACTGCCACCTACATGACTAGAACCTTTCCGTAGCATATTGTCAAATCTACATTTTAAGTCTCTACAATCTGGTCCTGCCTTTATGTCCTCAGAACCCTTTCCTGTGACTTCATGCTCTGTTGATACTGTCACCCAGGCTGGAGTGCAGTGGCACAATCACAGCTCACTGCAGCCTTGACACACTGGGCTTAAGGGATCCTCCTGCCTCAGCCTCCCAAGTAGCTGAGACCACATGTGTGTACCACCATGCCTGGATGATTTTTTTTATTTTCTGTAGAGACATAGTCTTGCTAGGTTGCCCAGGCTGGTCTCAAACTCCTGGGCTCAAGTGATCCTCCCACCTTGGCCTCCGAATGTTAGGATTACAGGCGTGAGCCAGCACAGCTGGCCTTCTGTTGACTCTGTAAGTTCTTTGGTGGTTTTGCCCCTAGTTTTATCCCATCTGGTATCTGGTTTACAGCAGCTATTTCAAACACCTCAGTTAATTGTGGTGAGAATTTTGTAAGATTCGGCAGGGTAGGGAGGATGGGGACAGGTTCTTGGGGTGCATGAATGAGTCCTGCTTTCTCAGCCTGCTGGCGGTTTTCCTTAATCTCTCTCTTGCTTTGATCTCTCACTTCTTCCACATTCCTGGGCACCCACCCACATCCCTTACCCCAGACACTTGCTTCCTACCTAGATGCTACCTTGGTAGGGAGGTGCAGCCTTGTCGCTGAAATGGAGGTAATGTGGGCCTGGGATTTGTGTCTTTTTCAGAACAGTGCAACCCTGAAACTCGTCCTGTTGAGAAAAAAATAAGATCAGCTCTTCCTACCAAAACCGTAAAGCCTGTGGAAAACAAAGGTGGGTTGGTTGACTTCAAACAAATCTACAAGGGACTTCACATAGAATAAGTCGAAGGAAAAGGGGAGAGTGGGGCTGGTCAGGGAATCCAGAACAATAGCTTCATTGGGAAGGAACAGCTTCCTTAGCCTTGAGCATCAGGAGTGGGGCCATGTCATCATGGGTGATATTGAGGCAACAGCCTGAAAGCAGTATTCAGGAGAAGAAAAATGGGCAGAAGACAGAGATGAGAAAGGCCATGGCTGTGGTTTGGGGGTTTGCGGTGGGCCCTGCTGGCAGGAGCCTTCTCTAGCCCATAGCTGCTGGTCTCCCTCCATGAATCTGGCTGGGACTGTCAGTTCACCTGAACTCAGCCCAGGCAGGAGGCTTTCTTTGTCCTAGATCATCTCGCTGCTGCTGGGGGTTCAGAGCTCACAGCAGTAGTGGGCTGTCAACCCATCCGTCCAGCCATCTAAACGTTCTTTAATACCTCCTGGGTGTCAAGCACCATGCCAGGCTCTGAAAGCAGCCCCTCTGGTGCCACCAAAGAGGTATTGAACATTCACTCCAAAGGCATGGCCCATTTTTGCCCTTTGAGAAATTTCCAGGTTGGGTTCAGGCAATGCCAGCAGTTTCTGCCCATGCTGAAAGCACAGGAGATTCTACTTGGCTGGTTTTTACAGAGCATCCAGTTAATTGGCCCATCACAGGGTTGGAGCCATGTTGAGGTGGGGATGGGTATTAAGTTATTAGACAACCGGGGTCTAAGCCTAAAGACCACAGGACCACATATACAGTAAGGATGTGAACACTAGAGTGCATTTGTTAAAATCACCAATTCTTTCACTTAGCCTCCCTCTTCTAAAAAAGGAGTGTTAGTATAGTCACAGACTCCGGAGAAGAGGATTTTTGTCTGTACCTGCTTGAATACCCCTATCACTATCACATGTGCGTGCACACATTTTTATCCTGTTCAAGTAGTGGTTAAAATCTGGTGCCCAGGCCTCCTTTTTAGCCATGAGCCATTGACTGTTTTGTATTCCTTAGATGATGATGACTCTATAGCTGATTTTCTCAATAGTGATGAGGAAGAAGACAGAGTTTCTTTGCAGAATTTAAAGAATTTAGGTAAGTCTGTGCTATGCTTGTCAATCGTTGAGATACATTTACTGTGTTGTAAGGATTGTGATTTTTTAAAAAGTTTTTAATTTCTTGAATAAGTATGGCATGTAGGGCTCTTACTATCTAGCCACATAATCTGTAAACATACAGGGTTTCACACCTCCCAGCCTGCCCACACCATTCCTTCTGCCTGGAATCCTGCTGGTCTTGTGGGTTGGCAAAATTCTGCTCCTCCTTCAAGCCTTGGTTCAAGTTTTCTTCACTCAGCTAAGCTTTTCTTGACCTTTTGTGTCTCTTTCAGAATTAGGCACTTTTTTGGTTTCCCATAGCAACTTGGACTTAATAGTAATAAATCACTGTTACATTTCATGGTAATTTGTCTCTCACATACCGATTTGTACAGCAGGGACCTGTATTCCCAGATCCCCAGTGCTCAGCTCACAGTCCAGCCCTTAACACAAACTGGTTATCACATGATTTGATTTAGGGGGAAACAGGTGTTGCCATTTTTGTAGCACTGCTTATTCAGTCCTTACAACATTCTGTTACATGTGCATGGGGTCTGTTAATTTCATTCTTCCCATTTCACAGAATCATGTTAAAAGGTTATGTTTTGCACTTAGTCTCATGGTAATGATTAGTTAGACTGAGTTTGGAGATGAGCTAGTAATAGGTGTGAAAAATTTTACAGACTGTGAAGTACCATGCAGGTATTATTGTTGGTTCCCTGCTACTGGTGCTGCTGCATGCCAAATGGCATGCTTAGACATCATTCAGATTATTTCGTATAGCCGTCTTCACCACTGGCAACTTTTATGGCTAGAAAGAAAGAAAACATGCCAGCAGCTTAATGCTACTATTTGCTTTGTGATTGTGCTGATAAAGCATTTTTTTCTTAGCTGAAGTGGCACGAAGTTACAATATTTACAAAGATACCAAGAACTGGTATCTGTTACTGCATTTAATGCGGAAATAGTTTGATATGCTGGTCTTACCTTTCATTTTATAGAGGTGGGGTCTCGCCATGTTGCACAGGCTGGTCTTGAACTCCTGAGCTCAAGCAATCTGCCCACCTTGACCTCCCCAGTTGCTGGTATTACAGGCATGAGCCACCACACCTTGCTGATAGTTTTATTACACTTGAAATAGCTCTTCACTTTTCAGCCATCTCCATGTGTTTCCACTTGAACTCAGACTGGCTTTTTTTCTTGTTAATTTTTAGGGGAATCTGCAACATTAAGAAGCTTATTGCTCAATCCACACCTCAGGCAGTTGATGGTCAACCTCGATCAGGGAGAAGACAAAGCAAAGCTCATGAGAGCTTACATGCAAGAGCCTTTGTTTGTGGAGTTTGCAGACTGCTGTTTAGGAATTGTGGAGCCATCCCAGAATGAGGAGTCTTAAGATGGATTATTGTGCTGCTTGCTCAAGCGTGTGCTTGACTCCTGGAACCTGCCTGCTCCCTCTCCCAGACCAGCTAGTTTGGGGCTGGGGAGCTCAGGCAAAAGAGGTTTCCAGGATGCAGATTAGGTCATGCAGGCCTTTACCGGCATTGATGTGGCTCATGTTTCAGGCAGACTTGGGGTCCTTAAGGTGGCAAGTCCTTTATGGAGAGAAAACTTGACATTCAGATGATTGTTTTTAAATGTTTTACTTTTGGTACAGTTGATAGACATCATAAACGATATCAAGCTTACACTTCATATGGAGTTAAACTTGGTCAGTGTTAATAAAATCAAAACGTGATTCTACTGTACATTGCATTATTCATAATTTAATTGTTTGAAATTACATTAAATAAATCAACTAATTAAATACTAAAGTTTTGTTCCTTTTTAAAGGAAATAACCACAAGATTTTTCCCAGCCCAAATTCCAGCGCCAATTTTAGGCCAACTTTGGCTGTTTTCTTCCAAAAGTGCTTATGTGGAATTGGGATCCCCAGTGTAGTGACAGACAGTCATGACTGCTGCTGAGTTTGATCTGTGAAGGTAGTGAAATGTGGCCCTGATGTTTCTTAACCCTGATTTGGTAACTACCAGCCCTGACACCATCAGTGCTTGATGTAGCCTGGAACCCCAGGCCCACTGACGCACTGGGCACGGGGCTCTGGGTCGAAGGCTGGAGCCGTCACTGTTGTTCATGTGCATTTGGAGCACTGTGGGAATAGTCTGGCAGCTGTGTGCTGATTAAATGTCTTTGGCAAGGCAGGGGGCAGGAAAAGGCCTTGTGGAAACAAAGGCACCAAGGATCACCCCAGCCCAGTGAAGGCAGAAGAGGTCACGTGGATCAGCCTGTGTCTTTCCAGCAGAATCTGATTAAAGCCTGTAATGCTGTAGGGTGAAGGTTCAGGGCAGATGTCAGCATACCGCAGTGGAGACTTTCTGCAGTGAAACTTTATCGATCCCTAGAGGGGAGAGAGAGATGCAGCTTTAGCACTAGTTCCTGGGAGTGCCAGGGCCTAACAACCCCACAGAGCAGACGCTAAAAATGCAAGAAGGTATGGACAAGTACTAGTATTGGGGGCCACAGCAGGATTAAAATAGCATTACATCCACTCAGTGTGAGACAGATGAGGAAACCCTAGGAGGAGGCGCTCCCTAAGAGGAATGTCTGTCACATTCCTATGACTGCTTAAAGCCAGAAGGGCAAAACATTTACCCTTCTGTTTAGCAGGCCTGTGTGTTTTCATGGGAGACTTCATCCAGATTAAGGCCTATAGTTATTCCTCTGAATGGAAATTTGGTGTTTCCTTCTGCCTTGTCATTTCACTTACTCCTTGCTGTGACTCCATGCAGTAGGTTGAGTATTAGCCCATTTTATAGACAGGCTCCGAGAAAATGTGTCTTAGCCAAGATCATCCAGTGAATGGGGCAGAACCAGGATCCAGACCCTGGGGTTCTACCTCCCAGTGCAACATACTTTCACCTTTCCTCGGCCACTTTAATTCTATGAGGCCTGGCTTACTGGGGTGACTCACAAAGCCCTGAGTGACAATGACTTCCTGAGTGTGCTGGCTGACTTTTCCCTGGATGCTTATATAAAAACAGCTGGGCACGGTGGCTCACACCTGTAATCCCAGCACTTTGGGAGGGCAAGGCAGGCAGACCACTTGAGGTCAGGAGTTTGAGACCAGCCTGGCCAATATGGCGAAACCCCGTCTCTATTAAAAATACAAAAAAAAAAATATAGCCAGGCATGGTGGCACATGCCCTGTAGTCCCAGCTATTCGGGAGGCTGAGGCAGGAGAATCGCTTAAACCCACTGCATTCCATCCTGGGCGACAGAGTGAGACTCCGTCTCAAAAAATTAAATAACATGAAAAAAAAAAAAAACCCACAGAGAACTTGGACCACTGACCCTGCTTGTCATTTCGTCAGCCAGAAAAGGAAAAAACCAAGCAATACAATTTGGGGAAAACATGGTGCCAAATCCAGTGCCATTTGAGGTAACAAACTCCTCACAACCCAAGTTGTGATGTGGGACTAATTAGATTATTTGCTCTCAAGTCTTGGGTAGTTTCTTTTTTGCTATGTCTCGTGAATTTTTCCTCTTTTCTGTAATTGACCTATTATTACCCTAAACCAAACTTTTTTTTTTTTTTAGATGGACTCTCGTCCTGTCACCCAGGCTGGAGTGCAGCGGCGCAATCTCGGCTCACTGCAACCTCTCCCTCCCAGATTCAAGCAATTCTCATGCCTCAGCCTCCCGAGCAGCTGGGACTACAGGCGCCTGCCACTACGCCCAACCAATTTTTGTATTTTTAGTAGAGATGGGGTTTCGCCATGTTGGCCAGGCTGGTCTTGAACTCCTGACCTCAGGTGATACACCCGCCTCGACTTCCCAAAGTACTGGGATTATAGGCGTGAGCCACCGCTCCAGGCCCTAAGCTAAACTTTCATCACCTCCTGCTCCTGACTCATCTAAAGCCTTGGTTCTCACAGTGTGGTTCATGGAGCATCAGAATCAGCTGGGAGCTTGCTAGAAACGCAGCATTGCATTTGGAAATGGGACTAGAAGATTTAGAGATGCTGAAATAATTAGAAGCAGTTTTTAAAAAGATAAAGGGCTCTGGAAGATTCCCAGTTATAACAAAATAAATAATCCAAACCTGCAGCTGATTGGGACATGCAGCCCTCTGGTTTACCCAGTAGGGTTAGGGATGGATCTTGTCCCAGCCTCAGTCTCATTCCCGCTGTGAACTTGTAGGCTTTGCTCCTGCTGTTCTCAGGAACAAAGCTGTCATGGCCATCACACACAACGTACCTGAGGCAGCGCTCGGATGGACGTGACACCAGCCTGGTCTTGTGCTGTCTGGACAGTGTAGCTACTGGGGCTGCCCCTGGGGAGCTGGAGGCAAGCCCAGACCACTAATTTCCTCTGAAAGCTGCCTACACCCATAGCCGTATTGGCCAGGACCAGTCCCAGGGGCCAGAGGCGGATTATTGCCTCCAGGAGCCTGGTCTGCAGCGGCGAGGTGCTCAGGGAACAGGGAGCTTGAGAGAAGTGTTTTTCTTCCACACCATCCAGCTCTTTAGCAGCAAGGCAGGCCATTCTGATCTTAAAAAGCAAATATCCCTTTATAGCTTTAGATTTATCTAGCCCTCTTAGCAGAAAATGGAAATCAAAACTATCTTTAACAAATCATCTTAACAAGGTGAACTGAAGGCACCTGGTTGCAAACAGCTGGCTGCCCTGAACCAAACTGGTTCCATATGCCACAAGTCTATACACCCCAGGCAACTGTGCTTAGGCCTTACATATGCTACTTGAAAACAAGATAAGAGTCCATCAAGATATAACTGATATGCCATAAAACCCAGTCTTCTAAAGTGTACATCCCAGAGTTTGGTATATTCCCAGAGTTGCTTATACCACTCTTCACCTACATAACCACCCTGCAGGGTAGGTGTTACTGTGCCCACTGCATACATGAGGAATATGAGGCTCAGAGAGGCTAAACAACCTGCCCAAGGCCACCTGCATTGCAGTGGCAGAGCCAGCATTCCCACTCGGGTCCATCTGGTCCCCAAAATTGATCCACTGCCCACCCCGACTTCTTGGGTCTTACTTACTCTCCACTTCTGCCATGCACGCTTGATGACTGTGGCAGCTGCATGCAGCCTCTGGATGTGTTTCCGAGTTAACCAGGAACGAATGGCTAAGAGGTTTGCCCAGAAACAGGAAAGAGATAATAAAGGGGCCATTAGAGCTGTCAGTGACCTCGCTGCAGCAGCACCACAGTTGCTGTCAAAGTTTCAAATACGTTTTTTTTTTTTCAATAAATTGCTACAAATAAGGTTCTAAAATCAATACATAAGGCAAAATTGGCTTTTAAACATTCCTTACACTGCCCACACACTTGAATACACCTACACAACACAGTGAAGGGGCACTGGGGAGAAGGACTGGCTGAGGGCCCAGCAATCACTTCCCGTCTCAGGCTGGGTCCAGGTCAGCACCCAGGGAATGGGAGGGGTCTGGATTGTCTGTGCCTTTAAAAACTTTTTTTTTTGTTTTGTTTTTAATCCTCAGTTGAATTTGTTCGCTTTATGCATCCCTGATCTCACATCACCATATACCCAAACACTGATACAATTAATAGATGGTGGTAATTTTTATTCCCTTCTCTGCAATTTCAGCATATTCTTTTTCTTTTTGTTTCTTTTTTTTTTTTTTTTTTTTTTTTTTTTTGAGACAGGGTCTTGCCCAGGCTGGAGTGCAGTGGCACGAACAGCTTATTGTAGCCTCCGTAAGGCTGTAGCTTCAATCTCCCAGGCTCAAGCAATCCTCTTGCCTCAGCCTCTGGAGTAACTGGGACTACAGGCATGTGCCACCAGGCACGGTTAATTATGTTTTGTTGTTTTTTTTTTTTTTGAGACAGAGTCTTGCTCTGTCACCCAGGCTGGAGTGTAATGGTGCAATCTCAGCTCACTGCAACCTCTGCCTCCTGGGTTGAGGTGATTCTCCTGCCTCAGCCTCCTGAGTAGCTAGGATTATAGGTGCATACTACCACACTTGGCTAATTTTTGTATTTTTAGTAGAGAAAGGGTTTTGCCATGTTGCCCGGCTGGTATGAAATTCCTGGGCTCAAGTGATCCTCCCACCTCAGCCTCCCAAAATGCTGGGATTACAGGAGCGAACTACTGTGCCCAGCTTCCTTATACAATTTTTTAATGCCTACACACACACAAACACACCTTAAAAGGAGGGCATCGCCCTTAATATGTAGTTTGACATCTAGGTATGAATATCATTTTGGAAGTGGTTCTCCATTAAATTTATAATATTCTTCAAAAACACTTAGCTGCATCATAGGGATGGTCCAGTCCATCATTTGGCCATGATGTCACCACTGTTAGATATTTGGGTTCTTTCCAACACTTTTCCTTTTCAAAATAAGACCACTATGAACATGTTGGTTAATACATCTTTTCATCTGATGAACTCCTTTTGGTTTTTACCTTCTCCTTAAATTCATTCCAGCCCTAGAGCCCAGCAGGTAATGGTTTGAGTTGTCATAAAGGGAAAAAAAGTTGGCCTAAACAGCTGTCAGGGTCTGAGAAAGGAATTAAAGACAACGCTTAGACAACGCTTAGCCTCCACTTCTTACAGAGCACCTTTGTTTGTGGAGTGACTTGGTTTCCATTGAACTGGAGAGACGTTATGAGTGAGGGGGACAGGGAATTTGAATCCCAGCACACCACAGGGACATCTCTTCAGGCTGGGACACAGCTTCAGGAGATGGGGACTCGACGAGCTATGTTTCAAAGGAAACCAACATCCTGTGGGGTCTGTGAGCAGTGCTGACAGGTGACCTGCCCACCTACCTGCCTGGATGAGCATGACGGCCCGCCACTGCCGCTCCTGCTCTCGGTGCCGGTGTCGCCTCCAGCCACCCTGGATGCAGCGGGCACACTGCTCCAGCACCCGGGCACGCCCACATTCCAGAAGCTCCAGCTGGGAGAAAAGGCATCCATTGAGGGCAGCCTCTTCTCCCCCTGCCCCCTCCTGCTGAGGAGAGCACACAGCTTGCCTCTGTAACCTCCTCATCCCCAAACCAGCTCACCATAGAGTCAGTCATGAACACCTTGGTCCTGCCACAGTGCATGGGGGCTGGCATGGCCTCAGCCGAGTCACCAGTTATGGCTGCTGCCTGAGTTAGGACCGGCAGAGTGTGGAGAATGTCCTGGATGAGAGGTTCAAGCGTGGCTTCCTCGCTGTGTGGACACCATTCTGGGGGAGGGAGATGGCCCCATCAGTGCATGGTCATCTCTACATGCCTCTGTGGCCTGAAGAAACTGGCTTTGGCCTCCCTAGCACTCTACAGGTCTCTTTCCTGCTGTTCTTGGCTCTAGCCATTTTCTCCTTGTTCTTCTTTTGGAGGAAGCCACAAACAGCCTCTCTGTTGTCCCTCAGGGTGCTAGCTGTTCCGTGGAGCCTTGGAATACCCACTTGCGCCTGTGTGTCCTGGGGTGTCCCACAGCCTCTACTGCCATGAGTCCCTTTGGGCAGGCTGGCAGAGGGTGCTTGACACCTGGAAGGGTGACTCCTTCCAAGCTTGGAATCCCAGGCTGCTCAGCCAGCATTTGTTTCCAAGGCCCAAACACACATCCTGAGGGCCAAATAGGGCAGCTATAGGCCACTCCCTCAGCCCCGACCCCTCAACTCCCCACCATGTATGGGAAAAGGGAGATCCAATCCCAGCCCTTAGTTTGGGAATCTTCTACTGCAAATAAAAAGAATAAATTAAAAAATAAATTTAAAAAATCCCAGCCCTGCAAAGGTCCCGTGTCCCACTGCCTGCCCTCCCGCAGCTCGCAGAGCTGACTCCTGGAGAGGTAGGATTTACCTGAGGGCTCTGACCACCTTAGATGCCCAGTGCCTCTCTGAAGACAGAGGCTGCCAAAGGAGACACCACAGATGAGAAACAGCAGCAAAATCAACCAGGGGCCAGAAGGGCTATGGGCAAGAGACACGGAACAGGACAGCAAACCATGGAGAGGGAGAAGAAAGGAGAAAGGGTGAAAGGAAAGTGAAAACTGCCCAGGAGGGGAGGAAACAAAGCAGGATTGCCCCAATGGCTGTGAGGGGCCCAGGGTAAGGCTGGGTGGGAGGGGCAGAGGTGCTGGGCTGGGGTCCTGCCGAGGCGGGGCCCCCCGGCAGCCTGTCCTTGGCCTGTTCTCCCTCTGCCTGTGTCTGGGCCCTGTGGCTCCCACAGCCTCTCTTTTATCTGCATGCCGACAACCCCCATATGAGGGCCTCCAGATCCTTCCTTTGAGACTAAAGCCTGCCTAAGTGCCTTGCAGACTTCTTCACTGGACCTGCAGGACAAGTCACCCATGCCCGGGCTCTTCAGCCTCCCTGAACCTCTTTTCCTCTTGCTTTTCCTCACTTCCCAGGCTAAGTTAATTTACTCCTTTCCTCTCCCTCTACATCTAGTCAAGCCCCTACCAAGACTGACCAGTTTCTTCCAACAAATATTTCCCGACTGTGCCCACAATTCTTGTTTCTCTCTATTGGGGCAACTTTGCAGCCTCAATCCCACAGCCCTCCATGGTGCCCCCAGAGTGGTCTCCAGAAAGTGTGAGGCTGATAAGAGTCATTTGCTCCTTCCCCTGCAGTGCCTGCTCATCTGCCCAGAGAATAAAGTCCAGATTCCTTGATGGAGCCCTACCTGCCACTCCAGCCTCACCTGCCCCAGTTCTCTGCCTCAATGAACCAGCAACACAGAACTGGCTGGAGTTCCTCATACCCACACTGCTGCCTCAAGCCTCTAGGCCTTTGTTCAGATTACATTTATCATGTGGACCACCCATCACCTGGCTAATCCAATTTATTCTCAGATACTACCTCTTCCAGGAAGCCTTCCCCAATTCACACCTCCCTAGCACCACCCACAGCATCCTGCTCATAGCTCTGCTTTTCCACTTTCCATGCTATTTGTCTTTTTTGAATCTGTTTCCCCCACTGAACCAAAACCAGGGCTGTGTTTTATTCACCAGTAAGCCCCAGCCCCTAGCCCTAAGACAGGGCACAGGGTAGATGCTCAGTAAACTGTGGTTGCACAAATGACTAACTCATGGGTCCCACTCACCAGGGAGCCCTTTGGCAGGATATGGGCTGTCGGGGCCAGAGGATGTGCAAGGATGAAGCCTTCTTAGTAACTTGTATCGTTCTACAAAGTTTCGGTGAGAGACCCTGGAGGCCAAAGCAGGCAGAAGTAGAGAATTACTTCATCTGTGAGCCAGGTTAACGGTTCAGGGCTCATCAGAAGTTATTCTATTTAATCTGCTCAACAACACAGCACGGTGCTGCCCTCCCCGAGTATCCCCACTGAATGTGAATGTGGTTTTGAAGCGATTTCTAGGATCACTTAGTTGGAAACCCATAAAGACTATTTAAAATGGGTCTGCTCTCCCTGCTGCCTTGGTCTACCAACACAAAGCATCTCTTGTGTTAGCAGGGGATTTGCGGGCTGCCTCCCTCCAAAGGGGCTGACAGGCCTCTCCCCAAACAATTGGACCAGTCCTATGACGCAGACATGCTTGGCCACATCTCCCCTCTGACCTCTCTGACCCCACAGTCTCCTCTGCCTCCCCCAGATCTCCCTGCTCCTCATCAAGGCAACACTTCTCAGACAGCTGCTGGCACCTGATATCTGCACTTCCTCCCAATTGCTTGTCAGCCCTCCTGAGTCTGGCTTCTGTCCCCAACATTGTACCAGTGTGGCTTTTGTCACAGCCATCAGCTGGGTACAAAATAGTGCACAATAAGTGAATGGATGAACGAATGGGTGCTGCTCCCTAGTTCCCAGCTGACTTCTACAGACCAGCCTCTTTCTCTTCATTTCCACATCTCACTCTGGGTTGGGCAGGCTCTTGCCCAATGAGAGTCCTGAGCCCCACTCTGTACTGGCCCTGCACTGTGCCGTGATCGAGCCCACTCACCGGATGGGGAAGCCAGCAGCACTGATATGGATGGTCTCCACGAGGCCACAGGCCTCCAGCTGGCTCAGGACCTGCAAGGGTGGGGAGACAGGGCAGGCACCTGCAGCATGGGGCCAGCAGGCCAGAAATGCCATTCTCTCAGCCCTTCTTCTTAGACCCTGGCCAGTGCCAAGCTGCAGGCTCTCCCAAGGCTTGGCTAATGGGGGTATCTCCTTGGGGCTGTGAGAAATCGAGGGACCTTGAAAACAAATCTCCCACTAGAAAGGGTCCTGGTGGTCCCAAGTCCCCCTCATCCGACGCATGGCTTCTGATACAGCTGAAGCAAGTGATGTCCTGGCTCCGTCTCACCCTGCCCTCAGTGTAGTCTCACTACCACACAACCCAGCCCAGGCAAATTTCCAGTTTGGATTGTTTTCACTGTCTGCAGGCATTAGAGGGTGGTTCACAGCTGAGAGGCAGGGAAGATTATACTATGAAGATTCTTCTGTGACCTGAACCCAGGTCTTTACCACAGAGCTGAGTTGTCCTGGCTACAAACCGGAAGGCCACATCTACCAGGCCACACCTTCAGCAGTGCCCAGCATTCACCCCTCATCCACATCCCTCAGAACCTGGAATCCCAAGAAAAGGGCAGCTGCTGGCTAGAGTGCTTTTGTTAGATTAGAAAAAAATGATACCGGCTGAGTGCAGTGGCTGCTCATGCCTGTAATCCCAGCACTTTGGGAGGCTGAGGTGGGCAGATCACCTGAGGTCAGGAGTTTGAGACCAGCCTGGCTAACATGGTGAAACTCCATCTCTACTAAAAATACAAAAATTAGCCAGGTGTGGTGGTGCATACCTGTAATTCCAGCTATTTGGGAGACTGAGGCAGGAGAATCACTTGAACTCGGGAGGCGGAAGTTGCAGTGAGCTGAGATTGCACCACTGCACTCCAGCCTGGGTGACAGAGTGAGGCTCAGTCTCAAAAAAAAAAAAAAAAAAGAAAAAAATGATACCTCCAGTGAGAAATGGCTGCACTGTGCGGGGACTGTGTGGTGATGTAGACTTTCAGCTAATCACGAGACACCCATTCCTCTGGGCAGTTTCAGTCTCTCATCAGGGTACATGGCTCAAAAAAACAAGATGCACTGGAACTTGCCTCCCTGGCTAGGCTACTATGCACAGACCACACAACCATACATGCCTGCCCTGCCACAGCAAGGGAGATGGGTCCTCTCTCATGTCAGGCCTGGCCGGAGAGACCACTTCTGTGCACTCCATTTGGAACAGATGTCCTGCCCTTCATCTCTCCAGGGCCTTGGCCAGATGGGGTTTGGTGCGAAGCAGCTTTGGCCCGGTGTTAATTACCTCCTCTTGGAGAAAGGTCTGCGCCTGGCCCTGGCTGTTGGGCTTGATGCAGCGAATGTAGTGGGGCGTGGTGCTGTGTAGGACCTGCAGAAGCTGCTCCAGTGAGGCCTGCAGATGAGAGACCATGGGGTTAGGCAGGGAGAGGGGCTGCCCAGGGCCATCAACTGGGCTCTGGTTAGTAACTACATCAAATGCCTCCAGCGGGCCCTTCCATGATCCTGAGACCAAGAATCTCCTGTGCAGGGATGACTGCTGCAGGCTCTCAACGAGCAGGCTCAGAGCACATTCCTCTCCCAACTTCCCATGCTCCTCACCTCTGTCTTAAGGGACCCTTCTAAACCTGTGATCCTCCCTGACTGTTCTCCCTGAATCCAATCTCCTCCTCTTTCCCCTCCCCACTTCTCCCCAGAGCAATCTTCTTAGAAAAGAACAATCTCAAAACTTCTTGCCATTCGTCCAGCAACAACTGTTATCACTCAGCTCATCCTGTGTGTTGGAGGCTGTGCCACAGGCTGCCTGCTGCCATGTCAGAGCTCACTCCAATGGGCCACACATGTTGGATGAACACCCTCGGGGGTGTGTTTGAGGCTGGGTAGGAAGGTGCTAATCAAACCTGGTTTTCCAGGTGCCTCCTCGAGGTGGTGGTGATAAAGCTAAAGTCTGAAGGATGAGAAGGACTAAACTAGGAAAAGGGGCGTGGAGGATGGGAGTGAGGTGGAGCTGATGGGGCAGTAGTCAAGAGTATCCCAGGAAGGTGGGGCGGTACATGCAAGGACTGAGAGGTGGTAGAAAGCAGACGATGTGAGAGAAGTGAGTGAGGGTAGGGTTAGAACAGGAAGCTAGACAGCTGGAGATGAGCCAGGTCAAAGAAGCTCATGTAGCTGATCCTCTTCCCATGAGCACCCCAGTGGCAGGGGGTGAGAGGCTGCATAGTGCCCCCATAGGCCCCTAGACTTCCCATCATATTATACCTGATAGCCTATTTGTCTACTGTTTCTGTCTTCCACACTGAAGTATAAACTCCAGGGGACTGGGACCACATCTACTTGACTTGCCACTGCTCCCCAACAAACAGCACCGATCCCGGCAGGTGCTCAATAAATATTTGTGAGACCGTGGAGTTTGAACCAAGCACCTCCCATCAGCACATCAGACCCACCTTGAACTTGGACACCACGGTCAACACAGGGGCCCTGCTCTGGCCAGGGGGTTCCTCCTGGGTCTTCTCTTTGGGGTTAGTAGGAAACAGCCCCATGAGCAGGGGGTCCTGGGATTGCTGCAGGAGCCTGGTCAGCTCAGGTGGGATAGGGTCCTATTGGGAAATGGCAAGAGCAGCAGTGAGGGCAGGTGGAGCTTCTGCTCAGGGCCATCCACTGCCCACCCAAGCCGCAGATGACGGGGCTTCCAGGTAGGACAGGGCCTGAGTCCAAGAGAAGGTCCATTGGACAACCAGAGACCTGGAGACCCAGTCTAACATGGGTTATCTCCAGGCAGGTCATGCTTGATTAGTGGAGACCTCAGACAGGTGGGCCCAAGATGGTGATTCTGGATTCTGGGAGGAGGTTCAGGAGAGAAAGGACTCACGATGGGAAACTACTATGTCTGCATAGCAAAGACCCAGCATCTCGTTTCTCGCAGGCCCCACAGGGCATGGCCCAGCCCGTACCTTGTTCTTCTCCACCAGGCCTGCTGTGTGGTACCGCACAGGCCCCGCATAATGCACCACAATGAAGCTGGGCTCCCGGCTGAGCTTATTGTGGCCCAGGCAGGGGCTGCCTGCCAGGGCAGTCTCAATGCGTGTCTGGAGCTGGGCTGCGCTGCTGGGTCGATTGAGGCGGCATTCCTGTGGGATGGGAACAGGGGGTCAGCCACCAACATGAGAGTGTCTCACCACAACCCTCACTGTCCCCACCCTGTGGACCCCATGACAGCAGACATCACACAGGCATCATAGTGTCCCCAACAGAAAAAATATAGCAATTAGCAGATCTATTTGGCAGACTGGGAGGAGAGAGGCACAGAGAGGAAACAGGATAATCATCAAGGCCCCAGAAAACCCAAAGGCCAACTCTGGTGCTCGGCTCATTAGCTGACCTCCCCACCTCATTTATGAGGGAGCAGATGCTGATGGGGCTTCCCTCAATGAGATCCAAACAGGGCTGGTTGTCCTGGTAGTTGATGAATGACCACTCCAGGCCCTCAACTGCGTATTCCTCCTAAAGAACAAGGTGGGATGAGGTGGGAGAAGGCAGCTGTGGTCTGATGTCCTGACGGGCCATCCACGGCTGGCCTCGGTACCACAGCGTATTCCAGAACAGCATCAAAGAAACAAAAGTATATCAAAACATTACATTGTACTCCATATGTGCAATTATTATTTGTCAATTAAAAATAAAATAAGAAGGAACAAAAGGCTTCTAATCAGAACCTGGACTGGGGCTGGAAGGTCAGGAAGGGATTGAGGATCCAAAAGAAGGACCTGCCTCCTGCTCACCCCATCCCTCACCTGCTGGGCCCTTAGGTAGTGAGCCACAAAATGCTGCTGCAGCTTCTCATTGGCGTAGTTGATGCACAACTGTTCCAGACTGTTGTCAGGAAATGATTCAAATCCATACACATCCAGCAGGCCTGGGAAGATGGCAGAGAACCCATGGGGCCACTGCAGGGAGCAGATGGGGAATAGGGGACCAAGGAACCCAGGGTGGCTGGGCCCCTGCCAATGCCTTATACTTGGCAGCCTGGGCATCAGGCTGAGTGAGCATGACACCTGTGGTGGGCAGAACATACCTTCCCCACCCTCCACCCAAGGTGGCTCCCATCTCTACCCCATTCCCCTGTAGAGCTCAGAGCAAGCAGGAAACCCAAATGAAGTGTGAAGACAGCCCAGAGCATCAGGCCCATTTTTGAGTCTGAATTCTCTGGTTCTGATAGGCACCTCCTATGAGGAAACCAGGTCCCAGGGAACATTTTCTGTGTTAAATCTAGTTCGGAGGGCATTAGTCTCACTAGCCAATTTGGTGCCTAGAATTCCACCATTCCATGAGCAAACTGCACTTGTACCTTTAAGCTTTATTTCCTCCTATAACTGACTGTCCCACCTAGTTACAACCGTGTTGACCTCCCTCAGTCATGTCCCCCAAGTCTTTTTTTGTTCTCCCCCCTGAGATAGGGTCTTGCTCTGTTGACCAGGCTGGAGTGCAGTGGTGTGATCACAGCTCACAGAAGCTTCAAACTCTTGGGCTAAAGTGATCCTCCCACCTCGGTCTCCTGAGTAGCTGGGACTACAGGCATGTAGCACCATGCCTGGCTAATTTCTTTGAAATGGGGTCTTGCTATATTGCCCAGGCTGGTCTCCAACTCCTGGCCTCCAGTGATCCTCCCACTTTGGCCTCCCAAAATGTTGGGATTACAGGTGTGAGCCACGGTGCCAGCCTCCAAAGTCCCTTCTAATACAGCTATTTTCCCCAACCCCCACTACTCTCCCACAATTAGAGCTGGGTCTCTGGGGAGGTAAAGGGCTCTTTCAGACAAGGCACTGTTGAGCCTGTCTGGAGAGTTATGGACTGCTCAGATGTGGGTGCAGGAGAGCAGAGATCTCACCCTATGCAGAGATCTCGCTCTATGCTGGCAGGCAGATGCAAGAGGAGACAAAAAAGGGAAAGGAACTGCCCAGAGTCACACAGTGGACCCAGGGCTCCTGCCTCTCCATCCAGGGCTTTATTGCTCTTTTTCTGGAGTGCTCCCAGCACAGTGAGGCCTTGCTACCTATGAAAGTGGTCCACGAGTCGGTGTCTGCACAGATGCTGCTGTTGATCACTGATACCAGCCAGTCAAACAACCTGTTGGGGGAAGAGAGTGGACTCTGGTAAGAGGGTCTGGCTGAGTCAAAGGGGTGGTAAAATTGCTCCCCCCATCAGGGTGCTACACCCTGGGGGGCCCTTGTATTCTGAGCCTGACAGGTCAAAGACCAAATCCTCTCCTCTTGCTTCCGGCCTATCACGTCTTGACCTACTACAGATGCAGGCTATGGGCATGCATGTTGCCAGGTACACACAAACCTGGCATGTCCTTATGGGAAGACTGAGCACAGGACAAGCTCAGCTCCTAGGCTGGGGAGGGAATCAGTCGAGCTCAGTCACATGGCTCGAGACCCAGCTAGTGTCTTGGGAAGGGGCAGATGGGCCTGGGTGTGGTTTGTAAATAACTGAGTTCATTGAACACCCCTGCAAAACTCTACCGGTGGAGCCCAGAGCTCAAGGCCCCACCATACCCCCTGATGTAGTTCTGCACAAGTGGGCCCCCAGTCCCGAGGTCAACAATGGCATCCTCCACTCTAGAACCGGCCCCAGCCCAGAGAAGATGAGACTACCACACAAGACGCTGACACGTACAGCACTATACAGGGGTTTCTTCCTCACATTTTTTCTTAAAGTAATTGCTCTGCAACTTTTTTCCCTTCAGTAAATAAACTGGCTCTTTTTGCAACAGGGGCTGTGCAAATGTCCTGTGGTCAGAAGCTCACTCTATCTGTGTTCATCACACTTTATCTGCTCATCTTGGAGTGACTTGTAGGCAAAGGCTTTAAAAGCCTTTGACCTCAAATTGTGACCTGAAATTAGCTTGAGGCAGTGGTAACTAGTCTCTTGCTGAAATGGATTTAGTCTGGCCTCAGCTGCCCTGGACCATTTTCAACTCGGACGATCTGGTTCCCCCAGCAGAGCTTCTCAGGCTATTGGCTCTTTGTGGAGTTTATGAAAGCAGGGGACCCTCTCCCCAGAAAGGTGCCCAAGGTCTCATGTGCACATGCACACACATACACTCATTCTGGCTCATCTCAGAGGATTCTGGGCCCCTGAAGCCCTTACAAGGCCTGCTGAAGAATCTCAGAACTCAAGGTGAGAGATCATCCTTAACCACATGGCCAGAGGGTGGAGGTACCCACGTAATCTACCAGAAAAGGCCAGGACCCCACCTTCACCACTGTGCTACATGCTGTGGGCTGAGCCTCTGGCTTTACCACAATCTATCAAACTCCTAGGTGATGTACAAAGGCACAGGGAGACAGAGAGGCCCATTCAGCCAAGGATCTGAAGCAGGAACTGCGAAGGCTCTAGATCACCTTTGGGGCCTGCCTTGCCAGCAGACAGCTGAGCAGGTTCTCTTCACCTTGCTGAGGCTAAAGCAGCCTCCTGAACTTTAATAATGAGCTGAATTCTGGCCAGGAATGTAGCAACTTTCCCACTCAGAAAGAGGCCACAGACGCTGCTTGGTGAAACCTGGGAGCTGTGCCCTGATGTGTCCAGGGGTTTGAGGAGCAGGGAGAGGAACCAGTCTGTCTTATCTCCCACCCTGGGCCTGTGCCTATTGCCTGATGTTGTCTGGCCCAACCCCGGACAGGAAGAGCACTTGTCGGGGTCCTCCCCAACAAGGGGCCAGAGTAACTGCTCACCGCGCATAGATCAGTTTGGCCAGGCAGTCTCTACGGGTGTCACACTCGGCTCGGGCGCAGGGCTTCCGGAACACCTGCTGCTGTCTGCCTGCCCTGATGGTTCTAATCTGCACCATCTCCAGCAGCACGTCCTCTGGGAGCCCCAGCAGCGAGGCTGCCGTCCTGACAGAGTCTGGGAGGGGCAAATCCTCTTTAGGCAAATCACTCTCCATCCAGTCCTCTTCACGAGGCACTGTGAAGTCATCACAGCGGGACCATGACTTGCCCAACTGGACAGAAGAAACCTAAGTTCTGATCAGTGAAGTGACTCACCCAAAGGACTCCATAAACAGCAGTCAGAACTCAAACCCAGCACTTTCATGTACCAGTCCATGCTGCCATGTATGGGACAAATCACTTTACAAACCTCTGACTCATTTTCTCATCTTTAAGATGGGGACGATACTGTCTGCCTCACCAGACAGGGTGAGGAGTAAATGATCCAGGGCCAGGCCCTATGGTGGGTGGCATAAGCAAGGGCATCAGATTCCAATTTTCACCATCCAGCCTTCCACCCAACCCCAGCAATGCTGGCTACCTTCCTGACAGGGCCTGCCCCATCCTACACCCTGACCCTCACACTTGGCATCATCCATCGGCTGGCAGGGCTGGGCTTCATCCTCGGAGGCAGCAAACTGGATATTGCCAAGGTGCAGCAGTCCAGCTAGGACCTGGGGGAAAGAAAAGGATGGGTGGGAGTAGGAGAGGGCGTGACGTGGGCCTACTCTGGGAAGGGCCGTTCTGCTGAGTACAATCACGACAGCAGAAGGGCAGCTCCCAATCATGGCCCAAGTGCCCATCTCTGCCAGACACAATTCTATACAAGTTACATGCATCGCCTCATTGCAACTTTTCAACAACCTGTAAGGTATGTGCTACGCCACTGCCTATGATAGAGATGAGACTGAGGACACGTGCTTCCTGAGGGGAAAGGTGGGATGAGAACCCAGGCTGACTTCAGATGTCTCCTGGGGCAGCCTGTGGGCCTCCATGCCCACCCATCCTCTACATTTCTGCCCCCTGCTCTCTAGGAATAGACTGGTGACTGGGGGCAGGGCTGCTTCTGTGTGCCTGCTGGAGGCTTGTCTCTGCTTCCTTGAGCCCTTTCCCACTGTCAGGCTTCTGAGAGCCCAGCCTGCTGGAGGCACTGTGACCTTGGTCTGTGTCCGATGGGTGCCCCTTTGCCTTTGTACTCAATGTTCCACACCGACAAGCCCCCTGGGGCTATAGACAGAAGCTCCCCTCACCCCACCAAGGCCCAGCAACTTCAAAACCCTCAGACCCAGCTAGGCATGGTGGCACACGCTTGTAATTCCAGCACTCTGGGAGGCTGAGGCAGGTGGATCACTTGAAGTCAGAAGTTTAAGACCAGCCTGACCAATATGGTGAACCTCCATCTCTACTAAAAATAAACACACACACACACACACACACACACACACACACACACACAAAATTAGCTGGGTGTGGTGGCACATGCCTGTAATCCCAGCTACTCGGAGGCTGAGGTAGGAGAATCACTTGAACCCGGGAAGAGGAGGTTGCAGTGAGCTGAGATTGTGCCACTGCACTCTAGACTGGGCAACTAGAGTAAAACTCCATCTCAAAAAAAAAAAAAAAAAAGAAAAAACCACCACCCTCAGACCTGACACAGGGACCCCACCCACCATTCCTATATGGTCCCAGGCAGGGTGCCTCCATGTGCTACTGGTCTTCCGGCCACAACTTGCTCCAGAAGACTGCCATGCCCACCAGGCAGAAGGGCTGTGGCAGAGGGTCATGCCCACCCCCAAAGCACTCCTGCCCCGACTCCCAGTGTTGTCCACTTATCCTGGGCTTGTCCCCAGGTACTGTCCTTCTGTCAAGTTCTTACCTGGCAGTGTCTGAGCAGCCCCCATCTGGAGGTGAGGGTCACTTTCCACTGCATTGCTACCTCCCTGAAGTGGCCTCCCTTTCTCGACTGCCAGGCCATCCTATCTATCCCCTCCTGCTGCTCTAGAGGGTGAGGAAGATGAGAGGAGGTAGTCAGCTCTGTCAGCAAAGACAGAAGGGAGGCCCCCCTAGTGTGACTGAGAGGAGCCCAGCTCACCTGGGGCAGTCTCATGTTCCAGAGGACGACGGGGCACGGGTTGGGGGAAGACAGAGAGGGTAGGAACTTGGAATTACTATGTCTGGTACTCTGTATCACCACTTAGTGGTATCTGACCTTGGGCACGTCACTTTACCTCTCTGGTTTTCTCAGGCATAAAGGGAAATAAACACACACAGAGGACTGTTTAAAAAACTAAGTGAGCAGAGAAGTGTGAACATGACTTGTAAGTTTTAATGTACTAGACAAGCAAGGCGGTAGCACTAGTTCTCTCTTCTGATCATGCGGTACCTTGCTCTCTGCCCCCATGGATCACTTACTGCATTCTGTACTCTAGCACTGTGTATGCATCACTCTTCCTTATGCCCCGTCCACCCCACCACCTGGTCTCCAGACTCAGCAGAACAGAGGTGACTGATTCCTTGGAGGTAGCACAGAAGGGCCCAAAGTCCTAGATCCTCAGGGAAAGACCAACTCCAAGTCCAGGGAAAAGCTCTATGCAAAGGGCTGCCCGTCATCTCTGCCAAACTTAAGTGGCGTGGCTTTTCTTCTGACCTTAAAGATGTTGTTCTGGGTAGGGGTGTCAATGCCCAAATGGAGCATGGCCTCTCTGGTCACCTCAAAACAATCCTCTGAAAAAGAATCCAAGTTCGGGGCAGAGGTCAGCAGCAGCAAGATGCGAGGGAGGCAGGCTCTGTACAGAGTGGGTGGGTGATGCTGGGTCAGCGCAAGGTGCTGGATGGGGCTCCCCTTACCTTCTAAGCTCCTCTCTGGGTTGGGCAGCCAGGAGAAGGCAGCTCCCTCAGGAAGGTGCCACTGGAGCCTCTCGTCCTCACTGGCTCCTTTGCAAATCTGTGGAGAAGGGTAGGTGGGAGGCTGGGTAGGGGGTCTGAGAAAAGCCCAGGCCTGCATAGGCAGGCATGGGGTTGGGATAAGAGGAGAGTTGGTAGCAACATCACAAGGCTCAGAGGTCCCTTCCGAGAGCCCACGGCAGGTATGGGGGCAAAAGATGCCGTAAACATAGCCCTGGATGTCTCCAACCTGATGCAAAAGAACCTTGCTCTAGGGAAACCTGCAGTCTGGTGAAAAAAGGACAACTCCTGCCCAGGGAGTCCGTCGTCTTGACGTGGGAGGCATACCCATCACCTAAGGATGCTCCGATTTTGAGAGAAAGGGAGATATCCTATCCATGCCTTGGGGGACTCCCAGTCCGATGGAAAAGGCACAACTCTAGGGAAGCCCTTGTTCTGTTAGCGACAGATGCCATTCTAGGAGAGCCCTTAAAATGATAAGAGTGACACGGCTTCCACCCTAGAGATACAGTCCCAGCCTCAAGGACCTTCTGGTCTGATGGAGGAGGTAAAACATACTCCCAGGCCACAACTGTGCTGGGAGCCAAGGCGCAGTGTGAGGCAGAAGTGCTGCATGTAAAGTCTGCAGGATAAAGTGGTGGCTCCATCAAAAGCTAGGTGAAGGAACCAGGTATGGAGCATTCTGGGGAGTGGGGGGTTGAAAAACACGGACCCATCCCTGTCTCGCATCTGGGGGGCTGTGGCCCCATTTGGCACAAACCTGATAGAAGATGTGGAAGTTCCTCTCACTGGAAGCCTGGCAGGCCACTCGAGTTTTCTCTAGGAGGTAGGTCTGGACTGCGGCTCCAGTCATTTGCTGAGCCCTGGGACACACACAGGCCAGAGCCCGTTAGTTGCCCATTCATTCCATAGCCATGTCTGGCAATCTGGGTGTGCCAGATTGCCTGCTACCTGGCAACTCCCCGCCAAGCTCTTCCACTTAGCCAATGGGCACTGAGGGGTGGGGACCACTCAGAATGTCCTTGGGTGTCCTGGAATATTCCCCTGCATCTAGCTCAGGTGGGCAGGGCCAAGGCCTCTGCACATCACTTTGCTCTACCCCAAGACAGGAGTCGAAGTCTCAGCCTCAAGCTCAGGGATATGGTCCAAAGAGGTGGCAATTTAGCTTGAAGTCCCTGAGCAAGAGTAAAAGCCAGGAGGAACCCAGGCCTGAATAAGCGCACTGCCCCAGGGTTCCCCAAGGGGAGAGGAGCTATAGTTCTCCAGGTGCAAAGATCACCCTCAGAGCTCACACCTGAGGTAAAGGGCATGCACCAGGAGGAGCAGGGTTTTTGCCCATAGGGGTGGCCCAGGCCAGATACTGCCCCAGCCACTTTCAACCTCCCCAGTCCCATCCTCCCACTAGCCAGGGCAACAGCAGCTATTACCTGTTCAGCTGGAGCTGGATGAACTTCCCAAAGCGACTGCTGTTGTTATTCCTCAGTGTACACGCATTCCCTACAGATCACACCTATGTTTATTTCACTCCCCTGGGTTTGCAGAGTCCTCATAAGCCAAGGTGGCTGCAGGTCTCTGGAGGTCATGTTCCCGTGCTCAAGTCACCTAAAGGCCCCTTTGTTGGTTTTCATGTCATAGGGGACAGGACTAGAAAATGGGCCCTCATGCTTTAGCAAGTGGGATTCAGGGGAGTTAGAAGAAATTCCTGGCAAGAAATTGGAATGAGCAAGCCTAGGCAGTCAGGGACCTTTCTTTGAAGGGAAAGGTCAAAAACAATCAGCTGTCACTACTGACTTTAGACAGGAAGGCACATCTGGGTTCCAGTGCCAACACAAACACTAATCACCTTGTATCCCTTAACAAGTACCCTTCATTGAACCATCAGGAAACTGGATAGAAAGACAGAATTTGGACGAGCTAAGCCACCAGGTCTTCTCCAGCACGACTGTTATGTGTGCCTAGGCTGGAGCGAGGAAGAGGACTGAATGACATGACCTCTGTTAGAATGATGCTAAGGAGTACCAGGGAGAGGTTGGGGATCTGAGGCAGTGAAGGATACACTCATCCTCCACCCCCACCCAAGAGAGGGTCTCAAAGCACTGTCCCTCTCCCTGGAAGGTGGAAAATCCCAGAGGAAATGGGACTGAGATACTGTGCAAAGGAGCCCAAGCTCACCAAAAGCTTCCATGACAGGGTTGGAGTTCAGGATCCTCTGTTCTATCCTCTCTGCAATCTTGTGGCTCTCCCAAGATGCAGGTGAGGTGGCCACCACAGCATAGAACTTCATTAGGCAGCGAGACGTCCATGTCTGTGGCAGAAACAGCCCTGTGGGAGCTGTATCTATGCTCCCGCCCACTTCTGAGCCTGCCTGAGAGAACAGTGCCCACCAGAGCTCTCTTCTCCACCAGTGTGTTGCTGACAAAATGGGTGAAGGCAGAATTCAACCCTGGCCTCAGGCAAGGCACTTCCTCTACCTCTGTTTGTAAAATGGGAGTAGACATCTGTTTCTCTCAGCTCTGTGGCAGACACTGAGCTATCGAGGCTTTCTGTGTATGTTTTTTTTGCAAACTCTGCAAAGGTGTGATTATACAATTGTTTATAAACAATAAAACCAAAGCATAGAAATTTAAAAATTTATTAAAAATCATGCATCTACTCAATGACAGGGCTCCCATTTATACCCAAGCAGTCTAACTTTTTTTTTCCGAGACGGAGTCTCATCTTGCCTCCCAGGCTGGAGTGCAATGGCACAATCTCAACTCTCTGCAACCTCTGCCTCCTGAGTTCAAGCGATTCTCCTGCCTCAGCCTCCCAAGTAGCTAGGATTACAGGCGCACGCCACCACGCCTGGCTAATTTTTTACATCTTTAGTAAAGACGGGGTTTCACCATGTTGGTGAGTCTGGTCTTGAGCTCCTGACCTCGTAATCTGCCCACCTTGGCCTCCCAAAGTGGGATTACAGGTGTGAGCCACCGCACCTGGCCCCAAGCAGTCTAATTTTAATTCATACTCTTGTTCTTAATCAGCTGAAGTGAGGTATACTTTCATTTTAACTTCTAATTGTTTGTGGCTAGGACATAGAAATACACTGTCTTTACATATTGACCTTGTATCCTATCACCTCACTAAACGCTCTACAACTTTTTAGTTGCAGTAAGGTGGCAACTTACTTTGTAGATTCTTTAGATTTTTCTTTGGGATCAGAGATATTTCTATCTTCTGAAAGACTTTATGTAGAACTGGTAACATTTCTTCCTTAAATGTTTGGTAGAATTCACAAGTGAAGCCACCAGGGCCTACAGCTTTCTCTGTGGGAGGGCTTTTAACTATGACTTCAATTTCTTTCAGAAATAGGGGCTATTCAGGTTCTTTTTCTTCTTGTGTGATCTTCAGCAGTTTGCGTTTCTCAAAATATTTCTCCATTTCATCTAAATTGTATAATTTCTTGGCATAAAGTTATTCAAAATATTATCTTAATCTGTAAGATCTATATTGATGTCTACTCCTTCATTCCTGATACTGGTGATTTACATCTTTTTTCTCTTTTTATAAGTCTGACTGGAGAGTTATCATTTTTTTGTTTGTTTGTCTTCTTTAGAGGCAAAGTCTTGCTGTCACCCAGGATGGAGTGCAGTGGCACGATCTCGGCTCACTGCAACCTCTGCCTCCGGGGTTCAAGTGATTCTCCTGCCTCAGCCTCCTGAGGAGCTGGGACTACAGGCGCTCGCCACCATGCCCAGCTAATTTTTGTATTTTTAGTAGAGACGGGCTTTCACCATGTTGGTCAGGCTGGTCTCTAACTTCTGACCTCAGGTGATCCACCCACCTTGGCCTCCCAAAGTGCTGGATTACAGGCGTGAGCCACTGCACCCAGTGAGTTATCATTTTATTCATCTTTTCAGAGAAAAGTCTTTTATTTCATTAATTTTTCTATTTTATTCATCTTTACTTTTTCCCTTCTTCTGCATACTTTGGGTTTATTCTGTTCCCCTCTAGCTTCTTAAGGTATGCCACAGACTGAATTGTGTTCCCCTCAAATTCATATTTTGAAGCCCTCACTCCCAATGTGACTGCATTTGGAGAAGGGATCTTCGGGAGGTAATTAAGATTAAATAAGGTAATGACGCCAGGTGCGGTGGCTCACGCCTGTAATCCCAGCACTTTGGGAGGCTGAGGTGGGTGGATTGCCTGAGTTCAGCAGTTCAAAACCAGCCTTGACCAACATGGTGAAACCCTGTCTCTACTAAAAATACAAAACTTATCTGGGTGTCATGGCATCCACCTGTAATTCCAGCTACTAGGGAGACTGAGGCAGGAGAATCGCTTGAACCCGGGAGGCGCAGGTTGCAGTGAGCTGAGCTCGCACCGTTGCACTCCAGCCTGGGCAACAATAGCGAAACTATCTCAAAAAAAAAAAAAAAGAGGTAATGAAGATGTTGTGCTTTCATTTTAATTTATTAGTTCAAAATATTTTCTAATACCGACTTGGTAATGAAATTTCAGACAAGGCTGGACACAGTGGCTCACGCCTGGAATCCCAGCAATTTGGGAAGCTGAGGCGAGCTGATCACTTGAGGCCAGGAGTTTGATACCAGCCTGGCCACCATAGTGAAACTATAACGTCTCTACTAAAAATACATAGTCTCTACTAAAAATACAAAAATTAGCCAGGTGTGGTGGCATGCACCTGTAATCCCAGCTACTCAGAAGGCTGAGGCAAATGAATCACTTGAACCCAGGAGGTGGAGGTTGCAGTGAGCTGAGATCACACCACTGTACTCCAGCCTGGGCCAGAGGATCTCAGAGGAAAAAAAAAAAAAAAAAAAAAAAAAAAAAAAAAAAAAAATATATATATATATATATATATATATGTGTATGTGTATATATATGTATATACATAAAAGTATGTATATATATATAAAAGTATGTATATATATGTCTCCTTAGAAGATAATCACTAAGGCAAAAATGGTAACAATGTTTATATGACAGCATAGCATCATTAAAATGCTGAATTTAATCAAAGGCAATAAAAAAAGGAACTAAGATCACACGGAACAATTTAAAAAATAAGATGGTAGATTTAAACCCAGGCATAGTGAGATAGATAGATAGACAGATAGATAGATTTTTTTTCTTTATAGTATCATTGTGATTTTATCTTTTACCCATAGGATATTTAGAAGTGCATTGTTTAATTTCCCAATGTTTTAGGATTTTCTAGGTGTCTTTGTTGTTTATTTCTAATTCAATTCTATTCAGCTCAAGGAACATAGTTTGTATCATTTTAATCTTTTTGTTTTTTGTTTTTAGACAGAGTCTTGCTTGCTCTGTGTGAGTAAACTGGGACTACAGGCACAAGCCACCACGCTTGGCTAATTTTTGTATTTTTTTGTAGATATGGGTTTTCCCCACATTTCCCAGGCTGGTCTTGAACTTAAGCAATCCATCAGCCTTGGCCTCCCAAAGTGCTGGGATTACAGGTGTGAACCATTGTGCCTGGCCTCAAAATGTAGTTTTGATTTTATATATTTTTCCTTTCAATGAGAGCAGATTTTACTTCATGTATTTTGAAACTGTAATTAGGTACACACCTGTTTAGAACTGTTTTCTTGATGAATTCACCCATTTATCATTATGAAATGTCTCATCTTATCCTTAGCAACATTGCTTGTTCTAATGTAACCACTTCAGCTTTCCTTTATGAATGTTAGGATGTTATATTTTTTCCCATCCATTTAGTTTGAACTTATCCACGAGTAGACCACTTATATTTATCGTAATTGTCACTATGCCTGGGTTTAAATCTACCATCTTATTTTTTTAAATTGTCCCATGTGATCTTAGTTCCCTTTTTTCTTATTGCCTTTGATTAAATTTGGCATTTTAATGATTCCATTCTATCATATAAGCATTGTTACCATTTGTGCCTTATAGTGATTATCTTCTAAAGAGACAAAAAAAAAAAAAAGATTTTACATCTGTGATGCTGAAACTTACCCCTTTGTGTAGATCCAAATATTTATCTGGTTTTCATATTCTTTTGCACTAAAGAATTTATCACTTCTTGCAGTGCAAGTCTGCAGGCAATGAATTCCCTCAACTTCTATTTGTCTTAAAGTCTTTATTTCACTTTCATTGTTGAAAAATATTTTTGCTGATAACAGAATTCTAAGTTGACAGATTTTTTTCTTTCAGCACCTTAAAGGTGTCACTTTTATCTGTGGGCTTACAGTTTTTGTCAAGATTCCTATGGTCATTCTTATCTTTGTTCATTTTTATGTAATATTTATTTTCCTGGCTTCCTTTAAGATACTTTTTTTCCTTTTTTTTGAGACAGAGTTTCACTCTGTCATGATCTTGGCTCACTACAACTTCCTCCTCCTGGGTTCAAGCAATTCTCCCACCTCAGCTCCCAAGTAGCTGGGATTTCAGGCACCTACCACCATGCCCTGCTAATTTTTTGTATTTTTAATAGAGACGGGATTTCACCATGTTACCCAGACTGGTCTCAAACTCCTGACCTCAAATGATCTGCCTGCCTCAGCCTCCCAAAGTGCTGGGATTACAGGCGTGAACTACTGCACCTGGTCCTTAAGATTTTTTTCTTATATTTAGTTTTCAGCACTTTGACCATAATGTGCCTAAATGTGTTTTCTTTGTATTCATTCTACTTGGCAATTTTTGAGCTTTTTGGATCTGTGCTTGCCATCTTTGGTTAATTTTGTAAAAATATTACTTTTGACCCATGTCCTCTCTCTACTCCTAGGACACCAATTACAAGTACAGTTGACCCTTGAAAACACGTGTTTGAATTGCATGGGTCCACTTATACGTGGGTTTTTTTTCAATAAATCTCTCCTGCCTCCCCTTCTATTATACTTCCACTACCTCTGCCACCTCTGAGACAGCAAGACCAAGCAAGACTGTCCTCTTCTTCCTCAGCCTACTCAAAGTGAAGATGACAGTGATGAAGACCTTTATGAGGATCCACTTTCACTTAAGTAGTAAATATATTTCTTCCTTCTGACTTTCTTAATTTCATTTCTCTAGCTTATTTTATTGGAAGAATACAGTATATAAGACATATAACACACAAAATACGTACTGACTGTTATGTTATTTGTCAGGTTTCCAGTCAACAGTAGTTAATCAGCAGTTAAATTATATGCAGATTTTCAATTGCGTGGGGAGTTGGTGCCCCTAACCTCTGCATTGTTCAATGGCAGACCATTTGATATTGTACTACAGTTCTTGGATGCAATTTTCTTTGTTTTTCAATTTGGATAATTTCTATTCACCAACAGTTAAGTTCACTAATGCATTCTTTTGCATGTCTAGTCTGTTGATATGCCCAAAGATTTATCATGTTTTAAATTTTTATCATCTCCATTTGATTCTTTATAGTTTCCACCTATCTGCTGAAAGACTGGAGGAATCTTTTCTGGAGACACCAATAAGCTCACGGGAAAAGTTATGGCCATTCAGGGATCCCACAAGTTTAAAAAGCTACTTACAGTGAGGCCCCATTGGTTGACAATCTTGTACGTAAACACAGATTCTAATCAGTTGTTTAATGCCTTATTTTAAATATGAACAGACACTCTAGGATCATTATTTCATAAGCCTCTTTTACGTGAAATGACAAATATCATAAATGTTAGAAAAAAACTAGAATGTAGAATTAAAATTTTTAACAAATATTCGAAGTTCCAAAGAATTGGAAGGTAAAGAAAAGAATATCTCTCAGAAGATTAAAAAAATAAAGAGAAAGGAGGATAGGTGAGAAAAACATGATTACACAACTAACCAAATTTCCTCACAGAAGTTCCAGAAGGAGAAAACAGGGGAGGAAATTATTAGATATAACACAAAAATACTTTCCTGAACAAAAGGACATGAGTTTCCAAGTTAAAAAGACCCACACAAAGTACCCAGCATAATAAGTGAAGAAAGGCTATACCACAACACAGCACTGTGAATTTTAATACCTAAAACCTTTGGGGGAAAAAAGAAATCACCATTATGGACTGGCTCTCTCAACAGCAATATATGAAAATAAAACCTCGGCCAGGCACAGTGGCTCATACCTGTAATCCCAGCACTTTGGGAGGCCGGGGAGGGTGGATCACGAGGTCAAGAGATCGAGATCATCTTGGCCAACATGGTGAAACCCCATCTCTACTAAAAATACAAAAATTAGCTGGGTGTGGTGGTGCATGCTGGTAGTTCCAGCTACTTGGGAAGCTGAGGCAGGAGAATTGCTTGAACCCGGGAGGCGGAGGTTGCAGTGAGCCAAGATTGTGCCACTGCACTCCAGCCTGGCAACAGAGCAAGACTGTCTTTAAAAAAAAAAAAAAAAAAAGAAAAGAAAAAGAAAAAAGAAAATAAAGTCTCTATATTCAGAAAGAAAATTATTTCTAACCTGGAATTATAAAACCCAGCCAAAATATCCATCAGATTTGAGGCAGAATAGACATTTTCAGATGTGCAACAATTTGCCCTCCAGGTACCTTGTTCAGGAAACCACTAAAGAATATGGTTTGGCCGGGCGTGGTGGCTCACGCCTGTAATCCCAGCACTTTGGGAGGCCGAGGCAGGTGGATCACGAAGTCAGGAGTTCAAGACCAGCCTGGCCAAGATGATGAAACTCCGTCTCTACTAAAAATACAAAAATTAGCCGGGCCTGGTGGCAGGCGCCTGTAATCCCAGCTACTCGGGAGGAGGCTGAGGCAGAGAACTGCTTGAACCCAGGAGGCGGAGGTTGCAGTGAGCCGAGATCACACCACCTGCACTCCAGCCTAGGCGACAGTGCGAGACTTGGTCAAAAAAAAGAAAAAAAAAAATAGAATATGGTTCATAAAAACAAAACAAGGCAGTAAATGAAGAAAAAGAAAGCCATGGAGACTAGGCGTGGTGGCTCATGCCTGTAAACCCAGCACTTTGGGAGGCCAACGCGGGAAGATCACTTGAGGCCAGGAGTTCAAGACCAGCCTGGCCAACTTGGTGAAACCCCACTCTACTAAAAATATAAAACTTAGCAGGTCAGGCGTGATGGCTCACGCCTGTAATCCCAGCAATCTGGGAGGCCGAGGCGAGTGGATCACGAGGTCAGGAGATCGAGACCATCCTGGCTAACACAGTGAAACCCGTCTCTACTAAAAATACAAAAAATTAGCCAGGCGTAGTGGCGGGCGCCTGTAGTCCCAGCTACTCGGGAGGCTGAGGCAGGAGAATGGTGTGAACCCGGGAGGCAGAAGTTGCAGTGAGCCAAGATTGTGCCACTGCACTCCAGCCTGGGCAACAGAGCAAGACTCCGTCTCAAAAAAAAAAACAAAAAACAAAAAAAAAAAACTTTGCTGAGTGTGGTGGTATGCATCTGTAATCCCAGCTACTCGGGAGGCTGAGGCATGAGAATTATTGGAACTGGGGAGGCGGAGGCTGCAGTGGGCTGAGATTGTGCCACTGCACTCCAGCCTGGGCAACAGAAACCCTGTCTCAAAAAAAAAAAAAAAAAAACAAAAACAAAATAAAGAGAACGCTATGGGTTCCTGCCATGGGGGATTTATCCTAGGACAGATGGGAATCTGGGGATGTGCAGAAGCAAAGAAGCTTCCATGCAACAGCTGTGTGGCAGCAGCCCTCAGCAGGCACCAATCCAGACAGAAGAAAAGATATGGTCTGAGAGCTCTAGGAAGGGTATCTCCAATGAAAGAAGCTGATTTGCTTGCCAGTTTGACAGGTGTTTTCCAGATTTGGTGACAAGTCTGGTAATGAGTTAATAATGGTATATAAAAACTAAACAAGTGAAAAAATGGGGCAATTATTTATTTATTATTTATTTTACTTGCCCCACTTTTTCACTGGTTTAGTTTTTGTACACCACTATTAAACAGGGAAAACAGAGGGAAAATAAAAATTATGCAAGAATATATAGTATATTATATGGCTCTGCTATGCATATACACATGACCATAACCATGTAAATACTGCTTATTAACTTAATTAGAAATTATGAAATAATTATATACAGAATATGTATTTTGAGGGCAGGGAAATAAGGGTTAAATCCTCATCAAAGTAGGAAGTGAACAGATAAGGTCCAAAACCAAAAAGTCAGTAACAACATAAGCAGTAGTTTAAAAATACGGATGTAAACACCCAAATAAACTGATAAAAGATGTGCAAGTAACTGCATCTGGAGACAGGGAACAAGGTTGAAAGACAAGGAGCAGGTTTGCTGTTTTTCTTTATAAGCCTTGTAGTATTGCTTGATTTTTTGAACTATGTAACTACATTACTATTTATTAAAAATAAATTTTTGAAAATATACCAGGCCCAGCCCAGGGCTACAGTGGCTGCTCAATAAAGGGTTACCTAGCTCTCTGGTTGAATGAGTCTTGGACCAGGTTCAGCTTCAGTTCCCCAGAGCAATTCTGGGGGACAAGGCTTCGTTGAGAAGCTGGGCATAAGCCACTTCACTAGCCACCTTGATATAGCTCCTAGAGATCCCCTCCTAACCCAAGTCCAAGCCCTCATCCCTGCAACTTACTGTCTTTGTTTTCTTATCTGTCTCTCAGCAGACTAAGTGCCCCCTGAAAGCTACATGTTGCATTTTTCATCCCCCTGCCACCCCTCAGTGCCCAGCCAGAAGCCTAGAACCTGGCAAGTTCTCAGTGTTCAGCAATTCTCATATGTGAGTGAAGGCAGAAGGAGTTTATGGTCCAAAGAGTTCCTCATGAAGGTAAAAGTGTTGTGGAAAGGGCGAGGCAGCTGGGTGAGGCTTGTCAAGAAGGTGGCAAGGCCTTGGCCAATAGTCTCCTTTGACTAGCTGTGCAACTCCCCACTCATCTGTATGCAACATCCTGTCTCACCTGTTGTGGTTTTGCTACCCAGAAGGCCACGTGGCCATACCAGGAGCTTCTGTCCTCCCCAACACCTGGCCCAATATACTGCCCTTGCCACCATGCGCAACCCAGAGGGTTCAGGTGGTTTACTCCAATAAACTTTTTCCCACAAGAACCCCAGCTACTTTGGAGGAGCACTGCCACATGCCAAGCATGCCACCAGGTGCCATATGTACAGTGACTCATTTAACTCTCACAGAAGTCCTATGAGTCAGGTGTTGGTCCTCCCTTCCCTTCCATTTTACAAGTGGAAGAACTGAGAGCTTTGCAGAAGCTACGTACTTTTCTGATGTGTTCTTAACCACTATGCTGGAATCCCCAGCAGCTGACTTTTGTTTCCAGTAGTGTCAAGAGCTGGGAGACACTTTCGATGAGAAAATAAGGCTTAGAAAGGAAACTTCATTCCTATTTCACCCAGGGTGATGGCAGAGCTTGCAGTAGAGCCTGGACTGGTATCCTGTCTCTTGACTTCCGGCTCAGTGCTAGCCCACCATTGTGCACCAACCCCAGCTTCAGCCAGCCTATGTGGGAATGATTAGGAAGCAAACAACTCCACAAGGAAGGCCAAGGAATGACCCCTGCCTCCCTGTCCACCCAGCCAGTCGTGAGTTGACAGGATGGGAAAGACGTCTTCCTACCTTTCCAGCACCACTCTCTCCACTGACAACAATAGACTGGTTGACTGGTTCAATCAGGCTCTTGACATTCCTGTAGGTCTGTTCACCCACAGTGAACACATGGGGCTTCAGTTTCTGGAACATCAAGGAGTGAAAGGTCATGTGAGGGAATGCCTGTTTTTCAATGATGACTGAGCCAATGATGACTGAGATGGGGAGGCTGCCAATAGCAGTGGTGGGATGCTTCCTCCAGAAAAATTTTCTGGATGTCACATTGTTAGGCCCAACTTTAGAACCCCTATGTTGGCTTTACCTATTCATTTTCTCTCAGCCTAGAAGCAGGGCTAGCCTTGACCAGTTTATGACATTAACACTTTATACCCCCATCTTATCTTGCTTTAATTGTCTTATCCTTCTGCCTATTACTTCATATTACTATAATTTGCAATTTGCAAAGTTCGTATAAACTACTAAGAAGCCTGTCCACTAATTGGAAATATAACCCTATTTTATAGATAAGGAATGTGAGGTTCAGAGGAGTTAAATAACCTTGCAAGGCCACTCAGCAAGTAAGTATATCCATGTGATTTAAATTCCAAAGCCACTGTTCCCCTTTTCTTCAACAACTATTAACTGTCTTCAATGTACTAGGCATCAATCAAGCTGGATGCTGAGGAAACATAGGGGACTACGACTTGGCTTTTACTTTTCCGGAGGCAGGGCAGACAGCAGACAGGGCTCTCAGGACAGACTGCCCCTGGATTCCAACTGGATACCTCATCACGCATGAACTTCTGGAGGGCCACGCCATCTCCACAATGCCTAGCTAACCCAGCCAGCAGTGATCACTTACCCACAGCTTGCTGAGGGAGAAGGCAACTGTTCCATATGGCGTCAGAGCCACTCCTCTCTACACCTGCCCTTGCCCCAGCCACCTATCACCTGGAGGGATACAAAGCCTCCAACTGTTGTCTCTGCCTCCTGCCTCACCTTCTTGAACCCAACTCCCACAGTAATTATTCGTCTAGTGGGTTCTGTTCCCAGTCCCACCTCTACCTGGATGAAGATGCTCTGCAGATTCTCTCTGCCTGCTATGGTGCTTCAGACTCTTCACAAACAACCCTGGCTTTCTCGTCTTCCTGCTCTCATCTACTCCCTCTTGCCCCCAAGACCTCCCTCCTGCCAGCAAGTTTTCTCTCACCTCTCCCTGAATGCATCATGCACTTTTACACCAACAAGCTCATTATCTGTCTGTACCTCCACCACCCCACCCCAAATAACTTATCCTTTTCTCAGTAAAAGAATAAGTTACTTTCCTCAGCAGAGATAAACATATGCTGAATTTTCCAGGGCAATCCTTATCGTGTATAATTTCATTCTTTCCTAAAAAGGTAGTTTTGCTGGACTCAGTGGCTCATGCCTATAATCTCAGCACTTTGGGAGGCTACGGCAGGTGGATCACTTGAGGTCAGGAGTTCGAGACCAGCCTGGCCAACATGGTGAAACCCCATCTCTACTAAAAATACAAAAATTAGCCGGGCATGGTGGTGGGCACCTGTAGTCCCAGCTACTCGGGAGGCTGAGGCACAAGAATCACTTGAACCCTGGAGGCGGAGGTTGCGGTGAGTCAAGATCGCACTACTGCGCTCCAGCCTGGGTGACAGGGAGAGACTCAGTCTCAAAATAAATAGGGCCGGGTACAGTGGCTCACACCTGTAATTCCAGCGCTTTGGGAGGCCAAGGTGGGTAGATCACCTGATGTCAGGAGTTTGAGACCAGCCTGACCAATATGCCTACTAAAAATACAAAATTAGCCAGGTGTGGTGGCATATGCCTGTAATCCCAGCTACTCAGGAGGCTGAAGCAGGAGAATTGCTTGAACTCAGGAGGTGGAGGTTGCGCTGAGCCCAGATCATGCCATTGCACTCCAGTCTGGGCAATAAGACTGAAACTCCATCTCAAAATAAATAAATAAATAAATAAATAATAATAAAAAATAAAAAGGTAGTTTGTTAAATAAACAAATATATAATACCTTTATAAATCCTTTCCTGTTAATAAAACCGCAAACAAGAAAAAAAAATCCTTTCTCTTATGTCTCTTATTTTAGGTTCCAAACTCAGTTAAACAAATATTTATTTATTCCCCACTTTGCACCTTCTGTCCTGTAGTCAGTTCTTCATGGTTCAAAATTCTGCCAGCTCCTATTGGGCAGGCCGTGGCACTAGCAGACTCTGAATGACCACATTGCTGGTGAATAGATGAATAAGGACAGGGGTAACTGCAAAGAGGTTTAGCGGGAGGTAGAGGAGCCCTGAGGCCACAGGCAGCGGCAGAGCCTTACCTGGGGCTGAGGCGCAGCATGGTACTCTCTCATTAGCTCGGGCGAGTAGAGCTGAGGAACAGGCTTGAAGGGGTTCAAGGCTACCAGGGTGCAGCCAGCATTGGTGTAGAATGTGTCTGCCATGTACCGGGCCTGCAGGCACCTCAGGACTGAGGCAGAGATGCCTTTAGCAAACTCGGGCTCAAATATAGTCAAACCACACACACAGACACACATCTACTTAAGTAACAGCCCTCTTTCTGCAATTAGCCAAGAATCATTAAATCCCAGCAGCTCCCTGAAGAAAAGATACAAGATCTAATTAAGATGAGCTCCAAATCTGAAGCAAAGCATGCCCTGGGGAGCCCAGGTGCAGCTGTCATGCTCCCTCAGGCGGAGGTCTGGAGCAGCCCACCTGGCTCCAGATCAGGAGTCCTGCCGACCTCCGTCTGACCTGGAGAAGCTGTGCTGACTACTCTCATTACACCTCCAACCTCCTGGAGATGATACTCCTGAGGAATGGGAGGCCCATACCTGTCTCTAGTGTCACAGGATTCACCCTGGTGAGGTCATCCAGTTTGTACAGCAGGACCTCCCCACCCAGGAACTCCTGCAGGTCTTCTCTGAGGTACTCCCTGGCTTGGCCATCAGACCCCGGATTGTGGCCATTGACCTGGAAGAGATAACGTGAAGGTGAGGCCAGGCACAGTGGCTCATGCCTATAATCCCAGCACTCTGGGAGGCCAAGGCGGGCAGGACACAAAGTGAGGAGATCGAGACCATCCTGGTTAACACGGTGAAACCCCGTCTCTACTAAAAAAAATTCAAAAAATTAGCCAGGCATGGTGGCGGGCACCTGTAGTCCCAGCTACTCGGAAGGCTGAGGCAGGAGAATGGCGTGAACCCGGGAGGCGGAGCTTGCAGTGAGCCAACATTGTGCTACTGCACTCCAGCCTGGGCGACAGAGCAAGACTCTGTCTCAAAAAAAAAAAAAACCAAAAAACATGAAGGCCGCGACAGCTGGTACTCAAAACAGCTGGCAGCTACAGAAGGGTGGGAACCTGTATAGTAGAAGGAGACTCTGGTATCATAGTCTGGTTGGGTTCAAATTTCAGTTCTGCCTCTTAGTAGCCCTGTGAGCCTGGGTAAGTTACCCTCTTTGAGTCACAGTTTGTTTATTCGTAAATAAAGGAAAATAAACTCAACTGACAAGGTTATTGGGAAGAAAAGAAGAGATATACAAAGCATTTAGTCAGTGCCCGGCATACAGCATGTACTCAACAAATGCTATCTCTTCTGCCAAGAGCTCCGGCCACTTGCAAGTAGCACTTCCAGGCTACTAGCCTTATTAGAAATAAGGCTATAGGAATGTTGCAAAGGAAAAGAACCATGGGTTAGGCCTTTTTGGGAAGAGACAGTTCAGCTTTTGATGTAAAACAGCTGTACCTTCTGAGAGAGGTAGCCCCATGTCTTCATCACCTGCCTTTTGTGGCTTAAATTTAGGCTGGCTAATGAATTGGTTCCCTTGGCCCGAGTCTGCTTGAGAGAAAGCCTGGCTCAGACGGCTGTCTGAGGTCAAGAATAAGCACCAAGGGAACAGGTCCTTTCTCCTCCCTTGCCTATCTTTTTTTTTTCCTTTCTTTTTTAAGAGATGGAGTCTTGCTCTGCTACCCAGGCTGCAGTGCAGTGGCATGATCATATCTCACTGCAGCCTCCAACTCCTGAGCTCAAGTGATCCTTCTGCCTCAGCTTCCTGAGTAATTGGGACTAGAGGCATGAGTCACCCTATCTTCCTTTGCCCATTCTTGATGTATCATCCCTCCACTTCCTCCTGTGGTCCCATTTCTCCTACTGTCTCCTTTGGGGATGCAGGAAAGACAGAGTGGGGGTTGAAGACAGGTATCTTGCTGAAATGTGCTTTTGAAGGAAGAGGTCTGTGATACAACAGGTGAATTTCCAATGAGAATGGTGAGCCTAAAATTTCAAATCTCTCATAGAAATAAGCCATGGTGGCAAATTTCCTCCAAGAGGCCCAGTAATGCATTTCTTCCAAAACTGTTGCCTGTTCTCTGAACTTTGGGCCCACTATAATGCACAAGGTAGGCTCTTGGCCTCCAGAGTAACTGCGGAGGTCAGAGCACAGCTATATCTATGCATATCCCTCTCCTTTTATGAAGGGGAAAAAAAAACCACCACTACACAAACCATTCACAAACACAGACACAATTTATGAAGAGTTCTGATCCAACCAGAGAGGCATCTGAGTATAGTGATCAAGTACCTGGACTTGAAAGTTAGTTGTCTGGCTCTGAATCCTGACTCTATCTCTTACAGTTATATACTCTTATGTTAATTTCTTAATCTCTTTCTGCCTCAATTCTCCTCATCTGGTCCCTGTAATCCCAGCTACTTGGGAGGCTTAGGTAGAAGAACCACTTGGGCCTAAAAGTTCGAGGCTGCAATGAGTTATGATTGTACCGCTGCACTCTAGCCTGGCCAACAGAGCAAGACCTTGTCTCTAAAGTAAAAAATAAAAATAGAAAAATTTCCAGCTGGCCATAGTGGCTTAAGCCTGTAATCCCAGCACTTAGGGAGGCCAAGGTGACCCTGTCTCTATAAAAAATATTTAAAAATTAGCTGGGCATTATGGCATGTGCCTGTAACCCCAGCTATTCTAGAGGCTGAGGCAGGAGGGTTGCTTCAGCCCAGGAGGTCGAGGCTACAGTGAGCTATGGGGATATCACTGCACTGGGCAACAAAGTGAGACCCTGTCTCTAAATAATTATTTAAAGTTCTTTTCTGTAAAATGGGATAATGGTACCTACCTCACAGATACTCACAAGCACAAAAACACACGAAGGATTTAGAAAGGCCATCTGGAATCTGCCAAAAGGGGTTAGCTATTCTTCTTCTAAAAGTGGCTTTTTTTTTTTTTTTTTTTTTTTGAGACGGAGTTTCGCTCTGTCGCCCAGGCTGGAGTGCAGTGGCGCGATCTCGACTCACTGCAAGCTCCGCCTCCCGGGTTCACGCCATTCTCCTGCCTCAGCCTCCTGTGTAGCTGGGACTACAGGCACGCGTAAAAGTGGCTTTTGTATTTTTTTTTTTTTTTGACACAGAGTCTCGCTCTATCGCCCAGGCTGGAGTGCAGTGGCACAATCTCGGCTCACTGCAACCACTGTCTCCCAGGTTCAAGTGATTCTCATGCCTCAGCCACCCAAGTAACTGGGATCACAGGCATGCACCACCATACCTGGCTAGTTTTTGTATTTTTAGTAGAAATGGGGTTTTGCCATGTTGGCCAGACTGGTCTTGAACTCCTGGCCTCAGGTGATCTGCCCGCCTCGACCTCCCAAAGTATTGGGATTACAGGCATGAGCCACCGTGCCTGGCCTTATTTATTTATTTATTTAAGAGACAGGGTCTCACGGCTGGGTGCGGTGGCTCACCCCTGTAAAAGCACTTTGGGAGGCTGAGGCAGACGGATCACTTGAGGTCAGGAGTTTGAGACCAGCCTTGTCTACAGAGTGAGACTCCATCTCTAAAATAAAAATAAATAAACAAAAATTATTAAAAAAAATTTGGAGGCTGGGCGCGGTGGCTCACGCCTGTAGTCCCAGCACTTTGGGAGGCCGAGGTGGGTGGATCACGAGGTCAGGAGATCGAGACCATCCTGGCTAACACGGTGAAACCCCATCTCTACTAAAAAATACAAAAAATTAGCCAGGCGTGGTGGCCAGCACCAGTAGTCCCAACTACTCGGGAGGCTGAGGCAGGAGAATAGCATGAACCTGGGAGGCAGAGATTGCAGTGAGCCAAGATCAAGCCACTACACTCCAGCCTGGATGACAGGGTGAGACTCCATCTCAAAAAAAAAAAAAAAAAAAAAATTGGAAAATAGAGATAAGCAAAAGGAGCATAAAAATCCATAATCATACTACCCAGAAATAACCAATATTTTAGAGAATATCATAGGTTTTTTCCCCTACATACTTTAAAAACATTGAAAAGTATTATATTTTTGTGTAACTTGCTTTATTCCATTGTATTGATATACCTTTTTTTTAATAAGAGAAAAAAAAAGTTTAAAAATAAGCAAGAAAAAAGCCCAGAGCAGTCAACTGTTTTGCCCACTTCTTACCTTCAAACCTGTTCCAGGAGCCATATGGCTGGAAGGTCAAGCTGCAGTGTCTACTATGGCTCCCTTGATGCTGGCAGGCCCCACACCTGGCTGCTACCTTGCTGATGTCAGGCACTTACCTACCCAAGACTCCACTAGACTCTGAGCTCCTTGAGGGCAAGCACCAACCTCAACATCTGCCTCAGCCCAGTGCCTGGCAACACTTGGTAAAATAAAAAGTCAGCAAATAAGTACTGGCACTCTCTCAGGACCAAGAGTTACACATGAAGGATGATATGGGTATGAGAGAGAGCTCCGCTGTAAAAGGTGATTTGGAATCCTACAGGCCTGGGGCAACAGTAGCCTTTTCAGAGAGGCAGAGACATGGGGATCATGTAACCCATGATCCACTCATTAGAATCCTTCTATATTTCCTCATAGTCTCCTACATTTCTGCACAGGCTGACCTCTTTGCCTGGAGTGCTTATTTTCCTTCTCCAAGTGGCTAATTCTTTCTAGTTCTTTAAGGCTTAGCTTCAAGGAACACATCCTCTTGGAAGCCCCAGGCTTCTACTATGCCTCAACAATTCAGGTGGCAGGGACATCTCTCAGGACTTCCTCTGCAGAATCCCCAAAGTGCCCTAAGGATTCCCTTACCCATCCCACCTTACCTATCCCAAAGAAAGGAGCTAAAAACCACAAGACAGATTCAAATTAGGTATCAGGAAGAGTTTCTTGATGATGAGTAAAAGGCACTGGAGAGACAATTTGAGGAGAGAAAAGAGACCTTTAAGGGGGCTTTCCCTTCCTTCCAGGTTAGGGCTAGCAACAGATGCTGCAGGTGCTTGAGGGCCTGGGTTATCTAAGGTTGAGGTTTTACCTGCTGGAGCATCCTCCTTCAAAGTGGTCAGCCAGGGTTCTGGGTTGCAGGAGGTACAAGGAGTACTATCCACCTAGTCATGGGACCATGGGCTGGGGTATGGTTCCAACAAAGGGCTCAGTTCTGGAGGAATCTCAGACAAGTCACTCCAGCGCCTGTGGCATGAGAGAGAAGACAAGGACCACACACAGGTGAGGGCTTTTCTGGAGTGACTCACTCACTCCTTCCCACCTAGCAGAAGCAACCAAAATGAGATGCAAGGCAGGCCTGGGCGGAGAGTGGGCCTGTCCTTTCCCTTGCCAATTAGGAGACAGGGAAACTTTTATGAGAGCCTCAGAGGCTCCCTGGGCCAGTTTTATTACAGGGTTAGGGTTTGGGTTGGGGTGGGGCTGCAAACCCTCTGGGTCAGTGTGCCATGGAGGAGGAGTAAGACACTGGGGAGACAGAGAAGCCTTGTGCCCTATCCTCTACATTAGACAGAAATATCCTATTTCAGTCGTTGGTGAGGAGGAGAGGCTGGAGTCATCTCTCGCTGCTCCAGGAAAGGTGTGGTGTGGTAGTTTATATCACAGTTCAATCACTCACTGGGTGTGTGATCCTGGGTCAGGCACATCACCTACCTCAATTTCTTACCTTGAAAATGGGGACAGTTAAATCTGCCTCATAAGGAGTGGTTGTGAAGGTCAATGAGGTCATGGTTTGACAGCACCACACAAAGTACGAATCTGAGTATTCACTCAGAGGATAAACACTGTTAGCACTACGACTAAGGGTTGATGATCCATTTGGGAGCGCTAATCAGGTGAACGGTCCAGTGTCAACTTCAAGAAGGTGAGGATTTCAGGGAGATGAATCCATCTGGGAGGTGGGGTGTTGTGAGGCTGGGCCTAAGCCAATCTTTGAAGAATGGTTAAGTGACCCTCAGACTTGGAATTTTCTAGGCCTTGGCACCACCCCTAGCAAGGAGAGATGAGGCTGAGGGTGAAGCGTGCCTGCAATGGATTAACCCTGGTGGAGACTTTCTTGAGGCTCTGAATACATCAAGTCTTTAAAGAACCCAGGGATAGGGACTTCCATAGAAGCTGGAAAAAGGACAATTGAGGCGGAAACAGGTATCAGGACCGTGCTGGACCACTTAAGGTGTGGTGCTACAGCCCTAAAAGATCCTGACCCTGGACACTGACTGTACCCCATCCAAGGGACAGCCATGCAGAGGGCTCCAGAGAACAAAGCTCTTTCAACTGGGAACTCATCTCAAGCAATAGGTCCAGAGGGGCAGCACAACAGGTTTGGGGTTTGAATCCAAAACCCAAGGCCCCTGGCACAGAACCCAAGAACTAAGCCTCACTCTGTTTCCTCGTTTACAAAACGGAGTGATAATATCCAGATCTCACGGGGCTAAATGAAGCGTTAAAGGGGCTAATACCTGTGAAAGCGCTCTGCAAATGTTATTACGATGCAGCATCAGCTCCTAGCTGGAGTCAAGTGAGATTAGAGCAGTTTTCTCCAGTTCTCCCAGCTCCTGCTCCAGTCGGTTTCGCGGTTACCAGCCAAGAATTTCTGGAAAGGGTGTGAACACTGTGGGCAGAAAGGAGACGGTAATGAGTAAATGGAACACCGAATCAAGGCAAGTGGCAACCTGATCACCAGTCCCTCCTTCTCAGACTGTTTCTTTCTAGGCATGGAGGACAGTGGGAGGGCAGACGCTGAGAAGCGCTGGGTAAGGATCTCATCAGTCCAGCTGGCTCCGCCCCCAGGTTCCCGGCGGGAACCGGGGACTCAAGGTCCGGGCGTCGTGCCGCAAACCCAGGGCTGGGATGCCGTTCCGGAAGCACCTGGCACGGGGAGAGTATGTCCTTCCCAGGAAGGTGGACGTGACCCCAGCCAAGGGCGCAGCTGCCCTGACACCTCCCGGGACCAGCCGCCCCCTCCCGGGGTCCTCAGCTGGGCGAAGAGTGGAGCAAGGACCCTCTCCCCCCAGGCCGCCCCCTGCCGGCCAGGTGGAAAGGTGGAGGGTGATCAAGAAAGACTTGTTTCAAGCAAGAGCCAAGAGCTGGGCTACCCCCTCGTGAGACACAAGAGGGTCAAAAGGAAAAGGCAAAAAGGAGGGAAACGGCGCTTTGGAAGGGGAGGTGGAGACGCCTACTTCTTCCTCACCGCTGCGGGGCAAACTGGCCTCCCAAGCCCCTTCCGCGTCTGAAGGGCTTCAGATATAGGTTCGGGTTGACACTCACCGGTCCCACGGCCCGAGCCGCCGTGCTTCAGGCCCCCGCCCGGCCAGACTGGAAAGGCGGGCGGGCCAGGTCAGGCGGCGGGAAGAACACGGGCAGGAGAGAAAAGAGGAGGGGCAAGAGCGTGCAGTGAGGAAAGGAACCTGGGAGCGCCGAACCGCACCCCGTCGGCTGCGGCACTGCTAAGTGGCCGGGGGTCGGCCGGCTCCTCCCTAGGGGCGGGGCGAGCACTCGCGGCGCGGGGCGCGCACGTGGCTTGGCCGGGACGCCTGGTCCGGCTTGCTGGCTTCAACTACGGTGAGATGTTTTGCGACCCTGGGGTAAAATGAGGGTAAAGCGGCAGCTTCCCACGTTCTGGGGGAGAAGCGCGGAAGCACGGTTTCCTGGGCCTTCGGGCGACACCAGGACTGGGGGTCTTTCAGTAGAGGTCGCCGCGGCGGAGTCTTGTGCGAGTGCGGCGGAGTGTTGTGCGAGGCCGGCGGACACCATTACCCTGATAGGGCCTCGCCGTGAGGTCTGAGGGGCCGTGTGAGGTGCATGGCGCGCCGTTTCCTCTCCAGGCGCTCCTCTCAGGGCTACGGCCCTAGAAGATCTGGCCTGCACCAGCCCAAAGGACATGACAGGAGTGGGTAGCCCACGGGACACTGGCACGAGCGCCATGATGGGCGGAGACGCGCGGAATCGGCCGGCCCGGAAGTGCCAGCTGCCTGCGTCGGCCGGAAGTGCCGCGCGGGAGGCGGAAGCGGCTGGTTCCCGCGTGGTTTGGCGGGTGCAGCGGCAGTCCGGCTGCCCTTCCCACGTAGACCGTCTGCTGGGGGCGCCGGCACCATTTGGAGTACGTGAGGTATACGGGTAGGGCGCGGCCAGGTCGGGCGTCTGTTAGGAAAAAGACTTTTTATTTTTATGTTTATTTTTTAAGAGACGGAGTCTCGCTCTGTCGCCCAGGTAGGAGTGCAGTGGCGCGATCTCGGCTCACTGCTGCCTTCCACCTCTGGGCTCAAGCGATCCTCCCGCCTCAGCCTGGCATTACAGGCGCGCACCACCACGCTCAGCTAATTTTTAATTTTTCTTTTTTTTTTTTTCACTCCTGGCCTTAAGCGATCCTCTCTCCTCCCAAAGCGCTAGGATTGCAGGCATGAACCACTTCTCTCGGCTAGGACTTTTATTTTTAATGGTCAACTGATTTGAGTTGGTTACTGTGAGATATTGTCACAGGTTCCAGACAGGCCATAATGCACGCATGCATTCACTTACTTATTCAGCTCATGGTACATTTAGAAACTCTAGGTTCATGTTTAACCAACAAATGTGTTCTTCCAGTATGCCGTTTTTCAGACAATGATGTGTGGCATTCAGAGGTGTTTTACAACCCTTAATAAAAGAGCAACTAACACTAGTATGTGCTATACATCCATTCTTAATGCACCCACCGTACCTACTTCCATCCTAACCTGAAAACATAGCTGTCTGTAAATGAGGAAAGGAGCAGCCTGGGGATCCAGAAATCACTGCAGGGGTCACGTTTTGTACCAAGGCAGTAGGTTTGGAGAGGCTCTGAACTGGAACCAAGGCCCCCAACTTCAAAATGTACTTGGCCCCTAGCGTTTGAATTTGCTTTAAGGTCATTAGTAAATCCTATTCAATTTGCATCAAAGAATCTTCATGATACGTACTGTGCTCCATAATAGAAATTCCCATCTGCCTATGATGCCATTCTCAGAGTTTATATCCCAAATTCGCTCTCTTTTCCTTTGCTTTTTCTTTTCCTTTTTTTTTTTTTTTTTTTGAGATGGAGTCTCACTCTGTGGCCCAGGCTGGAGTGCAATGGCTCACTCCAACCTCTGCTTCCCCGGTTCAACCGATTCTCCTGCCTCAGCCTCTAAAGTAGCTGGGATTACAGGCGGGTGCCATCACGCCTGGCTAATTTTTGTATTTTTAGTAGAGACGGGCTTTCACCATGTTGACCAGGCTGGTCTCGAACTCCTGACCTCAGGTGATCCTCCCACCTCGGCCTCCCGAAGTGCTAGGATTACAGGTGTGAGCCACCACGCCTGGCCCCAAATTCACTTTCTTTGTGAGTCTGTCTTGTACAGGGAATAGCTGAAGCTTTGTAACCAATAATTTAATATTATTAGTATGACATTTCTATCTGAACACATTAGTGTTAAGCTTCTTCCCACAATCCTTGGAAGGGGAATCACAAATCCTAGGTGAACTCATTAGGGCCCAAAGTTCTGCTCTGAAATCTAGTAATAAGAGTAAAATTAAGCCAGGTATGCTAATTACACAAGAATGCTGCTTTTCACAAATCCATTCCTTTGCTCTTGTTTTCACAGGAAGAAAAATGTCTGAAAAGCAGATGAAGGAAGCTTTTGTCAGTAACCTCAATGGAACCACCGTGCTGGAAATCACCCAGGGATTGTGCTTTCCTGCATTCTGTATCCTGTGCAGAGGGTTCCTGATCATTTTCTCACAGTACTTGTGTTCTTTTTCACCTACCTGGAAAACTAGATTCCTCACTGACTTTGTTGTCCTAATAGTTCCCATGGTAGCCACTTTGACCATTTGGGCTTCATTTATCCTCCTTGAGCTTCTCGGTGTAATTATCTTTGGGGCAGGGCTGTTGTATCAAATATACCGAAGGAGGACCTGCTATGCCAGACTGCCTTTCCTAAAAATCCTTGAAAAATTCTTGAACATCAGTCTAGAATCAGAATACAATCCAGCCATCTCCTGTTTCCGTGTAATTACCAGTGCGTTTACTGCTATTGCTATTTTGGCTGTGGACTTCCCACTTTTTCCCAGAAGATTTGCCAAAACTGAGCTCTATGGGACAGGAGCAATGGATTTTGGAGTAGGTGGCTTTGTTTTTGGGTCTGCAATGGTTTGTCTAGAGGTCAGGAGGAGAAAATATATGGAAGGGTCCAAATTGCATTACTTTACAAACTCATTGTACTCTGTTTGGCCATTAGTCTTCCTAGGAATCGGACGATTAGCCATTATAAAATCAATAGGCTATCAGGAACATTTAACAGAGTATGGAGTTCACTGGAACTTTTTCTTTACCATAATAGTTGTGAAATTGATAACACCACTGCTGTTGATTATTTTTCCCCTAAATAAGTCCTGGATTATTGCCCTCGGCATTACTGTATTATACCAGCTAGCCCTTGACTTTACCTCACTGAAGAGGTTAATATTATATGGCACTGATGGTAGTGGCACACGGGTTGGTCTATTAAATGCCAACCGCGAAGGAATAATCTCTACCCTGGGGTATGTGGCAATACACATGGCTGGTGTGCAAACAGGGTTATATATGCATAAGAACCGATCACATATCAAAGACTTGATAAAAGTAGCCTGTTTTCTTTTACTGGCAGCTATTAGCCTCTTCATATCTCTTTACGTAGTTCAAGTAAATGTAGAAGCAGTATCTCGAAGAATGGCAAATTTAGCCTTTTGTATTTGGATAGTTGCTTCTAGCCTGATCCTTCTTAGTAGTTTATTACTGGGTGATATAATTTTGAGTTTTGCCAAATTTCTAATTAAAGGAGCTCTAGTACCATGTTCTTGGAAACTTATCCAGTCACCTGTTACAAATAAAAAGCATTCAGAATCTCTAGTCCCTGAAGCCGAAAGAATGGAACCCAGTCTTTGTTTAATCACAGCTCTAAACAGAAAACAGTTAATATTTTTCTTGCTGTCAAATATAACAACTGGCCTGATCAACCTGATGGTAGATACATTACACAGCAGTACCTTGTGGGCCTTATTTGTGGTCAATCTCTATATGTTTTCCAACTGTTTAATTGTATATGTACTATATTTGCAAGATAAGACTGTACAATTTTGGTGATCAGCAGGAGTAGGATATATAAGTATTTGGGCAATATTTAATGAGGAATATTAATTGTAAAGAAATTGTGCTTTTGGCAACAGTGTTAACCATATTTTATTATAAAATAGTTTCAGTCATCTAAACAGCAGTGATGCTTAATTATTTTTTTTTTTGAGACAGAGTCTTGCTCTGTTACCCAGGCTGGAGTGTAGTGGTGCCATCTCAGCTCACTGCAACCTCCACCTCCCGGGTTCAAGCAATTCTCCTGCCTCAGCCTCCTGAGTAGCTGGCACTGTAGGCATGTACCACCATGCCCAGCTAATTTTTATATTTTTAGTAGAGATGGGGTTTTGCCATATTGGCCAGGCTGGTCTCAAACTCCTGAACTCAAGTGATAACACCCACCTTGGCCTCCCAAAGTGCTGGGATTACAGGTGTGAGCCACCACACTGGGCCAATGCTTAATATTTTAATGTATCTCAACAATAAAACCAAGAAGAAACAAAGCCTTTTGACTTGTTAGAATGTATTAAGTAGTATTTTAAAGAAACTTTATAGTTGTGACATTGAAAGACTGTTGGGGTGGGGGGAGGAAAATTTTTACTTTCCATCTTAATGTAACCTTATGCTATTCTGTATTTTTACTGTATATTGCTTTTACAATAAATATAAAATGAAATGTTTATGTTGACATTTCAGTGTGAACTGTGGATTGTCAATACTTGTTTATTGCTCAATTTAAATTTTTGAATAAAACCTAGGACTAAGAAGCAAGTGTTTAAAATCAAACACTCCAATGTGCAGATGGGTGGATATAAAAAGAAAAATTTTAAAAATAAAATACTTATATACTATGAAGTCAGACAGTTAAATGCACCAAAGAATAGATGGAAGGCTGGGCATGGTGACTCACGCCTGTAATCCTAGCACTTTGGGAGGCTGAGGTGGGAGGATTGCTTGGGCCCAGGAGTTCAAGACCATCCTGGGAAACAGTGAGACCCTGTCTACAAAAAAAAAAATAGACTGAATTGGATGTTATATTATAGCTTATACACATAATAATTACGAGACAAAGTTTTGCTTTGGGATTAATTCATCTTTTAGCCTACCCTATGCTAGGGATTTAAGAAGCACAGCACAAATTTCCTGATACCTCAGAGCTTGCAATCTAGTGGAGGAAACAGACATTAAACATCTATTGTGAAATGCTAAGTTATGAAGAAAAAGCATAGGTTGTCAAGAGTGTCAAATCAAGAACTGACCTAGTAAGGAGTCAAGTTTTCCCCACAGATTTTTTTTTTTTTTTGAGCTAGAGCTGATTAGTGGGATGAGGAGTTATAAAGTCTTATGTGTCTGGGGGCTGGGGGGCAAATGGCAGAGAACATTATAGATGGATGACTCCCTCAGCAAAAGTCCTACGTTGGGAGGGCACCAAGCACATAATGGAATTGAAAGAAGGCTGAACACAGAAGAAGGAAGAGCATGGGCAGAGAGCTGGAGAGGCAGGCAGGGGCCACATCAGGCATCCTCACCTACCATGCTAAGGGAAAGGAGAACCAATAAGAAAGATGAGAGTCATCAAGTACCCAGTGTAATTTAATAAAACTATGGCTAAATTAAGGTTTAATTTAAATCTGTAAAAAATAGAGATGGGGTTGCCCAGGCTGGTCTCAAATTCCTGGCTTCACGTGATCCTCCCATCACAGCCTCCCAAAGTGCTGGGATTACAGGCGTCGTGATCCTGGCCTATAATGACGTTTAATATTCTACTGTCTTTTTTTTTTTTTTTTGAGATGGAGTCTTGCTCTGTCTCCCAGGCTGGAGTGCAGTGGCACAGTCTTGGTTCACTACAACCTCCGCCTCCCAGATTCAAGCAATTCTTCTGCCTCAGCCTCCCGAGGAGCTGGGATTACAGGCACACGCCACTTCGCCTGGCTAATTTTTGTATTTTTAGTAGAGATGAGGTTTTACCATGTTGGCCAGGCCAGTCTCGAACTCCTGTCCTCAAGTGATCCGCCCACCTTGGTCTCCCAAAGTGCTGGGATATAGGCATGAGCCACCGCACCCAACCAGGTGTGTTTATTTTTGACAGATAAAACAGAACTTCCCAGTGTCAGCTCATGAAAAAGAAAACCCAATCCACAGATCCTCAGGTTTAGGTCACTATGGTAATTTAAATAACATTCTGTGGCCATAGATTGTCTTACCACATAAAACTGTGGTTATTATAATGAAACAACAAAAAGTCTTCTAATCAACTATCATTTTCCTTGCAACTATCAATTTTTGAGGGCAGAGGAGAGGGAAAGATAACAAAGTGAGGAGTAAGAAGAACATAATCTGTCCAGGACCTCAGCCTATCTATGCCCTTCAGAAAGTGACTCCCATAATTTTAATTTTTTTTTTTTGAGGCGCAGTCTTGCTCTGTTACCCAGGCTAGAGTGCAGTGGCACGATCTCCTGCCTCTGCCTCCCGAGTAGCTGGGACTACAGGTGCCCGCCACCACACCCGGCTGATTTTTTGTATTTTTATTAGAGACGGGGTTTCACCGTTAGCCAAGATGGTCTGGATCTCCTGACCTCGTGATCCGCCTGCCTCGGCCTCCCAAAGTGCTGGGATTACAGGTGCGAGCCACCGCACCCGGCCAATTTTAATTTTACACAATTATAAACTGGGGATGTCTACTACACGTGCCCCAGTAGCTCTTGTGTGCCGAAGATGACAACCAGTTTTATTTTTATTGAGCATAAATGTCCAATGTATTTATATAAATCATACAAGAACCTTATGTTCCTCCCTAGGAGTTTAAATATAGTCTATGAAGCTAAGACATAATAAGGAATACCTTGGTACTTTTCATTTTTTTTAAACCTAGGTAGCCTGGAGAACAGATAGATCTCATTTATGCCTGCATTTTGTGGCTAGCGTCTCACACATTTGGACCTAAGAAAAAGAATGGTAGTTTGCTGATAATTTATTACAGCTCCGTCCCTCCAACTGTTCTTTATTAGGTACCAGCAAAATGTGTTCTGCTGTTGATTGCCTTTACTTTCCTGGCCTTTCAAATCCTTTGAACTTGCATTTCACAATGCCAATATCAAAATGAAATAATAGGCAACAGACAACTGTCTTTTAATGTAGCAATTATATATTTCGTCAATTAGAGGTTTGCTCTCTAAAAGCAGATACTTTTCATTTTAAAGTACATAGGATAATTCTCAAGAAGTATTTGCTGCAGTACTGGTGGTTATGGCTAAAAATAGAGCAATAGTGAAAATAAAAATAAGTGCCTACTCTAAAACCAGGAAGATGCACAGTGAAAACTTTGAAAAATTATTTTGCCATGAAATAATTTTCTAAGCGTTTTCCTTGGGATATTGATTTTATTGTATCGATTGTATTATATTGTATGGTATTAGATTAGATTAGATTGGATTGGATTTATAGCACCCAGGCTACCTCCTTGAGAAACAGCAACTTACCTAGCAAATCCACCTTTTTCGCCTTTAAGAATACGTTTTCATTGAATTCCTATTTGTCCAAAGATACTAAGTATGCCCGGTGGACCTAAGAGACAAACCCAAATTAGGGAAAGTAAGCTCAGATGGAAAGAGACCTTTGGGATTTCATTTTATTATGTTTTATATATGTTTTAATACCTTTTCACAGATTTAAATCCCCAGGGTGAATACTCCCTTCTTTGTTAGTACCTGGCGTGTGTTCAGTAGTCAAAGTAATTAAAATTAGCACCTATATAATGAGCTTGTCATTTTTAATGTTCTTTACCAACCAGAATCCTAATGAAGTCTAAAAGGTTTAGGCTGGGCACGTTGGCTCACGCCTGTAATCCCAGCACTTTGGGAGGCCGAGGCGGGCGGATCAAGAGGTCAGGAGATCAAGACCATCCTGGCTGACACGATGAAACCCCGTCTCTAATAAAAACACAAAAAATTAGCTGGGCGTGGTGGCAGGCGCCTGTAGTCCCAGCTACTCGGGAGGCTGAGGCAGGAGAATGGCATGAACCCGGGAGGCGGAGCTTGCAGTGAGCCGAGATAGCGCCACTGCACTCCAGCCTGGGCGACAGAGTGAGACTCCGTCTCAAAAAAAAAAAAAAGGTTTAAAGTGGGTACATTAATTGATGTACCACTGTAGGAGCACCTCTAGATACTGAAGGCCACAGTATCTTGGCTCACTGCAACTTCCGCCTTCCCGGTTCAAGCGATTCTTCTGCCTCAGCCTCCGGAGTAGCTGGAATTAAAAGTGCTCGCCACCACGCCCAGCTGATTTTTGTATTTTTAGTAGAGACAGGTTTTCTCCATGTTGCCCAGGCTCGTCTCGAACTCCTGACCTCAAGTGACCCGCCCGCCTTGGCCTCCCAAAGTCTTGGGATTACAGGTGTTAGCCGCCGCCCCCGTCCTGGTTTTTGTTTTGTTTTTTACATAAAACGCAAGATTCTCTAAAAATGTCCAAATTTTGGCTATGTATATGAACATCATACATACGTATTAGATTCAAGCTAATACTCACTCTTCTACTCTGCTAACATGGCCAGAAGACATAAAAAAAATTTTTTTTTGAGACGTAGTTTCACTCGTCGCCCAGGCCGGAGCACAATGGCGCGATCTCGGATCATTGCAACCTCTGCCTCCCGGGTTCAAGCGATTCTCTTGCCTCAGCCTCCCGAGTAGCTGGGATAACAGGCGTGCGCCACCACGCTCGGCTAATTTTGTATTTTTAGTAGAGACTGGGTTTCACCATGTTGGTCAGGCCAGTCTCGAACTCCTGACCTCAAGTAATCCACCCACCTCGCCTCCTAAAGTGCTGGGATTACCGGCGTGAGCCATGACCCCGGCCCAGAAGACATAAATATTTGCCGGGTAATGACACCTTCGGGAATGAACAATGGTTCTTCGTTTATTATGTCACCGACCCTAACAATGACCACACAATGTACTAAGTCAACATGGCTAAGGGTGCACTATGGGTTATTTGTTGTGAATCTCTAAGACTCCATGTGATAACCAAAATACTTTATTTTGTTTTGAGATGGAGTTTCGCTCTTGTTGCCCAGGCTGCAGTGCAATGGCGCGATCTGGGCTCACTGCAACCTCCGCCTCCCGGGTTCAAGTGATTGTCCCGTCTCAGCCTCCCTAGTAGCTGGGATTACAGGTACATGCCACCACGCCCGGCTAATTTTTGTATTTTTAGTAGAGACGGGGGTTTCATCATATTGGTCAGGCTGGTCTCAAACTCCTGACCCTCAGGTGATCCACCCACCTCGGCCTCCCAAAGTGCTGGGATTACAGGCGTGAGCCACCATGCCCGACCCAAAATACTTTTTTTAAAGGTATCACAGCTCCAGGAAATAGAGCAGTAAATTGATCTGTCCTTCAGATCACCAGGACTTTCATAGGCTAAATATCTTCACAACAGACCTCCAAAACCTTCAAGGTCAGAACTGAACACACGGTGGCGAGAGGAACTGTCTTCACAGCAGCTCTGCTTCCTCGGAGACGGCCAGAGGGAAAGGCCGTTGGCCAGTGCCAGTACTTCGCCCAAGGGAGTACCTGCTCACATTAACCCAGCCCAAGAAGTTCCTTTGGCCAAGACGCACACACACACACCACTGTCCGGTTTTCTATTTCCTTCCAGTGTAACGACAACCACAAGCTATCAGCACTTCACTATTTGCTGTCCCCTCAGCGGGATCGGGATGCAGCTACGCAGCGGGCCCCTGGCGAGCCGCGGTGTCAGGGCCCTTTTCTCCTCTTCCCACCGTGGGAAGCGAATTCAGTGGCGTCAAGGGCCAAGAGCCAGACCTGAGTTTGTCTCTCACCCCCCGATGCTCGTCTCCCTTTTCTCACTGCCTTCCGCCCCCTCTGATCTCGACTTCTCGCAACCTATCCAGGTCCTCTCTGGGCCTCTGCCCTGAGTCAGCCCCGAATCAGACGGGCTTGACTCGCTGAAAGAATTCCCCTTTGAGAGGAGGCAGATTCCCCTCTACATAGACGACACCCTGACGTCGAGGGGCTTGCCCCTCGTCCGTGGGGAAGCCTTCCCGGCCCGCGGCTGGGGCCTGAGGTTGGGCCGATCACCCCTCCTACCAGTCCTAGTTCGGGTCTAGCGGAATGGCTGGGCTCCGAGAAGGGCGCCGGGCCCACGGGCGGGACGGCCAGGGCGGCCCCGCACCCTCTGGGCGCAAATTTCTCCAGCGGGGTCCCCAGCGCGGCCAGCCCCAGTCTCGCGAGAGGACGTGGGTCCCGCCCGGCGCCCGACCCCGCCCGGCCCCACCTTCCCCTCGTCCCCCGCCCTCCTTCTTCCACTCCCCGCGGCGCGAGCGGCTGACTGCCCGTAGAGGAAACGACATTCGGAGCTGCGCTCCCGCCCACGCCGGCCCTGACGCGGGCCTCGTCAGCCAGTAACAGGGAGCAGAGGTGGGAGTTAGCGAGGCGACCACGAAAACGGTGAAGGTCGGAACCGACAGCCTCCTCCGAGAAGGGTGAGGAAAGGGTCTGAGCCTCCCCGTTCCCTGGACTCCGCAGAGCCGCTGCGGGGTCGATCCCTCCCAGGGGCGGGGTCGCGCTGGGCAACTGCAGTCCTGGGGCCGACTGGGCGGGGTGCGCCCAGAAGCGGGGAGAAGGGGTCAGTTGGGGGCAGAGGGCACCCGGGCGGCGGGCGGCGGGGAACAGGCTGCGGGGCCCAGGCCAGGGGTGGGGTCCTGGGGCCGGGACTCCTGCAGCGGGCGGGGAAGCCCCCGGCAGGCCGGTCCCTTCCGCCTCTCCTTTGGACCCTGACTGGAGGCCGGCGGGCGGGCGGGCGGGCGGGAGAGAGGGAGGGAGCGCGGCGCGAGGGGGGCGGGTCCCGGCGGCGCTGGGCGCTGATTGGCTGAGCGTGTGTGGAATCGGGTGATGGGAAACGCAGCCCGGCTCTCCCGTACCCTCCCGCTCCGCTCCCTGCCCCCCGTGGCGAATGTGCTGCGCAGCGGCGGGTGCTTACGCTCGCGGGGTTTGGCTGTTGCAGGCAGGAGCTGGGAGGAGGCGGCAGCGGCGGCGGCAGAAACAGCAGCGGCGGCGGCGGCGGCAGCTGGGAGGAGGTGGTGACGGTGGCAACGGCAGCGTCGGGGACGATGGCGCGACTCGTGGCAGTGTGCAGGGACGGGGAGGAGGAGTTCCCCTTCGAGAGGAGGCAGATTCCCCTCTACATAGACGACACCCTGACGGTGAGCGGGCCGGGCCGGGCTGGGCCCGCCGCTCCCCTGGCAGCTGTTTCCCCTCCTCCCCCTCCCCCAGGCCGAGCGCTGCGCACTGGAGAAAGAGTGTGTTGCAACTCCTAGGCGAGGCCTTCTCTTCAGCAGGCCCCACAAACTCGCCTTTGCAGTGGGTGGCTCGGTAACCTCTGTCGGCCCCAAGCCCAGAGCTCCGTACGCACTCCCTCTCTCCAGATTTTCCTTCTTTTGGAACCTTATTCCTTGACCCTTTCCCTTTAGGAGACGCTGCTTTTGTCAAAGCACACATCTCAGAGAGGGGTTGAAGGATCTTGGGCGTTTAGGGCCTACCCCATACAGAAACCACCTACCCTCGGGGAGGCTTAATTACCTGGTAATGTCGCAGCTGCACTGCTACCTGTGTATTTTCTGTTTTAATACTGGTAGCTCTCACCACATAAGCTTAATTACTGGGGGCAGAGTGACATGCTCGTGCACAGTCAAGATTCCACTAAAATGGTTTGATTTCGTTGTAAATAGTCTCGTATTGCCTAATGCATTAAAACTCTTGAAATGATTGTATTGCTAGGCCCTTTCTTCAAAACGGGCTTTCTTCGCATTATTTAGTTTACAGGTGGACTTTTTTTTTTTTAAAGGAAGCCAAATTATTGAATGTGTAAGAGTACTATAAAAAGCTGATTGCTCATCTTGAGTGTCAAGACCCAGTTCCGGGTACTTTATTCTTTAGATTTGGTAGTGTAGCATTATCGACCCTCTGCCCTATGTTGCTGTACTGTTTCCTTTAAAAGGAAATGGCTGAAATTTGAATTGAATCTGAACAGGAAATGAGTGCAGTTGCTTGCCACTTAAGAAATGAAATTAACCTTTTCCGAATATCTTTTGAAATCTGCGTTTTGATGATGCTGAAGCTTTGGATTATACATTTGCTTATTTCGATAAGGTGCACCTAAGTCTCTTCATCTCATCAGTATTCTTTTGCTATCAAAGGCAGTTGATCAGTTTTGTTCCTCAATATTTTTTTTTGCAAATATCTACCGAAGTTTTTTCAAATTTTATGTAAAATGCAAGTCATTGTAGAGATGCCAGTCTATGCCTTTATGCTTGCCAGTCTCAATTAAGACTTGATTGAGCTGCAGTACTTTAAAAAGGATTAGAAGAGCTATTGAATGACTTAATTTATTAGAAGTTTTTAAGTGACAGCATTTCTAATTATTCAAGTGCATTTATTTTTCATGAAAAAAGGTAGAATGATTTGTTCTGACATAAAGTAAATAGTGTTGATGCATTAGAAATTGTGTGTCTTGATTATGATTTCTGTACTTTTTGCATTAGAAGTATAATGGACTTGTATTTTTAAATAGTTGAAACTAGCACTGTGATCATATTAAATAATGCATTTCTCAGTTTGGACTTCAGATAGGGATTCATTTGTTGATATTTTCTTTCTTCTCTCCCCTGCTAACATAAACACTTTTCTGAAGCATATAGTTATGATATCAGCCTTTAAGGTTTATTGTCCCACAATGGCTGTGGAGTTAAAAAAAAAAATTCAGTGAGTTTGGATATAAGATTATTATTTAATGAATAATCATAACATAGGAAAACATATCAAAACATAGGGAAAACCAACATAAATAGTCTTCAAAAGACACTAGTTCTTGGTATATTCACATAACCACCTTTGTGAATGCAGCACATTAATACATCTGTCATATAGCACTTTAAAATGGCCAACTTTTTAAGTGCTTTTATACTGTATTCTCTCCACAATGATGTGACTTTCCAAAATTTTCCACTGAAAAAGATGTAACCTTGCAATGTGGTTTAGTATGGAACTTACTTTGCACTGTATCTGGCGGTTGAATTTTGCTTTTATTGTACTGTGGACTTGTGACTAAGGCAAATAAAACTTAAGCTCACTTAATTTAAATATCTCAAAATAACATTTAGGAAAAGGTGCAGTTTTTCTTTGCTTCAGAATGGGTTTTTATCACAAAGGAATGAGTGAGACATTTATTTGTGCTGGGACTTCTGCACAGTCATTGAATGCTGTGAGTGAATGTTAGTGAAAATTCTTGTCAAGGGAAACAAGTTTCTTTCAGGATATTCTACCAAATACTACTGAAAGGGAGAATGCAGAGCAAAACACCTGTTGGGAGAGAAGGGGAAAAGGGAAGAGGGAAGGAAGATGCCCCTATCAGAGTTTTATGCTCTGCATTGTTCCTTTGATAGATGGCAGTGGATGCCTGAAGTTAACCTTAGGTTTTGTCTTTGTCCCTAGGGTCTGTAGGTAATGCACTGAGGAAACATTGTTTGAACTTATTTCAAATAGTAGTCTTAGGATTTTGATAGTAGCTAAATGTTGCAATATAGTTACAATGTTTACAGGCAGTTGCAGACTTTATCATTTTAGTTGGGATGCTGAAACTTTACCCTTAGTTAAACTGGCAGTTGTAATTTGGACTTGTAAAATGAAATTAACAAACTTGTATGTAAAGAAGTAGCCTTAGGCTGGGTTTGGTGGCTCACGCTTGTAATCCCAGCACTTTGGGAGGCTGAGGCAGGTGGATTACTGGAGGTCAGGAATTCAAGACCAGCCTGGCCAACATGGCAAAACCCCGTCTCTACTAAAAATACAAAAATTAGCCAGACATAGTGGTGGGTGCCTGTAATCCCAGCTACTCAGGAGGCTGAGGCAGGAGAATCCTATGAACCCGGGAGGTGGAGGTTGCGGTGAGCCGAGATCGCACCACTGCACTCCAGCCTGGGCAACAAGAGCAAGACTCTGTCTCAAAAAAAAAAAAAAAAAAAAAAAAAAAAAAAAAAAAAGTAGCCTTAGGCCCGGTGCTGTGGCTCATGCCTGTAATCCTAGCACTTTGGGAGGCCGAGGCTGGCAGATTGCCTGAGCTCAGGAGTTTGAGACCAGCCTGGGCAATGTGGTAAAAACCTGTCTCTACTGAAATACAAAAAAATCAGTGGGTGTGGTAGAGTGTGCCTGTAGACCCAGCTACTGATGAGACTGAGGCAAGAGAATTGATTGAACCCCCAGAGGCGGAGGTTGCAGTGAGCCAAGATTGCGCCACTGCACTCCAGCCTGGGAGACAAAGTGAAACTCCGTTTCAAAAAAAAAAATAGCCTCTTCTTTTATGTGATATGTTGTGTCCATGTTTAGAAGATTCCCATGGTAGTTCAGTGAGTTTGAACACCTGAGTATAGGATAGGGCTGATGTAGGTGTACTTGAGAAAATTCCAAATAAGTTGGTGGAATGGTGAAATATTTAAGAAAGTTTTATACTCTGGCTAAAATGTTGTTCAGTGTTACTACAATTATAAAATAACAGATAGAATACATATTTGATTTTAGAGAAATCTGAAGAATTAAAGTTTTTTTTTTTTTGAGACACAGTCTCGCTCTGTCGCCCAGGCTGGAGTACAGTGGCCTGATCTTGGCTCACTGCAACCTCTGCCTCTCAGGCTCAAGTGATTCTCCTGCCTCAGCCTCCTGAGTAGCTGGGATTACAAGTGCGTGTCACCACGCCCAGCTAATTTTTTTGTATTTTTAGAAGAGATGGGGGTTTCCCTATGTTGGCCAGGCTGGTCTTGAACTCCTGACCTCAGGTCATCTGTCCGCCTCGGCCTCCCAAAGTGCTGGGATTACAGGTGTGAGCCACCACACCCGGCCAAAATATATATTCCTTCTAAAATCTTGAAAAATAACTACAAAACAAATTACCCTTAGTCATGCTTCTCAGGGATAAGCACATTTGGTGTAATTTCAGTCCTAGACACACAGATACAGTTAATATATTCTGTAACTTTTTGTCCTTATTTATTTCACTAAATGTAATTTTGAAAACATTTTTTCTTGTCATTCTTAAACATTTTTAATGGCTGTGTAATATTCCGTTGTATGACATTCTGTAATTATTTTTCCACTGTTGGACATGGAGGTTGTTCTAGTTTTTGCTATGAATAAACTGTAAGAACATAAATAATGCAAAAATCTTTGCATTAAAATGTTTTCTCAGGCTTTTGGAAGTGGAATTACTGGTTGGATCAAAGGATAAGAACCTTTTGTAAAGTTCCAGGTACATATTGTCAGATTGCTATGATATTTCTTTTTTTTTTTTTCGAGATGGAGTCTCACTGTGTCACCTAGGCTGGAGTGCAGTGGTGTGATCTTGGCTCACTGCAACCTCCGCCTTCCAGGTTCAGGTGATTCTTGGGCCTCAACCTCCTGAGTAGCTGGGATTACAGGCGCCCGCCACCATGCCCGGCTAGTTTTTGTATTTTTAGTAGAGACGAGGCGTCACCATTTTGGCCAGGCTGGTCTCGAACTCCTGACCTCAAGTGATCTGCCTGCCTCGGCCTCCCAAAGTGGTGGGATTACAGGCGTGAGCCAATGCGCCCGGCCAGATTGTTACATTTCTGCATTGCAGTTTACTCTCCTAATTTAAACCAATCTAAATAGACTACTCTGATAAGAGTTTGGGGTTTTGTTTTTTTTTTCTTTTTGTTCTTGTTTGCATGTACAGCATTAATCTGGTAAGAGTTCTTAATGTCTTACACTTTAAAAAAATGATAAATGGTGGCATATCCACTTGGGAATTAGATGTTTTGTAATTGTTAAAAGTTAGCATTTAATGTTTTCTTTCAACTTTTAACAGTTAATTTTACTGAGGGTGATAGATGTTACAAATAGCTGTGTGGAGTAAAACCAAAATGACAGTGATTTTAATAAATGCAAACTTAGTATATTGTTGGTTAGAACTTGTGAGAATGCGCTAAAAACAGGTTTTTTTTGTGGTCAGGAGAAACCAGAACAGATACTTAAGAGTGAAAGTGGGTAATTGATTCAATAAACTTTATAAAGCAGTAATTGCAGCACAATGACTTGTTCTATTTGTTGCTAGCTATGGGTAGGGAACCTCTTCATGAAGCTGAATGCTAATGATGCCTCTATAAAACCACACCTGAAATACTTTACAGGACTGTCTTCCTTTAGGTAACCTAGAATCTCAAGATTAAGTTAAGGAAGTGGTTTTAAAGAATGAAGAACAAATTGTGCTACTAGCCTCTTTGCCTTCCCCTTTTTATTTTCATCTCTTAAAACACTGAACAGCATATAGTGATTGGCCAGAAAACAGTAAGGTAAAAAGCCATTGTCCTAAGTGTTTGAAAGGCGAGGACAGAGTATTTAGTTTGAGTGCATTGTCTCCAGCCAGAGTAGTGAGTAAATACAAGAGAAAATTTAGTAGTATGCAAGCTGATGAAACCAGGAAAGATAGAAATAGATTAGATCTTAGTATTTTTGCTACTAATTAGGTGAAAATGAAATGATTGGAAACAAGTTTTGTTTTTAAAAATAACCGTGTTCTTTATTGACTTTTTTTTTTTTTTGAGACCGAGTTTTGCTCTTGTCGCTCAAGCTGGCGTGCAATGGCACGATCTTGGCTCACCACAACCTCCGCCTTCTGGGTTCAAGTGATTCTCCTGTCTCAGCCTCCCAAGTAGCTAGGATTACAGGCATGTGCCACTATGGCTAATTTTTTGTATTTTTAGTACAGACAGGGTTTCTCCATGTTGGTCAGGCTGGTCTTGAACTCACGACCTCAGGTGATCCACCCGCCTGGGCCTCCCAAAGTGCTGGGATTACGGGCGTGAGCCACCGGCTTCTTTATTGACTTCTTAGAAAGAATTCCTAAATCAGGTATTATCCATATAATTAAAATATTTTAGGCTGGGCGCGGTGGCTCATGCCTGTAATCCCAGCACTTTTGGAGGCCTCGGAGAGTGGATCACCTGAGGTCAGGAGTTCAGGACCAGCCTGGCCAACATGGTGAAATCCTGTCTCTACTAAAAATACAAAAATTAGCTGGGCATGGTGGTACGCCTGTAATCCCAGCTACTTGGGAGAATTGCTTGAACCTGGGAGGCAGAGGCTGCAGTGAGTCGAGATTGAGCTACTGCACTCCAGCCTAGGCAACAGAGTTGAGACCCTGTCTCAAAAAAAAAATTTTACAAATCAGCTCGCAGGTCTCAGTATTATTAGATGTGTTCTTTGATCTCCGTTTCAATTTTTAAAACAGTTGATCAGAATATAAATACATACTGAGTCAGAATTTAGGATTTTGCCTAAGAACCAGACTGGAGAGATTTTGATTTGGTTAAATAAGGAATATTCTTTGTTTCTTAAATTGATAGCTTTGATCTTTAAACAGTATAGATAATTGTCATTTTTTATTACGGCTATTGGTATGTGGTGAAATGGTGTATATTTGTATCAAGCAAATGAAAATATAAATCAAGGTATTAGTTACTTAAATGGTAGGTTTGGAGTGACCTCCAATATTCTGTTGAGTTACATGGCTCTAAAAGTTTATACCTTTTTAATGACTTGACAGTTAAATTTTTGTGTGTCTTAAACCTTTTGATGATTCCAGAAAATATGAGTTAATTGAACTATTAACTATTTTATTGCTTTTATTATAATAGTTTTCTGGACCAGGATTTCCAATACCAGGATTATTATTATTTTTTTAAATTTGAGTAGAGCATGTTAATTAGAATAAATACAATAGGCAGTATGGTTCATTAGATATTTTGCTCTTTTCAGTCATCCTCACCAGATTATTGATAGCTACAGCATTAAAATAGACCATTGACTTCAGTTTTGCTTTGTGCTGTTGATAAAGTTAATGTATGAAAGTGCTTATAACAATGTCTAATACACATGAAGTGTCTTTATTATTACTTATTGCTACCCCCCTTTAGAGGTATTAATAAGACTGAGAAGGAAAACTAGAAACAAGATGTCAGGGTTGATAAACCTGAAAATTGGATAATTGACATTTGGACATTTCATCTGTATGCATGGAAGAAAAAACTTTCAGAATGGTAAAAGCTATTGAAATGGGTCAGGCGTGGTGACTCACGCCTGTAATCCCAGCACTTTGGGAGTCCGAGGCAGGCAGATTGCCTGAGCTCCGGAGTTTGAAACCAGCCTGGGCAACATGGCAAAACCCTGTTTCTACTAAAAATACAAAATATTAACCATGTTTGGTGGCAGGTGCCTGTAATCCCAGCTACTCAGGAGGCTGAGGCAGGAGAATTGGTTGAACCTGGGAGGCGGAGGTTGCAGTGAGCCGAGATTGTGCCACTGCACTCCAGCCTGGGTGACAGAACAAGACTCTGTCTCAAAAAAAAAAAAAAAAAAAAGCTATTGAAATGGAAGCATGTCTCTAAACATGGTATAGTGAATATAGAATTGGAAGCAAGGAGCATTAACTCTTCCCCTGCCATAATATATAGTATATATGCATTGTAATACATTTGGGAAATATAGGAACACATACAGAAAAAGTTGTCTTACTACCTAGAGATAGCCACATCTAATATGTTTTCCTTTTTTGAAAGATAAAGTATACACACTGAAAATTTGAAGTGTGTTGCACATGCAGTCTGGATTATGTTAGTATTTGCATCATAGTCTATCCTTTAGTATCTATTTGTCTCTGTACTTCATATATCTCATATTCCTCCGTTATCAAGAAAAACTCTTAAATCTATTGCTTACGTTTGACTTAGCTGTTAATGAGGCCTCATTTTGCTGTTAGAACAAACATGTTTTAAATTTCTCTAATATGGAAGGAAAGGAATGGTTACATCTATTAAAGAAGCAGGTCTCTGGTGCTGGTTGGGGAAGGGAGTGATCTTTTTAAGATCGCATTCAACTGGGTAGGGATATTTTGTTTTTGCCTTAAATCGGTGTTTTTCTCTTGACTTCACTCTTTGATTTTGTAGGAGTTTGTGGTCCTTGTTATGTGGCAATGTGGAAATAGTTTGTCCTAGTACGATATGTTTGATCTTTAACAATGTTTTAGTTAAGATATACATGTGTTACTTTCATTGTTTTGAAGGCATATCTTTTTCCCCCACATTTTAATACCTGAAATCAGGATGCTGCTTGAATTTGATGACATCTTATAGTAAAAATGGCTTGTAGTGATACATAACTATGGTACTAAAAATCTGTGGTGTGACAACAGATCAGTAAAATGTACTAATTACACATTCCCATTATGTGACATAGTGAAGCCTCCTTAAGTTTCATATGCCTTCCTATGGTAGTGAATTTTGATAATTGAATAAGTATATCAATGTGCCCTTTTTGTTCATAATTAGAGCAAACATTTACTATGTGCCAGGCAGGTACTGTTCTGGCCAGGCACAGTGGCTCACGACTGTAATCCCAGTACTTTGGGAGGCTGAGGTCAGGAGTTCGAGACCAGCCTGGCCAACATGGTGAAAACCCATCTCTACTAAAAATACAAAAATTAGCTGGGCTTGGTGGTGGGTTCCTGTAATCCCAGCTACTCGCGAGGCTGAGGCAGGAGAATTGCTTGAACCCAGGAGGTGGAGGTTGTGATGAGCTTAAATCATGCCACCGCACTCCAGCCTAGGTGACGGAGCAAGACTCCGTCTCAAAAAAAAAAAAAAAAAAATGGAAACTTGTCTTATGTACTTGAATTTTTTTTTTTTTTTTTTTTTTTTTTTTTTTTTTGACAGAGTTTCACTCTTGTTGTCCAGGCTGGAGTGCAGTGGTGCGATTTCAGCTCGCTGCAACCTCTGCCTCCCGGGTTCAAGTGGTTCTCCTGGCTCAGCCTCCCAAGTAGCTAGGATTACAGGCATGCGCCACCAAACCTGCCTAATTTTATGTATTTAGTAGAGATGGGGTTTCTCCATGTTGGTCAGGCTGGTCTCGAACTCCCAACCTCAGGTGATCCGCCGCCCCCCACCCCACTGGCCTCCCAAAGTGCTGGGATTATAGGTGTGAGCCACCGCACCAGGCCATGTACTTGGATTTAACAAAATTTTTTGAGGGGCTAGGGATGGGTGCAAATCTGGCTTTCACGGGTCTATTTCTGGAGTTTGTAGGCTGTATCCTGTTCTCAGAGGGGTAAAGTAATTGATTTCCGTTCTGTTTGCATTTTAAGATGGTGATGGAATTTCCTGATAATGTGTTAAATCTCGATGGACATCAGAATAATGGTGCACAGCTAAAGCAGTTCATTCAGGTAATAGTTTTTTCAATCAGTGTTTTTAATGGTGTATGTGTATTTTAAAGACTCATTTAAAATTTAGCTGTATTAATTTTATATAGGATTCTCTAGGTCTTAATATTGCACTGGAATTGCTCTTTCACCATTGCTATAGTAAGCATGCATAGTTATTTACATGATTTATGTAACTGCCATGTGAAAAAGAATTGGTGGTGGTGTGTTAATATTTTACATGTCCATAAGACTTTAATTTTAAAACCAGGCCATCTTTCCTAGTTTTTAAAAGATAAGGTATATAATTTTTCATTAAAAACTTGTTGGTTTTCTGCTGTACTAATTGTTTTGTTCAGACAAAGTAATCCTATATTATGAATTTTCTGATGTTTGTTTAATTCCTGAGAAATATAGTGCTTTATAAATACACTTAAATGCAATGTATAGTGGTCCCTCAGTATCCGTGGGGGATAGTTCAAGGATCCCTAGGCAAACCAAAATCCACAATGCTTATACAAAATGATATAGTAAGGGCTAGGCATGGTGGCTCATGCCTGTAATCCCAGCACTTTGGGAGGCCAGGGCAGGTGGATCGCTTGAGTTCAGTAGTTGGAGACCAGCCTGGGCAACATGGCAAAACCCTGTTTCTACAGAAAATGCAAAAAAGTTGGGCAGACATGGCAGCATGTGCCTGGGGTCCCAGCTCCTCCGTAGGTTCAGGTGACAGGATCTCTTGAGCCCAGGAGGCAGAGGTTGTAGTCAGCTGAGATCGCATCACTGCACTCCAGCCTGGGCAATAGAGTGAGACCTTGTCTCAGAAAAAATAAGATGTATATTTGCATGTAACCTCTGCACATCCTCCCATATACTTTAAAGCATATTTAGATTACTTATAGTACCTAATACAATGTAAATGCTGTGTAAATAGTAGTTATACTGCATCTTTAGGGAATAATGACAAGGAAGAAAAGTCTGTACATGTTTAGTATTTCCTGTCAAATATTTTCGATCCTTGGTTGGTTAAATTCACAGATGTAGAACCCATGGATATGGAGGGCTGACTGTAATTAAGATATTGGAAGATGACTTGTTAGTTTACTTCAGAACTCTTATTTCTACTTTTAGGAAAACTTTGAATGGAAGGGTAATGGTAAATGTGAGAAAATGCTTCTTGGGAATTGTCCTACTTTCCTATCCGTTTTTGGCAAATCTGAAAGTGTTAACTGCAGTTAACTATAACTCCATCAGGTAGAAGTTACTTACTAGAGTTTGCTCATTTCTCTGCAACAGTAGCTCTCAGTTATTTTTCTACCTTGTCATAACCAGCAGATACAATTCATAAGCAGCAGCATGCTAGTTACTTCCCTACATAAGGAAGATAGGCCATGTTTTCTCCCATTAATTCGTAATATACCTGTTCATGCCTCTGGATTGGGAATTGCTGCTCCATATGATTACCATCCTAACTTGACTCCTGTAGCTAAACATAGTGATAGTAAGTGTGTTGTTAAAAGTTGTCAAAACAAAACAAAACAAAAAAAACAGGCCAGGCGTGGTGGCTCACGCCTGTAATCCGAGCACTTTGGGAGGCTGAGGCGGGTGGATCACAAGGTCAAAAGATCAAGACCATCCTTGCCAACATGGTGAAACCCCATCTCTACTAAAAATACTAAAATTAGCCGGGCGTGGTGGTGCACACCTGTAGTCCCAGCTACTCGGGAGGCTGAGGCAGGAGAATTGCTTGAACCCAGGAGGCAGAGGTTGCAGTGAGCTGAGATTGTGCTACTGCACTCCAGCCTGGCGAGAGAGCAAGATGCCGTCTCAAAAAACAAAAACAAACAAACTTAAAAAAAAGGTACAGCTGTATTGTGCTTTTTTTTTTTTTTTTTTTTTTTTTTTTTGTGAGAGGACTGGCCTAATACTCACTGAACCAGCCCTACATTTCCAGATGCAGTACTGCTTTTTGGCATCCTAAGCAGAGTTGTTTATATACCCTAGATTCTAGAGCAAGGGGGTTTGTGGAGGAAATTCCGTACAGCATGGACAAAGCTGACTACTTTGCCTTTCTGACTCAGTTGCAGGTAGAGCTGGTAAACCCTGGCCAGGTTGTACTTTACTGCACAAGGATAGGAACCAGTAGTAGTGAAAGTGTAATTTTACGTCTTTTTAAAGGACACTCTTTCATTTTCTTTCCCTCTTTCAGCGACATGGTATGCTTAAGCAACAGGATCTAAGTATTGCCATGGTGGTGACATCACGCGAAGTCCTGAGTGCACTTTCTCAGCTTGTCCCATGTGTTGGTTGTCGTCGCAGTGTGGAGCGTCTCTTTTCCCAGCTTGTAGAGTCTGGAAATCCTGCTCTTGAACCCCTAACAGTAGGGCCCAAGGGAGTCCTGTCTGTAACTAGAAGCTGCATGACTGATGCAAAGAAGCTTTATACATTATTTTATGTACATGGGTAAGTATAATCAATTAGGAGAAAATGGGTTTGTTAAAATTTAAAACAGCTTGGTGACAGTGGCAGCTTATTTTCTTGATGGAAAGATTGAGTCTGATTTAATAATTTTATTGAGTAAGTTGTATGTACCAGTGGATGTAAAGTTTCAACTCTCCACGTGGGGAGAGGCAGACAGAAAGCAAATATTCAATTTGTCAGGGATGATAAGTTAGAAAAATCAGTAAGGGAGGTAGAGAATGGAGTGGGGGTAGAATTATTGTGGAGGATGGTCAGGGAAGGCCTCCCTGATAAAATGACATTGAATATAGATTTGAATGAAGTGAGCAAGCAAATCTTGTAGAAAACTGGGGGGAAGGCAGAGAAGGGACAGCTAGTGTAAAGGTTCTGAGGTTGGGGTTTTATTGGCATGTTTGAGGAATAGTAAGGAAGCCCTTGTGGCTGGAGCCAGATGAATGAAGGGAACAGTAATAAAAGATGGGGTCAGCAGAGTAATAAGGCCGGGCGCGGTGGCTCACGCCTGTAATCCCAGCACTTTGGGAGGCCAAGGCAGGCAGATCATGAGGTCTGGAGGTCGAGACCATCCTGACCAACGTGGTGAAACCCCATCTCTACTAAAAATACAAAAATTAGCTGAGCATGGTGGCGCATGGCTGTCATCACAGCTATTCAGGAGGCTGAGGCAGGAGAATCACTTGAACCCAGGAGGCAGAGGTTGCAGTGAGCCGAGATCACGCCACTGCAGTCCAGCCAGGGCGACAGAGCGAGACTCCGTTTCAAAAAGAAAAAAAGAAGAGCGACTGGGCGCGGTGGCTCACGCCTATAATCCCAACACTTTGGGAGGCCGAGGCAGTTGGATTGCCTGAGCTCAGGAGTTCAAGACTAGCCTGGGCAACACGCTGAAACCGAGTCTCTACTAAAAATACAAAAAATTAGCCAGGAGTGGTGGCGGGTCCCTGTAATCCCAGCTACTCGAGAGGCTGAGGCAGGAGAATCTCTTGAACCCGGGAGGCGGCAGTTGCAGTGAGCTGAGATCGCACATTGCACTCCAGCCTGGGCAACAAGAGTAAAGCTCCATCTCAAAAAAAAAAAAAAAAAAAAAAAAGGTAATAAAAGGTCCAGTCATATTTTTATTTTTTCAGACAGAGTTTCACTATTGTTGCCCAGGCTGGAGTGCAATGGCTCGATCTCAGCTCACTGCAACCACTGCCTCCCGGGTTCAAGCGATTCTCCTGCCTCAGCCTCCCAAGTAGCTGGGATTACAGGTGCCCACTACCACGCTTGACTTTTTTTTTATTTTTTAGTAGAGACAGGGTTTCGCTATGTTGGCCATGTTGGTCTTGAACTCCTGACCTCAGGCGATCTGCCCGCCTTGGACTCCCAAAGTGCTCGGATTACAGGCGTGAGCCACCGTGCCTGGCTGAGGTCTTTTTTTTTTTACTCTGAGTGAGGTGACAAGCTTTGGGAAGGTTTTGAGCAGAAGAGTGGCATAGTCTGATGAAATCTGGCTTACTTTGACCTCTGTATTGAGAATGAATGACGGCTTTGGAGGTAGTGAAAAATGGTTATAAAGGATCCTGGATATATTTTGAGGAATGAGCCAGTGGGATTTTTTGGATAGATTGGTTGTGAGGGAGGCCATCAAAGATGATTCTCAGATTTGTGATGTAAAGAATGGACAACAGGCCTTGCGTGGTTGCTCACACCTATAATCCCAGCACTTTGGGAGGTCGGTGAGGGTGGATCACCAGAGGTCAGGAGTCTGAAACCAGCTTGGCCAACATGGTGAAACCCCATTTCTACTAAAAATAAAAAATTAGCCGGGCGTGGTGGCAGGCACCTGTAATCCCAGCTACTCAGGAGGCTGAGACGGGAATCGCTTGAACCCGGGAGGCGGAGGTTGCAGTGAGGCAAGATTGCGCCACTGCAGTCCAGCGTGGGCAACAGAGCGAGACTCTGTCTCAAAAAAAAAAAAAAAAAAAAAAAAAGAATGGGCAAATGGTTACCATTTACCGAGAGGGACGAGACTGAGGAGAAATGTAACAGAGCTCATCTTTGGGTGTGCTAAGTTTGAGATAGCGATTAGACATCCAAATAGAATTCAGAGAGGTCTGGGTTAGAGATGTAAATTTGTCTCATTTAGTGAATATAAATAGGAAAAGAAGAAGAGGTCTGAAAAGTAAACCCGAGGCTTTCCTATTTAGAGATGGTGGTAGGGACTTTTGATATTTACTGTGCCTGGGCTTGAGAAAATAAGCCTTGGAGTGTTTTTGAACAGAGGAATAATGTAATCTGATTCATATTTTAAAAGGATCACTGTAGCTGCTGAGTGAGGCCTGGAATGTAAAGGGCAGAAGGTGCAGCAAGGAGACCATTTAGGAGGCCAGCTATTGCAGTTGACTAAGCTAGAGATTGGTGGGTTGGACAGGGATGATAATGGTAGAGGTGATAAGAAGTGATCTGATTCTAGATTGGTTAATTTTTATTTAGCTTTTATTCTATCTTATTTATTAATTTTTTTGAGACAAAGTCTCACTCTGTCTCAAGCTGGAGTGCAGTGGTGCAATCTTGGCTCATTGCTACCTCCGCCTCCCAGATTCAAGTGATTCTCGTGCCTCAGCCTCCTGAGAAGCTGGGATTACAGGCGTGCACCACCACACCTGTCTAATTTTTGTATTTTTTTTAGCAGAAATAGAGTTTCTCCATGTTGGCCAGGCTGGTCTCTTAACTCCTGGCCTCAGTCTCCCAAAGTGCTGGGATTACAGGTGTGAGCCACCATGCCTGGCCTCATTTTAAAATTTTCTGTAGAGATGAAAATTTTGCTATGTTACCCAGGCTGGCTTTGAACTCCTGGCCTCAAGTGATCCTCTTACCTCAGCCTTCCAAAGTGCTGGGATTATAGGCATGAGCTACTGCACCAGGCCTGATTCTAGATAATATTTAAAAGGTAGAATTGGCAAACTTTGCTCATTGGTTGGATGGAAGGTGCGGATAGTAGTAGTGTGTATTCCATATTTGCATAAAAGTTCTGTTGATGACTCCTCTTCAAGGATGTATTGTGTTTACATAATGTTTTGTGAGGTTTTTATATATTTTTTAAAGACATGGGATCTCACTATGTTGCCCTGGCTGGTCTCAAACCCTTGGGCTTAAGTGATCCTTTCACCTCGGCCTCCCAAATAGCCGGGACTACAGGTGTGTGCTTCTGCAACTGGTGTATTTACATAATGGCTGGGCAAGGGAAGATGGCTGAGAGTCAGGTAGCAGTCAGTGTTGAAATAACGTGAGTGCCAGGCACACTGCTAGATACAGTGGGGATAGAGAAAAGTGGTTTTTTTGTGTTTTGTTTTGAGACTTCTCTCTAAAAGACAGTAAATAGAGATTTTAAAATTTGAAAGTAAAATGAATTAAACCCTTAATATGTTTTATTTTTAATTAGGTCCAAACTAAATGACATGATAGATGCTATTCCAAAAAGTAAGAAGAATAAGAGATGTCAGTTGCACTCCTTAGATACGCACAAGCCAAAACCTTTGGGGTAAGTAGAATTGAATACCAAGAGGCTTTGTCATTGTTAAGATTATATATTTGATCATATTTAGTAAAAGAAATAAACCCACTGTTTGCTTTAATTCATTAATTGGTTATACTCTATGACATAGGTCAAAATAAATAGATCCTCTTGTTATGTTGGCCATTTTGCCTTGATATATATAAAGTCTCAATGTAGATCTGATTTAAAAAAATTTTTTTATGTTAAATATGTTTTAGAGGAGGGAGGTTGAAGTCTTTTTTTTTTTCTTTTTTTGAGACGGAGTCTCCCTTTATTTCCCAGGCTGGAGTGCAGTGGCACAATCTCAGCTCACTGCAACCTCCACCTCCCTGGTTCAAATGATTCTCCTGCCTCAGCTTCCTGAGTAGCTGGGACTACAGGTGCGTGCCACCACACCTGGCTAATTTTTGTATTTTTAGTAGATATGGGGTTTCACCCTATTGGCCAGGCTGGTCTCGGACTCCTGACCTCAGGTGATCGCCCACCTCAGCCTCCAAAGTGCTGGGATTACAGGTGTGAGGCACCACACTCGGCCGGTTGAAGTCTTTATGGAAATGTATGCAGCTAATATGAACGTTTTCAAAGTAGTGGTAATCATTATTTGATCTACAGAATAGTCATAATGTATAAATTATTTATCTTTCTTGTCTCTAGCTGTAATTTACCAAGGTTTTAAAAAAAGTAGTTATGACGATATTATGACAATATGTATTTATGTAACTAATTTGTAGTTTTCTATATTTATTATTATTTTTTGAGATGGAGTCTCCTCTGTCGCCCAGGCTGGAGTGCAGTGGCGTCATCTCGGCTCACTGCAACCTCTGCCTCCTGGGTTCAAGCTGTTCTCCTGCCCCAGCCTCCCGAGTAGTTGGGACTACAGGTGCGTGCCACCAAGCCCGGCTAATTTTTTGTATTTTTGGTAGAGACAGGGTTTCACCGTGTTAGCCAGGATGGTCTCGATCTCCTGACCTCATGATCCGCCCACCTCGGCCTCCCAAAGTGCTGAGATTACAGGCGTGAGCCACCGCGCCCGGCCTATTTTATTTTTTAAGCAAATATTGCCTGATAATAATTTGTAGTTTTCTTCTTGATTAAGTGCTATAGTGTCCAAGGCTGCTTTTTCACTTTCTCCCAGCACAGTGCCATAGTTGTCCCCTACAAAATTGCCTGGGGGTGGGGATAGTGAGGCGAAGCCATGGAGTGTGAAGGGACTTTCTAAGACGTGACTTTAGTTTTGGAGAGAATGGGATATTAAAAAACTATACTTCTTTATTAATTTTATCTTTTAATTATTTTTTTGAGACACAGTCTTGCTCTGTCACTCAGGCTGGAGTGCAGTGGTACGATCTCAGCTCATGCAACCTCTGCCTCTTGGGTTCAAGCAATTCTTGTGCCTCAGCCTCCTGAGTAGCTGGGATTACAGGTGTTCGCCACCACTCCTGGCTAATTTTTTTGGATTTTTAATAGAGACGGGGTTTCGCCATGTTGCCCAGGCTGATCTCAAACTCCTGGCCTCAAGTGATCTGCCTGACTTGGTCTCCCAAAGTGCTGGGATTACAGGCGTGAGCCACTGCACCTGGCCTCTGAAAAGTTAATTTTTAAATATCTCATTTGTGTCATTGTCACCTTTTTTTGATTTTTTTTTTTTTTTGACCTGAACTTCCGAGTTACACCATTATTGTATAGACATTTTCCTCCCTGACACAAAGACTTGGATGACCAGGCAGTGGTATGTTAATAATCTATTAAGTTTTTTTCCCCTATACCGAGCAACAAAAAATATTTAAAACATTTTATCGGCCGGGTGCAGTGGCTCATGCCTGTAATCCCAGCACTTTTGGAGGCCGAGACGAGCAGATCACAAGGTCAGGAGTTCGAGACCAGCCTGACCAACATGGGGAAACCTCATCTCTACTAAAAATATAAAAATTAGCCAGGCATGGTGGCACACATCTGTGATCCCAGCTACTTAGGAGGCTGAGGCAGGAGAATTGCTTGAACCCAAGAGGTGGAGGTTGCAGTGAGCTGAGATCGTGTCGCCTGGGCGACAGAGCGAGACTCTGTCTCAAAAAAAAAAAAAAAAAAAAAAAAAAAAAAGGCTGGGCGTGGTGGCTCACGCCTGTAATCCCAGCACTTTGGGAGGCCAAGTTGGGTGGATTCTCTGAGGTCGGGGGTTCGAGACCGGCCTGGCCAACATGGTGAAACCCTGTCTCTACTAAAAATACAAAAATTAGCCAGGCGTGGTGGCAGGTGCTTGTAATCTTAGCTACTTGGGAGGCTGAGGCAGGAGAATCGCTTGAATCCAGGAGGCAGAGGTTGCATTGAGCCAAGATCGCACCATTGCACTCCAGCCTGGGCGACAAGAGTGAGACTTTGTCTCGAAATAAATAAATAAATAAATAAAATAAATTTTATTAGTAAAATTGTCAAACATAGAAAAGTAAAAAATACAATGATTGAACCTCCCATGCACTTTTACCAAGATTTAGTAGTAATCAAGAGTTGCCACACTTGCTTCATTTATCCACCTTTTTCTTTGTATTTTAAAGCAAGTCCCAGGCTTCGTGTTACTCTATTGCATCCTTCCACATGCATCTCTAAATATATGGACATTTTTTTTCACACATTGCCATCATAACACCTAACAAAATTAAGTGTAACAATCGAATACCCAGTTCATACTTAGATTTTACCTGTTTCTGGTTTTTTTTTTTTTTTTGAATGTTGGTTTGTATGAATCAGGATCCAAACAAGAACCACACATTATGTTCTTGTAGCCTGAAGAAAAGAAGTTTTCTTAAGGATAGTTGTTATTTTGCTGCTTGATTTGTCAGTATCTTTTTTTTTTCTTTCTTTCAAATTCTTTTTTTTTTTTTGAGATGGAATTTCCCCTGTCACCCGGGCTAGAGTGCAGTGGCGCGATCTCGGCTCACTGCAACCTCTGCCGCCTGGGTTCAAGTGATTCTCCTGCCTCAGCCTCCCAAGTAGCTGGGATTACAGGCACCTGCTACCATGCCCGGCTAATTTTTGTATTTTTAGTAGACACAGGGTTTCACCAGGTTGGCCAGGCTGGTCTCGAACTCCTGACCTCAGGTGATCAACCCGCCTTGGCCTCCCAAAGTGTTGGGATTAACAGGCGTGAGCCACGGCGCCTGGCCCAATTTGTCAGTATCTTTTAAAAATTTTTTATTTTTTATTTTTTCATCAGCTCATTCTTCCTTCTCAGATTTGTCAGTAGCTTCAGAGAATTTCTGACTCTAAATGCAGAGTACAGGCTAATTTTTCACATTAGAGATGACCTGTTGGCTGAAGGCCTAAAGTGGTATGATACAGTAAAGAGCTTGCCTTCTGGTGCTTTTTTTCTGTTAAGCATATTCTTTGTTGATGAACTGAGAAGCAAGTAGCCCAGCATTTTATGCATCTGTGTTCATTGCTGCCTTCCTTCAAAGACCAATCCTTCCACTCTTGCTCTGCACTCCATTTTCTTTGTTTTCAATCACTTTGCTTATTCAGTTACCTACTTTTGTTAAATTTACATTCAGCTCTGTTTTCCTATCTTTCAGCTTAAGAAACAAAACAAACCTCCACAGATTTTACATCCCCTTCTAGCTACAGTTCCACTACATGGGAAGTCATATGTTTTAGAAGGCTGTTTGCTGAGTATGGAATCAGTGTGAATGGACTTAATTGATCTTAAGTGGTGTCTGTCTCTTGATTAAGGTAGCTTCAGTTATTCCCACAGGCCACATAGAATAGCAGGCTAAGCAGTACAGTATGCTTAGCCAAGGCTCCCTCTCCCTTGGATGGTCACCACTATTAAATGCTACTATGATTCTCCATTTTATGTATTTCCACTCCCCCTCCTGCTGCTACATCCCCACCCCCCATAGCTTTTTTAATTTGTTTAGTCTATTTCCAGAGAAAGTATAATACAGTTGATTAGGTTTTAGCCTAATAAATAGAAATCTAGGTCAGCCTTTCTGAGAGTATTCTCTCATCTATGCAAGTAAACCCAGGTTATTGTCTGTCTGGGAGTAAGTTTGAGATCTGGAAGAAAGATCTAGGCTGGAGTTGTAGGCCTGTAGTTTATCTTAGAGAATGTTATGTAAGATCACCTAAAGGGAAAGAGAGTAAAAGAATTCTGAGGAATTTAATGGTAGAAAAGAAATTAGTAAAGAAACCTGAGAAAGAGTAGCCAGATAGGTAGAAGGAAGCCAAGGTGTAAAAGCGTTCCAAGGAAGTCTGATCAACTATATTAAATGCGGCCAAGTTATCAAGGACCCAAAAGTGGACATTGGATTTAGTAACAATGAGATAATTGGTGATCTTGAAGAGCTGAGCTAGTGATTGAGTGGAAGCAGAATCCAGGTTGCAATGATTGAAAAGTGAATGCAATGTAAGGTTGTCATGGATTAAGCTGTGAATGGAGAGTATGGGAGCAGAATCAGAAAGTGGAAAGGTTATTTTTTTGGAAAGTTTGATCTTAAAAGAATAATAGAAGGCATAAGGTCTAGAATGTTTATAAATAAAATCCTGATTTGAGATACAGATTTTTTTTATAGAGCTTTTTTTTAAAAAAAAAATGCCTTCACATTCTAATGATATAATAATCATTCTTTAGCTGATTTCTCTTTATGAACCTTTCCCTCAATTATGAGAGCTTGAGTTTGAGAGTTTTTCAGTTCTGGGAAATTATGCATTATACTGATCAAGTATAGTTAATAAAAGGGGCTGGGCGGGGTGGCTCACACTGGTAATCCCAGCACTTTGGGAGGCCGATGCAGGCAGATCACGAGGTCAGGAGTTCGCGACCAGCCTGGCCAATATGGCGAAACCCCGTCTCTACTAAAAATACAAAAATTAGCCAGGTGTGGTAGCACACGCCTGTAGTCCCAGCTACTTGGGAGGCTGAGGCAGGAGAATCGCTTGAACCTGGGAGGCGGAGGTTGCAGTGAGCCGAGATCACACCACTGCACTCCAGCTTGGGCGACAGAGTGAGACTCTGTCTCAAAAAGGAAATATCAGAGTTGAGAATAGAAGGATGTAGCATGGAAAGTGGAACAGATGATGTTTTTGTTGTCACAAATAAGGGGAGCTAAACCTTGGCCTGAGCCCTTGTGAGAGGGAGTACAGAGCTGAATTGTGTGGATAACTTACATTTTAGGCAGAGGGTTGAGAAATACCCATTTAGCTACATAGAGTAAGTTAAAAGTTCAGAGGTTTTTCCGTCTCTGGCGTCCAAGGTGTAATGAATTCCTTGGACTGTACTGAGACCTGCAGAAGAACAGACAGGAGCCAGTTGTTCAGAATCATGAAAAATCAAGAAGGCTGTGATTGAATGGAGTGTAAACCCACATTTCCCTTGGAATGCAGGTCCAAGATAAATGTGCTGCAACAAAGCAAAATGTGTGGCAATTTTCATACTGAAGTTGAACCCTGTTGGGGAGGGAGAGTGGGAAGTTTTTAGTAAGTTTGTTAAAAAATTGTATAGGGCTGGGCTTGGTGGCTCACGCCTGTAATCCCAGCCCTTTGGGAGGCTGAGGTGGGTGGATTGCTTGAGCTGAGGAGTCGGAGATCAGCCTGGGCAACATGACAAGACCCTGCTGTCTCTACTTAAAAAATACAAAAAATAAAAAAATAAAAATAACCTGGTGTGGTGGTACACGCCTATGGTCCTAGCTATTCGGGAGGCTGAGGTAGGAGGATCACTTGAGCCCCTGCAGGGGTGGGGTTGCACTGAGCCAAGATCACGCCACTGCATTCCAGCCTGAGTGACAGAGCGAGAATCTGTCTCAAAAAAAAAAAAATTACCACATAGTTCTTATTAATTTAGGCTGTATAAAGTGTTCGTCTTAGTGTACTATCTTTTAGTAAATGTAAAACTTATTCACTGTAATTAATCTATGACCTTCCCAGCTACTTATACATGTGAAGGTAGATGATAGTTTTGTTACCATGGTTTAGCTTTAAAAAGGAGTGATTACAAAAAAAAAATTGAGCTGAGCATGGTGGCTCACACCTGTAATCCCAGTGCTTTGGGAGGCTGAGGTGGGAGAATGGCTTGAGGTCAGGGGTTTGAGGCCAGGCTGGGCAACATAGTAGAGACCTTGTCTCTACAAAATAAAAGTAAAAAAAAAATTACTTGATGATGATCTCATTAAGTAGATCAAAACTTCTTAGAATTTTCAATTTGTGGAAGATTGGTCTGTGTTTAAAAGGGAAAATACTTGATAATTTTTTCGGTCATTTTGACTTTAGAACATTCCAACTATATTTGCTCATAGAATACTTAGTTTATTAACCAGTTGCTCTCTTGATAACTACAGATGTTGTTAAATTGTATCAGATAAACTTGATAGTCAAGCAGAAGTTTTTATATAAAGATATGAGCACACATTTAAATGAACGTTATATTAATATAAAGTGAGTATGTAATCATATAATTTGTAAACATGTTCTAATATCTTAATCATTAAAGTGTTCATGATTTTAATTTAGACTATAGAAATTATTTCTTCAGATTATCTCAGTGTCACTAAGCTTTGTACTATACTACGGTGAAGGGAGCAGTAGCAGTGTCAGTTCAGAGAAGTTAAGTACAGATGAGAAATAGTGAAGGCCACAGGAAGGACGGCAAGTATAGGATCATTTTCCATTATGGACGTTTCCAGGGAACAGCCAGGTAAAAACAAGCAATACTTTAATCTGTTTTTTGTTTTTTTAAGGTTTTACCCTTCTGTATTCTCCCTTTTCACTAATATTTGTTCTTTCTACAGAGGTTGTTGGATGGATGTATGGGAACTAATGTCGCAGGAATGCAGGGATGAAGTAGTTTTAATTGACTCGAGTTGTCTTTTAGAAACACTAGAAACATATCTGCGAAAACACAGGTAAGTCTGATGGTTGTTCCAGTATAATGTGGAAGGTGCCTTATGTGTCAGTCACCTAGAGTGGCCTGTCACTGAACTCCTTTGTATAATAGCATTCTAGCCTTCCCTTTAATACTTGGCACTAGGCGGAGCTTAATATTAGAGTAGGCAGTTCCTTTTTTTTTTTTTGAGATGGAGTCTAGCTCTGTCGCCAGGCTGGAGTACAGTGGCGCGATCTCGGCTCACTGCAACCTCTGCCTCCCAGGTTCAAGAGATTCTCCTGCCTCAGCGTCTCGAGTAGCTGGGATTACAGGCATACGCCGCCACACCCAGCTAATTTTTGTATTTCTAGTAGAGATGGGGTTTCACCATGTTGGCCAGGATGGTTTAGATCTGCTGACCTTGTGATCCACCAACCTCGGCCTCCCAAAGTGCTAGGATTACAGGCATGAGCCACTGCGCTTGGCCAAAGCAGTTGCTTTATGGGATGACTCTCAGGGTTAGCCTTCTTGTGTTAAGCCAGCATCTCCTATTTTGTGATTTTTTTTTTTTTCTTTTTGAGACAGAGTTGCACTCTGTCACCCAGGCTGGAGTGCAGTAGCGAGACCTCGGATCACTGTTCCCTCCGCCTCCCGCGTTCCAGCGGTTCTCCTGCCTCAGCCTCCTGAGTAGCTGAGACTACAGGCGCATGCCACCACGCCCGGCTAATTTTTGTATTTTTAGTAGAGACGGGGCTTCGCCATGTTGTTCAGGCTGGTCTCGAACTCCTGACCTCAGGTAATCCATCTGCCTCGACCTCCCAAAGTGCTGAGATTACAGGCATGAGCTGTGCCCAGCCTATAATGGCATTTTCAAAATTAAATTAGTAGCTTTTTACTTAATATTTGAAGTATTTCTTCTGTCATTATCAGGACCCCAAAAGAGAGTTGATATTCATGTGTTTTGTTACTATAAAAGTAACTTCAGATTTTTCTTTATAGAACACTACTTTTACAAAGGAATTTTCTTTTTTTTTTTTTGAGACGAAGTCTCGCTCTGTTGCCAGGCTGGAATGCGCTGGCTCGATCTCGGCTCACTGTAACTGCTGACTCCCTGGTTCAAGAGATTCTCCTGCCTCACCCTCCCAAGTAGCTGGGATTACAGGCACATACCACTGTGCCCAGCTAATTTTTGTATTTTTAGTAGAGATGGGGTTTCACCATGTTTGCCAGGATGGTCTCAGTCTCCTGACTTGTGATCCGCTCTCCTCAGCCTCCCGAAGTGCTGGGATTACAGGTGTGAGCCACCGTGCCTGGCCTACAAAGGAATCTTCTAAGTGTCATTAACATTTGGAAATTCATAGGGAGGAGACTCCAGTAGAAAAGGAAACTGGTGGGCAGGGTGCGGTGGCTCACGTCTGTAATCCCAGCACTTTGGAAGTCTCAGTCAAGTGGATCACCTTAAGTCAGGAGTTTGAGACCAGCCAGGCCAACGTGGCGAAACCCCGTGTCTACTAAAAATAAAAAAATTAGCCAGGCATGGTGGCACGCACGTGTAGTCCCAGCTACTTGGGAGACTGAGGCAGGTGAATTGCTTGAAACCAGGAGGTAGAGGTTGCAGTGAGCCAGGATCGTGCCACTGCACTCCAACGGAGCAAGACTCCGTCTCAAAAAAAGAAAAAGCAACTGGTAAGGTAACAGCATCTAGAGATGGTGTTCTTGGGGCAGTTCTACTGTTTAAATTTGTTACAAGTTGCGTTTGTGGTTGTATGTCCTTTGACTTTGAGGCAGATATACACAATTATTTTGGGAGTGCCTCTAAAAATCAAGTGAATGATAAAAACTGGTGTCATTACTTTATGTGGCAGTAAGCTAATGACTTCGCCCGCATACCAAGTTTATTGGTGTTTTTCTTTTTTCAATTAAAAACTTTCTTTCTTTGCCTTTTTGGTGGATTATGCCCAAGAGAGTAGAGAATGTGTCACTTACTTGGAGTTTTACAGGGACTATACAGACACAAAACATATATCCTTCCTCTTTAAATATGAATTGATCCTCCCAAAAGATAGTTTTTGCAGGTGATAAATGACAAGTTATTAGAGCACATGTTTTGGAGTTTCTTATAATGGTTTTGTAGATTTTCCTATGTTTAGGGTTAGTGTTTTAACATTTTTAGATGGATTTTAGTCCATTTTACAGATATCTTAACGGTTGTGAGAAAGTATGGTTGAGAGTAATAATAATTAAGGCAGTGAGTGATGAATTTAGGGAGATTGTATTGCATCTGGATTCTACTAATTGTAACTGTACAAGTTAGTTGACTTTCTGTGCCTCAATTTTTGTCTTCTTTAAAACAAACATAGGCTGGGCATGGTGGCTCACAACTGTAGTTCCAGCACTTTGGGAGGCCAAGTCAGGTAGATGGTTTGAGCTCAGGAGTTTTAGACCAGCCTAGACAACATGGTAAAACCCCGTCTCTACAAAAAAGCAGAAAAATTAGCTGCCATGGTGGCACAAACCTGTAGTCCTAGCTACTGGGGAGGGTGAGGTGAGAGTATCACTTGAGCCCAGGAGGTTGAAGGTGCACCATGATCACAGTGGCCGTGATTGTACCACTGCACTCCAGCTTGAGCAACAGAGTGAAACGCCATCTCAAAAATAATAAAAATTAAAATAAAATTAGCAGCTGGGTGCAGTGGCTCATGCCTGTAATCCCAGCACTTTGGGAGGCCAAGGCGGGTGGATCACCTGAGGTCAGAAGTTCAAGACCAGCCTGGTCAACATGGGGAAACCCCATCTCTACTAAATATACAAAAATTAGCTGGGCGTGGTGGTGGGTGCCTATAATCCCAACTACTCAGGAGGCTGAGGCAGGAGAATCGCTTGAACCCAGGAGGAGGCAGAGGTTGCAGTAAACTGAGATCGCGCCATTGCGCTCCAGCCTGGGCAACAAGAGTGAAACTTCGTTCCCAAAAAAACAACAACAAAAAAAGAATTACGGTAGAGGCCGGGCATGGTGGCTCATGCCTGTAATCCTAGCACTTTGGGAGGCTGAAATGGGCAGATCACATGAGGCCAGGAGTTTGAGACCAGCCTGGCCAACATGGTGAAACCCCTCTCTACTGAAAATACATAAATTAGCCAGGCATGGTGGTGCACTTCTGTAATCCCAGCTACTCAGGAGGCTGAGGCATGAGAATTGCTGGAATCTGGGAGGCAGAGTTTGCAGTGAGCTGAGATTGTGCTACTGCACTCAAGCCTGGGTGACAGAGTGAGACTCTGTCTCAAAAGAAAAGTATTACGGTAGAACATCGGCAGATACTACACTTGATCTTAGTCAAAAGGCTGAGACGTGATAGAACATCATTAGAAATGAGGTGTTAATAAACTGAAACCTCTGCCTTAAGGGTTTTTTAAGGCTGGGCATTGTGGCTCAAGCCTATAATTCCAACACTTTGGGAAGCCAAGGCAGGAGGATCACTTGAGTTCAGGAGTTCAATACCAGCTTGGGCAACATAGGGAGGCCCATTTATAAAGGCTGAGTGTGGTGGCTCACTCCTCTAATCTCAGCACTTTGGGAGGCGGAGGTGGGTGGATCACAAGGTCAGGAGTTCAAGACCAGCCTGGCCAACATGGTGATACCCCGTCTCTACTAAAAATACAAAAATTAGCCGGGCTTGGTGGCGTGTGCCTGTAATCCCAGCTACTCAGGAGGCTGAAGCAGGAGAATCACTTAACCTGAGAGGTGGAGGTTGCGGTGAGCCAAGATTACGCCATTTGCTCTCCAGCCTCGGCAACAGCAAGACTCCATCTCACAAAAAAAACAGGCCGGGTGCCATGGCTCACGCCTGTAATCCCAGCACTTTGGGAGGCCGAGGCGGGCGGATCATGAGGTCAGGAGATTGAGACTATCCTGGCTAACACTGTGAAACCCCATCTCTACTAAAAAATACAAAAAATTTAGCCGGGCTTGATGGCGGGCGCCTGTAGTCCCAGCTACTTGGGAGGCTGAGGCAGGAGAATGGCGTGAACCGAGGAGGCGGAACTTGCAGTGAGCCGAGTTTGCGCCACTGCACTGCAGCCTGGGCGACAGAGCGAGACTCCATCTCAAAAAAAAGATAATAGTAAATAAAAATAAATAAATAAATATAAAAACAAAATAAAAAAATTAGCTGGGCGTAGTGACACACCTGCAGTTTCATCTACTCGGGAGGCTGAGGTGGGAGGATCACTTGAGCCCAGGAAGGTTGAAGGCTGCAGTGAGCCATGATCATGCCACTGCACTTCAGCCTGGGTGACAGAGTGAGACTCTGTCTCGAAAAAAAAAAGTTTTAAAAAAGTCATATGCAATGCTGCTTTTGCAAATGGGAAAAAAGCTTTTACGGCTTTTATATCCTATTTTTAACTTGCTATTTACTTATGCTTATAGTTGTACAATCAAACATATATTAAACTACTATGAGAGTATAAAGCAGTAAAATAGGGGGAAAATATTTCAAGTTTTATTATTGTTCTCTTTGATATTTGACCATTTAATTACCTGAAAATGTGAACTTGCTGTTTATAACCTGAAAATGTGGAAGTATTTGTTGTTATTTCTGTGTCCGTTTTTTCTCTCCTAAAGGAGAGACTTTCTGTTCCTGCGCGCGTATGTGTATATTTTAAAAGAACACAAAATAAGGCTAAGCACAGTGTCTCACAGTTCAGCATTTTGGGAGACTGAGGTGGGCGGATTGTTTGAGCCCAGGAGTTCAAGACTAGCCTGGGCAACATGGCCAAACCCTGTCTCTCCAAAGAATACAAATATTAGCCATGCGTGGTGGCACACACCTGTAGTCCCAGGTACTCAGGTGGATGAGGCGGGGAGGGTCACCTGAGCCTACTAGGGAGGTTGAGGCTACAGTGAGACAAGAGTATGCCACTGCACTCCAGCCTGGGCAACAGAGTGAGACCCTGTCTCAAAAAACCGTGAAACATAAATTTACCTTTCAAACAGTTTTTAAGTGTACATTATAATTTTGTTAACTATATGCACATTGTTGTACAACAGATCTCTAGAACTTTTTCATCTCAACTGAAACTATACGCATTGAACAACACCTTTTTTCTCCCCTCACCCCCTAGCAACCACAATTCTTCTTTCTGTTTCTGAGTTTAATTATTTTAGATAGCTCATATAAATGGGATAATGTAGCACTTGAATTTTTGTGATTGGCTTATTTTACTTAGCCATTATCTAAGACAATACTTAGATAATGTCTAAGATTCATCTATGTTGTAGCATATGACAGGATTCCCCTCTAAAAGCTGAATAATGTCACAATACTGTGACATTATTTAAAAATGGGCAGTGTCATAGTATATGTGATATTATTCACTTTTCTTTTTTCTTTTTTTTTGAGACAGTCTCGCTCTGTTGCCCAGGCAGGGGTGCAGTGGCTTGATCTCGGTTCACTGCAACCTCCGCCTCCCGAGTTCAAGTGATTCTCCTGCCTCAGCCTCCTGAGTAGCTGGGATTACAGGCACACACCACCACACCTGGCTAATTTTTGTGTTTTTAGTAGAGACAGGGTTTCACCTTGTTGGTCAGGCTGGTCTTGAACTCCAGACCTCAAGTGATCCATTCGCCTCGGTCTCCCAAAGTGCTGGGATTACCGCACCTGGCTATTCACATTTCTTTGTCCATTCATACATTGATGGACATTGAAGGTTGCTCTCACATTTCGCCTGTTGTCAATAAATGCTGCAGTGAACATGAGTGTGCAAATATCTCTTCAAGATCCTTGCTATCAGTTCTTTTGGATATATACCTAGAAGTGGGATTCCTGGATCGTATGGTAGTTTTATTTTGAAGAACTTCCGTACCGGTTTCCATAGCAGCTGTACCGTTTTATATTCCTGCCAGCAGTGCATAAGGGTTCCAATTTCTTCACATCCTCAGTAACACTTGTTATTTGTTGTTGTTGTTGTTTTGATAGTGGTCATTCTAGTTGGTTTAAGGTGATATCTCATTGTGTTTTTGATGTGCATTTTCCTGATGATTAGTGATGTTGAGCATCTTTTCATATGTTTGCTGGCCATTTGTATATAATCTTTGGAGAAATGTCGATTCATGCTTTGCCCATTTATTTATTTACTTTTAAGTTATTTTATTTTTTTGACAGGATCTTCTTTGTTGCCCAGGCTGGAGTGCAGTGGCATGATCACGGCTTTGCCCATTTTTAAATTAAGCTATTTTTTTTGTGATTGAGTTCTAGTGGTTCTTTATATTCTGGCTATTAACCCCTTATTCAATATATGGTTTGCAAATATTTTTTCCCATTCTTTGGGTTGCCTTTTTACTCTGTTGATCATCTTTGCTGTGCCAACGTTTTTAAGTTTAATGCATAGTCATGTGCTATGTGATGACATTTTGGTCAGTGATAGACCACATATATGACAGTGGGCCCGTAAGATTATAATGGAGCATACTGCGTTGCAGATCAAGTAGAGGAAATGATTAATATTCAGTGATGGTGCTGGGACATTTGGTTTTCCATGTGAAAAAAATATAAATAAAAATATGTATACTACCTAGGTTTGTGTAAGTACACTCTGATGTTCGCACAGCAACAAAATAGCTAACAATGCATTTCTCAGAATGTGTCCCATTGTTAAGTGACACGACTGTAGTCTTTTTTTTTTTTTTCAGGCTTAATTCACTTTATTTTTCTTGTATAAAAACCCTGTGTTGTAGCCACAGCTGGAGCCTGGGTCCTCTGCATGGAGACTCTGGTGTGGGTCTTGACGAGATGGTCAGTGAATTCCTGACAGGAAGACTTGATGAATACAGTCTCCTTCCAGAGGTCGGGGGTCAGGTAGCTGTAGGTCTTAGAGATGGCATCAAAGGTGTCCTTGGTATAGTTACCCAGGGCGGCAGTGTAGCCCCTGGCTAAGGTGTAGCAGTCATCAATACCAGCCATCATAAGCAGCTTCTTGGGTACAGGCACTGAGACGATGCCAGTGCCTCTGGGCGTAGGGATGAGGCGCACCAGCACAGAGCCGTGGTGGCCTGTCGGCTTGCAAGGGATGGTGTGGGGCTTGCTGATCTTGTTCCCCCAGTAGCCTCTGTGCACAGGGACAATAGAGAGCTTGGCCAGGATGATGGCCCCGTGGATGGCAGTGGCCACCTCCTTGGAGCACTTAACACCCAGACCGATGTGGCCATTGTAGTCCACGATGGCAACAAACATCTTGAACCTGGTGCGCTGGCCGGCACGGGTCTGCTTCTGCACTGGCATAATCTTCAAAACCTCGTCCTTGAGAGAGGCCCCCAGGAAAAAGTTAGTGATCTCAGATTCCTTCATGGGCAGGGAGAAGACATACATCTCCTCCAGGGACTTGATCTTCATGTGCTTGACCAGGCGGCCCAGCTTGGTGATAGGCATCCACTCTTTATCCTCGGCCTTGCCTCCATGAGCTCTGCGGCCTCAGCCGCGGCCTCAGCCCCAGCCCCGGCCCCGGATGCCACTGCCGAAACCTCCACGGAAGCCACTGCATTTCCCCATCCCAGGCGATCCCCACCACCGGCTGCCACCAGCATCATCTGCCATTTGGTGTTTTCTCAGAGAAGCATCTATTTTTGTTTTTGTTGTGCATGTGTGCTTTTGGTGTCATAGCCAGGAAATCATCACTTAGTCCAGTGTCATGAAGAGTTTCCCCTATGTTTTCTTCTAGTTTTATGGTTTTCAGATGTTAACATTTAGTTTTTAATCCATTTTGTGTTAATTTTTGTATATTTTTGCCCATATTTAAAACTTTAGTGAAATAACATAATTTAACATTATTTGTCAGCATTGTTGCCTCTGTTTACCAAGTGGGCTTAGAGCCTCTAATGTAACATATATATATATATATATATATATATATATATATATATATTTTTTTTTTTTTTTTTGAGATGGAGTTTCGCTCTTCTTATGCAGGCTGGAGTGCAGTGGTGCGATCTTGGCTCACTGCAACCTCTGCCTCCCGGGTTCAAGCAATTCTCCTGCCTCAGCCTCCTGAGTAGCTGGGATTACAGGTGTATGCCACCACATCTGGCTAATATTTGTATTTTTAGTAGAGACGGGGTTTCACCATGTTGGCCAGGCTGATCTCGAACTCCTGAGCTCAGATGATCCACCCGCCTTTGCCTCCCAAAGGGCTGGGATTACAGACGTGAGCCACCGCGCCCAGCCCATATCTTCATTTTAAGAAACATTGTTATCTACTATTGGTCCAGCAAAACGTGTGTGCATGAAACAAAGATATGGCAGTAGAAGGGTAAATACTATAGTAAGAAGTCTAGGCCGGGCGTGGTGGCTGATGCTTGTAATCCCAACACTTTGGGAGGCTGAGGTGGGGGGATCACTTTGAGGTCAGAAGTTCAAGACCAGCCTGGCCAACATGGTGAAACCCCATCTGCACTAAAAACACAAAAATCAGCCAAGTGTGGTGGTGGGCGCATGTAATCCCACCTACTCAGGAGTCTGAGGCAGGAGAATTGCTTGAACCTGGGGGGCGGGGGTTGCAGTGAGCCAAGATCGCCCCACCGCACTCCAGCTTGGGTGACAGAGTGAAACTCCATCTTAAAAAAAAAAAAACACGAAGAAGAGTGTAAATCAGAAGTATTAATAATAAGAGACAACTGAAAAGTTTGTTTTGTTTTGTTTTGTTTTTTTTGAGACAGAGTTTTGCTCTTGTTGCCCAGGCTGGAGTGCAGTGGTGTGATCTCGGCTCACTGCAACCTCTGCCTCCCGGGTTCAAGTGATTCTCCTGCCTCTGCCTCCGGAGTAGCTGGGATTACAGGCATGCGCCACCACGCCCGGCTAATTTTTGTATTTTATTAGAGACCAGGTTTCTCCATGTTGGTCAGGCTGGTCTCGAACTCCCAACCTCAGGTTACCTGCCCGCCTCGGCCTCCCAAAGTGCTGGGATTACAGGCGTGAGCAACCACGCCTGGCCAGCTGAAAGGTTTTTAAGCTGAGACACAGATAATCAGATTTGTGCTAGAAAAATTATTTTGGTATAAGAGATGCGTCAATGCTAGGAAGAGTGGAAACAGGAAAGTCAGTTAAGAAGCTTTAAAAAAAAAAAAAAGTGGGCTGGGTGCGGTAGCTCAAGCCTGTAATCTCATCACTTTGGGAGGCCGAGGCGGGCAGATCACCTGAGGTCAAGAGTTCAAGACCAGCCTGGCCAACTTGGCGAAACCCTGTCTCTACTAAAAAATACAAAAAATTTGCTGGGTGTAGTGGTGGGCGCCTGTAATCCCAGCGACTCGGGAGACTGAGGCAGGAGAATCGCTTGAACCCAGGAGGCAGAGGTTACAGTGAGCCTCGATGGCGCCACTGCACTCCAGCCTGGGCAACAGAGAGAGACTCTGTCTCAAAAAAAAAAAAAAAAAAAAAAAAAAAAAATATATATATATATATGTGTGTGTGTGTGTGTGTGTGTGTGTGTGTGTGTGTATATGTATATATGTATATGTATATATATGTATATATATGTGTATATATATATATATAGCATAGGCAACTTAAACCATGCCAGAGGGAATTGAAAATAGGGACCTACAGGAGAAACAAGAAAGAATGAATACTAGTTGGCTCTACTCAATAGGAAGACCCAGGGAGAAGTTGGAATTAACTCAGATTTCCAGCCTGGGTGACTCTGAATGGCTGTGAATGGCAGTGTTCTTATTAACAGGGATTGAGAAGGCACATAGGAATAGAACAGCATTACCCTTGGACAGTGAATTTAAGGTGTTGCCTATTGGACATCTGCCATGTCTTGTCACTTTTCGATATGGGTCTGGCCCTCAGGCAATAGCAGAGATTTGAATGGAGCTGTAGAGTCACAAGTCATCTTTATAGACATGTTAGTTGAAGCCATACGCATAGATGAGCTCATCTGGGAGATGAATTTAAATCAAAGAGATCAAAATTTCCTTGTTTCACTTAACTAATCTTCTTAGCCATTTACTCTTATTGTGAGCCTGGCTTTTCCACCTGACCAAGTTCTTCTTGTTCCAGGAATTCAAAGATAAAGAAACCAGGCTCTATTATTTCTTTCTGATTGATTGATATTTGGTTTCTAAAAGAAATTTTCTTCCTTCTCTACATTCACAAACTCTTCTATTCTTTTGCCACATTTTATACACTTAAGTTTAAACCAGTTTCCATGTATATTTTGTCTATATTATGTTTGTTATTGAGAAATAGGCATTTTTGGGAAGAAAGAATTTGGCATTTTGGAAATAATCAGAAAATTAAAAAATGCACACACCACTTTCCCATTCTTCTCCCCACCCCAACCCCTACCCCTATCCTCAAATGCTTAGCTAGTGAAATATTAAAATGTTGTAATAGAAATTGGAGTCAAGGTCTCCTTGCTGAAGAGACCATCTATTTTCAGAGACTGGAAGGAGAGAGAACAAACCAATCAAGAGTCATTGGTTTGTTGCCTCTATTGTTTTATTTCTGACCTGCGCAAATAGCTTTTGAAGTGGAGATATGCTAGTTCTTGGCAACTAATACTTTTCTGGGCATGCATTTTATGAAATAATAGGTATGTATCTGCCTCATTCTTTTAGGCTATGTGTTTCTCTAGTTTAAAAATAATTTGCCAATGAAGGTCTATCTGTATTTATGCAATCCCTAAATTTGTATTTACCTTATGTGCGTATGTTTTAAATGTGTGTATGGAGGCTTATTTTGGATGCTGTAGATGGGAGAGAGTGCCATCATCTAGTACACTGTTATATGCCACAAGAAATAATTGCACAGCCATTTCTTAATTTTAAGGTTTTTCTTTTCAACAGGTTTTGCACTGATTGCAAAAATAAAGTCCTCCGAGCATACAATATCCTTATTGGTGAACTTGACTGCAGCAAAGAAAAGGGCTACTGTGCTGCACTTTATGAAGGCTTGCGGTGCTGTCCACATGAACGACACATACATGTTTGCTGTGAAACAGACTTCATTGCACATCTTTTGGGTCGTGCTGAGCCAGAGTTCGCAGGAGGGTATGAGTATGTAATTTGCTAGAATGGGCTATCTAGCGCTTTGCTTCATTTTATTACTGAAAGTTTATTTTCATCACCTTCTGCCTCAGTACATATGATATATGTATAAATTAAAGTATGCCTGTAAAGATTTTGCTTCTCTTTAAAGTATGCATTTCTTAATTGACTGAAAATAGGGAAAAACTGTTCTCTGGTGTTTGGTTCAGTCCTCTGCTAGTTCTTGCTTGAAGGGAGGCAGGCTTTTTTGGCTTTCATTGTTACAGACTATCATTTTCATTTGAAAATGATTAGAAGGGATTTTTCTCCCTCTATCCATGCATTATCATGTGTAAATTTTATTCACAATAATGGTTTTTGCATAAGTCAGATCTTTGCAGTAGGGGATTAAGAAATGCCTTATTGAATGTAATTCACGAACTGTGTATATTATATTATTATTACTACACAGAAACCTAAAGTAGTATCTCTGGCTTTGTTGTAAAAATAAAATCAGATGATGATGTTAATAGAATAAATCAAATGCATTTCCTTTTGTATTTAGGGTATCAACCCTCATTTGAGTGCCTACTTTCTGCTAGAATACAAAGGGCTTTTTTATCGCCAAAGTTCTGTGAACACTTGTAAAGACTGGCCTGGTGGAGGACTCTTGCCCATGATGAATCACTTTGGCATTGCCTTTCTCAATTCCTCCTCAAAACAAAAAACCTAAAGAAGGAAAAAATGTTTTGCTATAATTGGAAAGTAAAAGGAACTGTTGTGTCTACTATGAGCTGGACACTTCTATGTGATTGCTTTGTGCCCTAAAACCCATCTTTTTAGAGCCAGTTCCTGAATTACTTTATTTTTAGCAATACGAGGACTAAATTCTACTTGCATGTGTATTTCTCATTGGTTGTGGACATGCATGCTTGTATAGCAACATATACGTTGAGTGTAAATGTATAACTGTCTTGTTACTAGGTAAGCACATTGTGTTTAAAACCTGAACTTGCAGCTGTGTTATCCATCTTTTACTGTTTCAGTTAAAGGTATTAGTGTGTGATTATTCCCTTTTATAGGCGAAGAGAAAGGCATGCAAAGACAATAGATATAGCTCAAGAAGAAGTTCTGACCTGCTTGGGAATTCATCTTTATGAAAGACTGCATCGAATCTGGCAGAAGCTACGGGCAGAAGAGCAGACATGGCAGATGCTTTTCTATCTTGGTGTTGATGCTTTACGCAAGAGTTTTGAGGTAAGAACAGTGGGCTGTTCCAGTATCTCAGATTGCTTAGTCACGTTATTGGACTGAATCTTAATGTAAGCCACCAGTGCCTAAAAGGACTGTCCATCACTGATAGAGCTTCATGGATTTGGCTGGATATTGTTACATGGCTTTGGGTTGGAGTGGGGGTGGTCTAGGGAACTGGGATTTAGAAGAAGTTGATGGATTTAAAAAAATGTTTTTAATCCTGTTAACTTTGCTAGCTTTGGTTTTTAGACTTTCTCAGAGTAGAAAACTGAAGATGTTTAATAAGATGCTGCTATGAAACATAACTAGTGAGGCTGGGCATGGTGGCTTACGCCTGTAATCCCAGCACTTTGGGAGGACGAGGCAGGCGGATCACCTGAGGTCAGGAGTTTGAGACCAGCCTGACCAATATGATGAAACCCCGTCTCTACTAAAAATACAAAAATTAGCTGGGCGTGGTGGCGGGCACCTGTAATCCAGCTACTTGGGAGGCTGAGACAGGAGAGTTGCTTCAACCTGGGAGGTGGAGGTTGCAGTGAGCCAAGATCACGTCACTGCACTCCAGCCTGGGCAACAAGAACAAAACTCCGTCTCAAAACAAAAACAAAAACAAAAACAAAACAAAAAAAACACACATAACTAGTGAAAAGTTAAATGCCCCCAAGGATTAAGCAGGAAATGTTAAAACCTTCAGTGAGTTTCATTTTGCCTGCTAATGTCCAGTAGTATGAAGTAAATGCTGTGTGAATGCCATGGTATAAGGACTATTTTTCTTTCTTTCTTTTCTTTTCTTTTCTTTTTTTTTTTTTGAGACGGAGCCTCGCTCTGTTACCCAGGCTGGAGTGCAGTGGCATGATCTCGGCTCACTGCAAGCTCCACCTCCTGGGTTCACACCATTCTCCTGGCTCAGCCTCCCGAGTAGCTGGGACTGCAGGCGCCCGCCACCACGCTCGGCTAATTTTTTGTGTATTTTTAGTAGAGACAGGGTTTCACCATGTTAGTTAGGATGGTCTCAATCTCCTGACCTCGTGATCCGCTGCCTGCCTTGGCCTCCCAAAGTGCTGGGATTACAGGCATGAGCCACGGCGCCCAGCCCTTACTCGTTTTCTCTTTGTATTTTTGTACCTTCAGAGACTAGATCATCTAATCAGGTTAAATAGTTTTTTCATTATGTCAGTAAATGGTATGTTTACTTTTGTTGTGTTAAAATTCTGAAATTTAGGCCAGATATGGTGTCTCATGCCTGTAATCCCAGCACTTTGGGAGGCCAAGGTGGGCGGATCACTTGAGGCCAGGAGTTCGAGACCAACCTGGCCATGATGGCGAAACCCTGTCTCTACTAAATATACAAAAATCAGCCAGTGTGGTGGCGCATGCCTGTGGTCTCAGCTACTTGAGAGGCTGAGGCAGGAGAATCGCTTGAACCTGGGTGGTAGAGGTTGCAGTGAACTGAGATGGTGCCACTGTACTCCAGCCTGGGCGATGGAGCAAGACTCTGTCTCAAAAAAAAAAAAAATTCTGAAATTTAAAACTAGAATCTTGCTGGTTTGGAATAGGAGTGTGTATATTACCACAGAAAACAAAGGGACCGGGCACGGTGGCTCACGCCTGTAATCCCAGCACTTCGGGAGGCTGAGGCGGGTGGATCACGAGGTCAGGAGATCGAGACCATCCTGGCTAACACGGTGAAACCCCGTCTCTACTAAAAAATACAAAAAATTAGCCGGGCGTGGTGGCGGGCACCTGTAGTCCCAGCTACTTAGGAGGCTGAGGCAGGAGAATGGCGTGAACCCAGGAGGTGGAGCTTGCAGTGAGCTGAGATCATGCCACTGCACTCCAGTCTGGGCGACAGAGCAAGATTCCGTCTCAAAAAAAAAAGAAAAGAAGTTCTGACCAATATTCACCCTCAACCTTATTTTTATAATAGATGACCGTGGAAAAAGTACAGGGTATTAGCAGATTGGAACAACTTTGTGAGGAATTTTCAGAAGAGGAACGAGTAAGAGAACTCAAGCAAGAAAAGAAACGCCAAAAACGGAAGAATAGACGAAAAAATAAGTGTGTGTGTGATATTCCTACTCCCTTACAAACAGCAGATGAAAAGGAAGTAAGCCAAGAGAAGGTAATATTTCTTAATATCAACTCTTAAGTGTGTATGTATTGCTTGTAGATAGAAGTACAGGCCAGGTGTGGTGGCTCACGCCTGTGATCCCAGCACTTTGGGAGGCCCAGGGTGGAGGTATCACTTGAGCCTAGGAGTTTGGGACCAGCCTGGGCAAGATAGTGAGATCTCTATCTCTATTTATTTTATTTTATTTTTTTAATAAAAATAAAAAGTACAGTCGTCCCTTGGTATCTGTGGGGTTTGATTCCAGGACTTCCTGTAGATACCAAAATCTGCAGATGTGCAAGTCCCTGATGTAAAATGGTGTAATATTTGCATATAGTCTATGCACATCCTCCTTATACTTTTATTTCTGAGACAGGGTCTCACTCTGTCACCCGGACTGGAGTGCAGTGGCACAATCATGGCTCACTGCAGCGTTCATCTCCCAGGCTCATGTCATCTTCCCACCTCAGCTTCCCAAGTGGCTGGAACTACAGGCTTACCCCACCAGGCCCAGCTAATTTTTTGTATTTATTGTAGAGATGGCGTTTTACCATGTTGTTCAGGCTGGTCTCCAGCTTGTGGGCTCAAGCAATTCTCCCACCTCAGCCTCCCAAAATGCTACAATTACAGGCATGAACCACCGTGCCTGGCCTCTTGTATTCTTAAATTATCTCTAAATTATAATACCTAATGCAATGTAAAAGCTATGTAAGGCTGGGCATGGTGGCTCACGCCTGTAATCCCAGCTACTTGGGAGGCTGAGGCATGAGAATTTCTTGAACCCAGGAGGCAAAGGTTGCAGTGAGCCAAGATCGCTCCACTGCAGTCCAGCCTGGGCGACAGAGTGAAACTCTCTCAAAATAAATAAAAACTGTTTAAATAGTTGTTATACTGTATTGTTTAGAAAATAAGGACAAGAAAAAAGTCTGTACATGTTCAGTACAGATGCAGGTTGATTTTTTCCCCCCCAAATATTTTCGATTCTTGGTTGAATTTATGGATGCAGCACCCACAGATATGGAGGGTTAACTGTATGGCTTTTTGCTAGATTTGGGCATTTTTACTATGCTTTTCCAGATGTGAGCTCCTGCAGTTTTTATATCAGCTTTTTTCCTACTGTAGTCTGTATAAGCCAGAATTTTAATGTCATGTCTATGTTTTATTAAGACAATGTTGAGTAGTTATCTCTTTACCTGACTTTAATGTATTATTAGATCAAAGTCAAAATATAGAAAGCCACCTCTGTGCATGACCTAGAGCAGTTCTCAAGTTTTTGGTCTTAGGATCCCTTTACATTCTTAAAAATTAAGGTACTCAATGAGCTTTTGTTTATGTGGGTTATACTTACCAATATTTACTGTATTAGAAATTAAATGATAAATTTTAAGCTACTCCTTCAAAAATAATGTTAACTAAATATTTTTTCAAAAATAACTATTTTCTAAATAAAATGAGAGTGAGAAGAATGGTATTATACTATATATATTTTTTGCAAATATCTTTAATGTTCATCTTAAAAGGAATAAGCTAGATTCCTTTTTTTTTTGAGACAGAGTCTCGCTCTGTTGCCAGGCTGGAGTGCAGTGGCATGATCTCGGCTCACTGCAACCTCCGCCTCTCGGGTTCAAGCAATTCTCCTGCCTCAGCCACCCAAGTAGCTGGGGCTACAGGCGTGTGCCACCATGCCCGGCTAATTTTTGTATTTTTAGTAGAGACAGGGTTTCACCATGTTGGCCAGGATGGCCTCGATCTCTTGACCTCGTGATCCGCCCGCCTCAGCCTCCCAAAGTGCTGGGATTACAGGTGTGAGCCACCGCGCCTGACGGAATATACTAGATTCTTATATCTGCTTCTGCATTCAATCTGTTTCCATTTATTGGCTTGGTTGAAGCATATGAAGAAAGTCTAGTCTCACACAGATATTATATGGTAGGAAAAGTATTTTATTTTGGAGCAGAGTCTTGCTCTGTCACCCATGCTGGATTGCAGTGGCACAATCTTGGTTCACCGTAACTTCCTCCTCCTGGGTTCAAGCGATTTTTGTGCCTCAGCCTCCCAAGTAGCTGGGACTACAGGCGCCTACCACCATGCCCGGCTAATTTTTTTTTGTATTTTTAGTAGAGATGGGGTTTTGCCTTGTTGCCCAGGCTGGTCTCGAACTCCTGAGCTTAGGCAGTCTGCCCGCTTCTGCCTCCCAAAGTGCTGGGATTACAGGAATAAGCCACTGTGCCTGGCTGGGAGCAGTATTTTAATATAAACCTTTTCAGATAGTTGTGGATATTCTTCAATACTACACTTTGACCAGTGGTAGTTTCTAAAAGATTCATTGCAATATGGAATCTGGCACCTTATCAATGACCTTTTTGTACTCTGTTAAATTAGAATCCGTTGGACTATATTGGACTTTGAATAGATCTTTTACTCATGCATTGTTTTGTAACATCATGCATTGGAATTTATTTCAAAGTTCACTGAATTATGCAGGTCAGAAAAGTCCAAGTATTAGGAAGCTTCAAGTTCATAGCACTGCTGGTTGCAAGGCCAAAATTCTGATTGTTGTTTCAATGTTTGAGTTTTGTCATTGACAACAGTTGTTGTTCATTGTTTCCTTTGAAGTAACAGATTGACTTCATTCATTTTTGAGAAAATGCCTGCTAAATATCCAAGTCTCTCAGTTTGTCTCTCATTTATTCGTTCAAGTGAACTTGATGTTCCAGGAAAAAAGTTCAGCTTGCACCTCAAAAAGTGGCACAAGTACGTTTCCTTGAGACAGCTGCAATAGAAATGCTTTAAGCATACTTCCCATTTGTCACATACTTTTTTTTTTTTGAGACGGAGTCTCACTCTGTCGCCCACAGTGGAGTGCGGTGGTGTGATCTTGGCTCACTGCAGGCTCTGCCGTCCGTGTTCAAGCAATTCTCCTGCCTCAGCCTCCTGAGTAGCTGGGATTACATGCGCCTGCCACCTTGCCCGGCTAATTTTTGTATTTTTAGTAGAGACGGGGTCTCACCATCTTGGCTAGGCTGGTTTTGAACTCCTGACCTCAAGTGATCCACCTGCTTCAGCTGCCCATAGTGCTGGGATTACAGGCATGAGCCACTGCACCTGGCCCCACATAGACTGTCAAAAAGATTTCTGTTGACAGGGCGTGGAGGCTCATGCCTGTAATCCTAGCACTTTGGGAAGCCATGGCAGAAGGATTGCTTAAGGCCAGGAGTTCAAGAGTTCAAGACTAGCCTGGGCAACATAACGAAACCCTGTCTCTACAAAGGAATAAAAAAATTAGGCCTGGTGGTGTGCTTCTGTAGTCCTAGCTACTTGAGAGGCTGAGGCAGAAGGATTGCTTGAGCCCAGGAGTTTGAGGCTGCAGTAAGCCATGATTGTATGACTGTACTCTAGCCTAAGTGACAGAGGGAGACCGTACTCAAAAAAAAAAAAAAAGGAAAAAGTATATGTATTTGTGGTTGATATCTGATACAATTAATATTTTTACAGCTTCCTCAGAGACATTCATAAGTGAAATATCTTTTTGTGAGAGCGCTTGACAGTTGAAGAATACAGTGATTCTTAGCACACTTTGGTTAGTACTGTCTTGATTTGTGCTAAGGACTAATATCTTTACCCACCATTACTTTTGTACTGTCAGTGTAAATGTCAGTACAGTGAAAATGCCACATCTTACTATTAGGATGAAAATAGTTTTGATCTAGGGAATAAAATGTAGCTGTTATGGAGTAAAGCTCTTGACTCTCTCTTAATGTTGATCCTTAAAGGAAACAGACTTCATAGAAAATAGCAGCTGCAAAGCCTGTGGCAGCACTGAAGATGGTAATACTTGTGTAGAAGTAATTGTTACCAATGAAAATACATCATGTACCTGTCCTAGCAGTGGCAATCTTTTGGGGTCCCCTAAAATAAAGAAAGGTAAGTAAATAATTTCTTTTTAAAATGAACTCTTAACTCTATTCTTTCTTACTGTTAAATGTAAGAGCTTTTAGAGATTCTGTGAGCTAGAATTTTAAAACTGCTTTATAGTTCCAAGAATATCATATAATTTAGTCAGATACTTAATATTTCCTTTTTCTTTATGTTCTTTGACTTATTTTTGACAAAAACGAAAAATGGTAAATTCCTAATCATATTTTCATTATTTAATTTACTTTCTACTTAAAAAAAAAATCCTTCATTGGAAATGTTCTACTTTTAATAAGCCATTAATTATGAGATTTTTCTGTGGTCCCCAAAGAGTTCACTCTTTGTCCTAATATACTTATTGGTATGTTAATAGTAACTCTCACTTGATTTATTCTCAGGCTTATCTCCACACTGTAATGGTAGTGATTGTGGATATTCATCTAGCATGGAAGGGAGTGAAACAGGTTCTCGGGAGGGTTCGGATGTTGCCTGCACTGAAGGCATTTGTAATCATGATGAACACGGTAGGCTCACATTAAGTTTCCCAGTTATTTCTACTACATGGCTGACTTAAGAACATAAATAAGAAGGATTATTGATTTCTGCAGGTGATGACTCTTGTGTTCATCACTGTGAAGACAAAGAGGATGATGGTGATAGTTGTGTTGAATGTTGGGCAAATTCTGAAGAGAACGACACAAAAGGAAAAAATAAAAAGAAGAAGAAGAAAAGCAAGATACTGAAATGTGATGAACATGTAAGTGTCATAACTTGTAATTCTTAAACCTTTGCTGTTGAGGACAGAACACGTGTTTTCCTTGGAGTGGCATATGTGCAGCTTAGCTGCTAGGATTTACTTTTTTTAGAATGAGTTCTTTTTGCAGTTCCATTGGGTGCTCATCGTGTGAGAGTGTGGGTTGGGGGCAGAGAGAGATGTGATCATTTGTGCAACAGTCCTTGTGAGTCAGAAATTCAATTGTTCTTTTTATACTTTTAAAATTATAAGCTGTGTAATCTTAAACAATTTGTTTAGTCCCTATCATATTAGGTTCTATGAAGGTGAAGTGAATGTATATTGGCAGGTGTGGCATAGTGTCTAGTACATAGTAAGTGCCTGGTAAAATAAAATGAATGCCAGCTGCTACTATTACTTAGTATTCCTTCTAAAGGTTTAATACTATGTCAGGATTTTTTTGAGATGGAGTCTCACTCTGTCGCCTATACTAGAGTACAGTGGCATAATCTTGGCTCACTGCAACCTCTGCCTCCCAGGTTCAAACAATTCTCCTGCCTCAGCTTCCTGAGTAGCTGGGATTACAGGCGCATGCCACCATGGCTGGCTAATTTTTGCATTTTTAGTAGAGATGGCATTTGACCATGTTGGCCAGGCTGGTCTTGAACACTTGACCTCAGGTGATCCACCTGCCTCGGCCTCCCAAAATGTTGAGATTGTAGGCATGAGCCACCGTGCCCCGCTTTTTTTTTTTTTTTTTTAAAGAATAATTGCTATTATATCATGCCTTTTTACCTGTGAAATCCTTTGCTGTGGTATCAGATCCAGAAGCTTGGAAGCTGTATTACAGATCCAGGTAATCGAGAGACCTCAGGAAATACCATGCACACAGTGTTTCACCGTGACAAGACCAAAGATACACATCCTGAAAGCTGTTGCAGCTCTGAAAAGGGTGGGCAGCCATTGCCTTGGTTTGAGCATAGGAAAAATGTACCACAGTTTGCAGAACCTACAGAAACGTTGTTTGGTCCCGATTCCGGAAAAGGTGCCAAGAGCTTAGTTGAACTCCTTGTAAGTATTCCATGTGGTCTTACTGTACATAACTGTTTGGGAACGGGGTGGATGTGGGAGGGGATAGTATTTGAGGGCTTAAGGTAGGTAGTTGAAGGAAGCTTATGAGAAATTAAGGGTAGTATTTCATTATTGTTTGGGGACTTCATTTCTGTCCTTCCACTCGTGGTTTATGCAACTACTCTGGAACACGTTTCCATGGCCGCCTCTGTCTCAGTAGAAGACATTATAGGTATTCCTTGAGTTACAGTGGGGTTACATTCCAATAAACCCATTATAACTCAAAAATACTGCGAGTTGAAAATACATTCAACATCCCAATAAACCCTTTGTAAAGTTAAAAAAAAAAAATCCCAAATAAGGCTGGGTGCAGTGGCTCATGCTTGTAATCCCAGCACTTTGGGAGACCGAGGTGGGTGGATCATGAGGTCAAGAGATCAAGACCATCCTGGCCAATATGATGAAACCCCGTCTCTACTAAAAATACAAAAATTAGCTGGGCATGGTGGCGTGTGCCAGTAGTCCCAGCTACCCGGGAGGCTAAGGCAGGAGAATCACTTGAAGCCAGGAGGCGGAGGTTTCAGTGAGCTGAGATCGTGCCACTGCAGTCCAGCCTGGCGACAGAGTGAGACTTTGTCTCAAAAAAAACCTGAGTAGAACCATTGACCATTGTTAAGTCAGGACCATCTGTAGTTAGGAGAAAGGATAGAGGTAGCATTGTATTCAGTAGTCTGCCTCCTTGAAGTAGGTTACTGTAAGCAAACTTTGCCTTTCTGATTGGCAAGTTATGGTAGCCACCCTTCCATACCAGAAAGAATATACAATTTGAACTAGAGGTTGCTTTCTTCTTTTAGGTGTCATGTAGGGTAAGACTCCAGTCCTGAGACTTTTTACCTGATCCCCAACTGACCCAGTGCGTAGTATAGGTGGCCCTTGGAGGAGGGGAGGAAGAAGAGTGGTGTCCTTTTCATTAGAGTCCTGATGGAACCAAATCCTTCGGAATACTAGCTTTTTTCTTTTTCTTTTTTTTGAGGTGGAGTTTTGCTCTGTTGCCCAGGCTGGAGTGCGATGGTGCGATCTCGGCTAATCGCAACCTCCGCCTCCCAGGTTCAAGCGATTCTCTGGCTTCAGCCTCCCGAGTAGCTGGGACTACAGGCTTGTGCCACCATGCCTGGCTAATTTTGTATTTTTAGTAGAGATGGGTTTCTCCATGTTGGTCAGGCTGGTCTCGAACTCCCAACCTCAGGTGATCTGCCCACCTCAGCCTCCCAAAGTGCTGGGATTACAGGCGTGAGCCACCGCGCCCAGCTAGTTTTTTTCTTTTTTATGGTTGTAAAGTTTAGTTTTAATATTTATTTATTTTTTTTTTTTGAGGAGTCTCGCTCTGTCGCCCAGGCTAGATAGAGTGCAGTGGCACGATCTTGGCTCACTGTAGCCTCTGCCTCCAAGGTTCAAGTGATTCTCCTGCCTCAGCCTCCCAAAATGCTGGGATTACAGGTGTGAGCCACCACCTGTATAAGTTTAATGTTTAAAAGTTTTAATGGTTGTAAAAGTTTACTTCTTAAGTAGAAAATGGTTATCTTTTACTTAGTTTGTAGAGATGACTGTTTCAAGATAGGACTAACTGGAGATACGTCTGGCTACTTAAAATATGGTAACTAGTTGTAACATCTTTAATTAGTTATTTTTTCAAGGCCAAGGTATGGTGGTAGTTTGCTAGGCTCATAGGCTTCTAGGAGAAATTATAGATTCAAGGTTTCAACTCAAGGAGTTGGATTTTATTCTCACTACTTTCTTAGGCAGAATGACATGATGCTTATTCTGCAAACACTCCAATTAAAGGCTTTATGTGACTGATGTGAAACTAAAAAGTTAGACTGGTTTAATTTTTAGCTGTCCTCCTCCATTACATAACATTTTGCATTCTTAAGTCATAGTCTTAACTACTGCTTTAATTTGCAGGATGAGTCTGAATGTACTTCAGATGAGGAAATCTTTATCTCACAAGATGAAATACAGTCATTTATGGCTAATAACCAGTCTTTCTACAGCAATAGAGAACAATACCGACAGCATCTGAAGGAGAAATTTAATAAATACTGCCGGTTAAATGATCACAAGAGGCCCATTTGTAGTGGCTGGTTGACAACGGCTGGAGCAAATTAAATAAATAAAATAGCTCTGTCTTTCAATGAAACACTCACGATGACTACTGCGCCTTCTCTTTCGAAAAACTCTTAATTTAGTGACTTATGGCAAAATTTTATCTTAAATCAATGTGATTCTTTCTTGTTTTGGGAGACGGTGGAGGTATCCTCATTAGTTCTTTCTTCAGGCTTGTGTCTTTAGTTGCGTGGCTGCGCAGGCCTGCCATATGATTTAAGCCATCTCTTTTCATTAAATGTTTCTCTTCCTGTGAGACTTACTAAAGCAACTTAGTGGCAAAAAGTAATGTTGTACTTATAATTCTGTACAGAAATGACAATGAGCTGAATATATGGTTTTACAAAGTAGACATCCACTTGCAAAATGTTTGGATGTAATGTTAAAGCGCAATGTGCAAAATTTAAAATAAAGAATATTTATTAATACGCACAGTAAAATTTGCTGTACATGTTTCTACTTAATATGTGGCAGTACTTTAGTATTTGCCACTTGTGGACTTGATGCTTGGCCAGTGTTGATGTTAGAAAGGATGAAGGACAGAGATACAGATTGTTGAAGACAAAAATCTTCCTTTGATGAGAATTGACAACTGAGAAAAGCAGTTTTCCAGTCTTTTTCTTTTGAGGAGATACTTTAAATACTTGCTACCATCTTACTTTCCCATGAGACTTTAATTGCTATTATTAAAGGTTCCCTAATACATAATACAAAGTACTTCTTAAATTCAGAGGTTCATATTGACCTAGAAGAATAAAAACAAAACTTGGCAGAATTTCAACCAAGGGTTGCCCGATAAGTAATTGCTCAACATGTAAGACTGGGCTCAGAAGGCTGCACTGAGAGCTAACCACATTGTGGGCTGTTTAAATGCATGTGAGGTTCAGCCTTATCTGGTATCCAGTAACAAAGTCACTGTGGTCTTACAGTTTACTCCTGTCACAGCTGTGAGTACTAAAGGAGAGAGTTCCCCCCAGGAGTAGCATTTTGCTGCCATTTAAAAGATCCAGTCAAATAGCTCCGTAGACACATGATGCTTAGAGATTTGTGTCTACATGTTTATAATACTTGGTGGCAGCATAAAATCATGGGACAATCAGTACTTCTGTGCAATGGAGGTGGAGTGAATTTTATGTGCTTTTAATCAGATTTTGAGTTAGATTTCAAGTGGGCAGCAGCAGAAACTTAGATTGAATTTTCATAGTGCCATTTCTTGGATCCACCTCCTGAGTTGTCTTTCAAATCTAAATGTTGTATAGGAATGGGGCAGAGGTAAAAGGACTCCTCTTGGACCCTTTTTGATTTCATCCCAGAATCTAAAAAATGACTGTGGGTCTCCCACAGCCCTTGGCTCAGAGGTGAATCCCCTCTTCACCACTGTTAAGAGTCAAATGTTCTTTTGAGATCCCTAAAAGGAAAGGCTGATTTAGTTTAGTTTTAATCTTTGCCATTGGGGCCAAACACAGGATAGGCAAATGAGTGTTTTTGAATGAATAAACCAGCCACATTCACCGCTTACTCCATTGCTTGCTGGAAGGGAGTCAGGTGGTTATTCAAAGATGCTTTTTCTTTAAGAGAATGGCTATATTAAGTACGCAGTTTTCAGCACTTTTAGTAAAGCGAGCTCTACTCTGAACAAAACCAGCAACCCGAGAAGCGATAATGATGTGAAGACAGTTGAGGAGCACATCCCTGGCGTAAGACTGGACTGCCTGTGGTCCAAACCATGCTTCACCACGTCAGTATACTCATCTTTAAAATTAAGATACTAATATGTGCCATCTCAGCGCGGTTGTGTAGATTAGTTACTATATTTAAAATGCCTGCTACACCATAAGCAGCAAATGTTAGATACTGTTTTAATCTTTGGCATATATCATGATACATTTGCTACAGTGGGGTAGGGGTAAGCGTGGGGGTCTAGGGCAGTTAGACACAGTGGGCCATTTAGGGACAGAATACCCCAGTACACGTGTACTTAGGAGTATTTCAGTTCTCCGTGGCTAGTAAAGCCAAGGGATCAGGTAGGGTGAATGAGTCCTTCCCAAGGTCACCTAGCATTGATGGCGGAGACACTCGGCGTTTTCTGGGCCGAATCCCTTCCCATCAGCCACCGGCGGGTTTGGGAGGGTGTGGAAGAGTGTTGGAGTCACCTTAAGTGCCCTTAATTCCTCATCCTGGCATTAGGGTTCAGGAGTAGAGAAGGGAGACTAAGCGGGACGCTTCAGTATGCGCCCTTGGGGCTGAAGGAACCTCCCCGCTAAACCTCGGTTTCCCTGACCCCAAAGGGCAGCGCTCACTGGGGAAGCGGCGCCGCCAGCTGCCAGGACGCTCCCGCGCAGCCCGGTTTCCCTACGCCGGGGCGGGGCAGAGGGGCGGAAGGGGCGGGGCGGCCGGGCCGCGGCGGCCTCCGACTGGATACGGCGGATCGCCGGGGGCCTGAGGGTGGAGTCCCGGCCGGAGGCAGGCCGGGACTCTGGTGGGTCTAGGCGCGGATCGGACCCAAGCAGGTCGGCGGCGGCGGCAGGAGAGCGGCCGGGCGTCAGCTCCTCGACCCCCGTGTCGGGCTAGTCCAGCGAGGCGGACGGGCGGCGTGGGCCCATGGCCAGGCCCGGCATGGAGCGGTGGCGCGACCGGCTGGCGCTGGTGACGGGGGCCTCGGGGGGCATCGGCGCGGCCGTGGCCCGGGCCCTGGTCCAGCAGGGACTGAAGGTGGTGGGCTGCGCCCGCACTGTGGGCAACATCGAGGTGAGGCCGGGCCGAGGGCGGGGACGTCGCGGGCGGGTCGTTTCCCCGGAGTCGGGTTCACCTGCCCGCCACGCCGGGGCCCTTTGCTCTAGTCGGGGCGGCCTCTCGGATCCCTTAAGGCAGGCTTCTCCCTTCCCCTTAAGTCTCATCTTTGAAGGAGCCGTTTGCCCTGACAGCCCCTGCTCGAGTTACCGAATCTCCGACCCCGGCATCTCCCCACCCGCCCCTCGGGTCTCCCCAGGGTATTGGCCCGAGGAAGGGGAAGCCGGAGGTCGGGGGTGGTGGTCTCGCCCCTGTGGCCTTCTCGCCCCCGGCGGCCAAGTGCCTCTAATCTCCAGAAGTCACCCACCACGCAGGGCAAGGTGGCTGGCCAACCAGATGGGCAGGAGCCAGGACTGAGGTTGGGGTTGGGGTGGGAGCTTTACTGAAGAGCCTCAGCCCCGCCCCCTCACCTCGGGGGTAACTCATGCCCAGTGGCATGAGGAATGAATGGAATATTCATTAGTGGGCCCTCCTCCACTCTCCTGGGGCGAACAGAGTGGGTGAAATCGGGCGGAAACCTTGAGAGGATAAAGCAACCTGGAACTCCTTACTCTGCTCTTGACGTGGGGTTGGGAGCCCTCAGAGCTCAGAGAAAAATCAAGATGGCCATTTTGGAGCAGGGAGGAATTTCTGTGCTAGGCTCTCTCTGGATGTGCCCTGTAAGCTCATTCTCAGTGTCGGGCTAGTGCTTAGCTGCAGGGCTTTATCTCCACCGTGCTCAAAGTCCTCAGGCAGGGAAAGGGTAAGGAGGCCTTGGGTGGGGGCAGAGGGAGAAGGTATACAGGAAGGAGGACTGTCCCCTCCCCTGCTGCTGACCAAAGGTATGCTTTATAACCCAGATAATCCCAAGGTCACCTGGCTCCATCACTGCCCCACTCTTTCCTCCCTTTATCCTATTCTGAGGAGCTCAGGACCCAGCCCCAGCCTTGGAGCCCAGAGGATCAGGCCAGGGATTAAACAACTGGATTCTGTAATTCTGAAGCCACTCTTGCCTTCTCACCTACTCCCCTACCGCAAGCTAGCCAGGAAGGGGGGGCCTGAGCCCCAAGGGGATCCCCAGGCTGATCACTCAGTCCCAGGGTGACTCCATGTCTGAGAGGAGAATGCCCCTGTTGTGAGGGGGTGACATGATGTTGTAGATCATTACTGAGGGGAGGTAGGGAGATCAGGTGGCACAGGTGGGGCAACAGGAAGGCAGTGACAGGGAGAAATACATTCTGAGCTCATCCCTTCTGGTTTTCTTGTGGCAGGAATTTTGAGTCTAGAGGAGGAAGCGGGAAGATGTACACCAGGGGAGGGGAAAGCTGCAGTCTTCCTTGCCCACAGTCTGCTTTGATTGATTCAGTCATTGATGTTAAAGCAGAATTTGGGTTCTAGCTTCCTACAGAGAAAACTCCTGTTTCCTGAAGTGATCAAATGTGGGTAAAATCTGGTGAAGGGGGGTTTCTGATTCTCAGAGGACTATACCTTTTGAACTCACAGAAAGTCAAAGCAGAAAAGAATGTCCCAAGACACCCGATCCTGTCCTTTATTCCTGGCTCAGCTTGGGAGGAGGAAGGGGCTCCAGGCCAGGGCAGCTGGCCAAGCTGGCCTTCCTCTAGGGCACCGCACGCCCCTTCCCCCTCGCCCACGTCTACACAGTCACCATCACAAGGCTCAAGTGCCCAGTCACTGGCTTCCAAAGAAGGCCACAGAACGTATTTTCTTCTTGCCTCTGAATGTCAGCTTCCCCCTGGGCTGCCTCTCAGTGGCTCTGCCTTCTCAGGTCTTTCTTGGCATGCTGAGGGCCTGGAGATGCACAGGGGGTGTTCAATGGCACCTGCCACCTGAATTGCCTCATAGTCTCCTGAGAAACCTCAGAGGGGAGGGTGGTGCACCAGGGCTCAGAGAGAAAGAATCTGTCCTGACTTTCTGACCCCTCCTTTAGGTAGGGAGAGAAGATTGGCAGCTGGGCTTGGTTGAAAGGCATGTCTGAGAACTCTGAGCCAGTTGGCTGCAGTTTGCGAGGGGAGGGGAATAGTTCAGAGATGAGGGACTGGCTGACACAATGCAGAAGAAGCTGGGTTAACCAGCCCAGTGACTCTCGGGACTGGTGTAGAAGCATGAAGTGGTGGAGAGGCGCATATTACCTATGGGCAGAAGAGGTGTTCCTGTTGAGGAAGAGGCAGAAAAGAGAGAGCACTCCATTCTCTAGGTCCCTGGCCCCTGTTCCACCCAGGACTTGAGTTTATTTATTTATTTATTTATTTATTTGAGACACAGTCTTGCTCTGTCACCCAGGCTGGAGTGCAGTGGCGTGATCTCAGCTCCTGCAACCTCCGCCTCCTGGGTTCAAGTGATTCTTGTGCCTCAGCCTCCCAAGTAGCCACCACACCCAGCTAATTTTTGTATTTTCAGTAGAGATAGGGTTCCACCAAGTTAGCCAAGGCTGGTCTCAAACTCCTGACCTCAACTGGTCCACCCGCCTTGGCCTTCCAAAGTGTTGGGATTACAGGCATGAGCCACCACGCCCAGCCAGGACTTGAGTTTATAGTGAGGTTTCTCCATTGATAACAGCCTTTTCCCTTCATCACTCGGGGAGCACTGTCATCCCTTAGACTTTGACCAAAGAGGACAGACTTAGGGGATGGGCAGTCCAACATCTTCGTGGCTGAAAGTCAGCTGCCAAAGGAGCATGTTTTATGAGTGTGACGGGGGTCGGGGTCTGAGGCTGGCTAGGGAGCCGTGGGAGTGAGCTGCTCACCCCAGTCAGACCCCTGTTGGGTTTCATAGGAGCTGGCTGCTGAATGTAAGAGTGCAGGCTACCCCGGGACTTTGATCCCCTACAGATGTGACCTATCAAATGAAGAGGACATCCTCTCCATGTTCTCAGCTATCCGTTCTCAGCACAGCGGTGTAGACATCTGCATCAACAATGCTGGCTTGGCCCGGCCTGACACCCTGCTCTCAGGCAGCACCAGTGGTTGGAAGGACATGTTCAATGTAAGAGCTCCAAGCCTCCATCTTCCAGGTGGAGGGTGGGGAGGAGAGAGGGGAGCCAGGGGTTTGTGAACCAGAGTGCTGCTGGGGACGGGACATCTAGGAAGAGGGAGCTTCGGGTTCCCACCTGGGGCATCTTGACTCTCTCTTGGCTTCTTGCCCTACCAGAGGGATAGAGAGTGGATGAATGGCCATATCAGCTCTTCTCTTCTTTGAGCCCCTGGAGGTAGTTCTTTTTTTTTTTTTTTTTTTTTTTTTTGAGATAGAGTCTTGCTTTGTCACCCAGGCTGGAGTGCAGTGGCATGATCTCTGCTCACTGCAACTTCCGCTTCCCAGGTTCAAACGATTCTCCTGCTTGAGCCTCCTGAGTAGCTGGAATTACAGGCACCCATCATCAATGCCCATCTAATTTTTTTGTATTTTTAGTAGAGACAGGGTTTCACCTTGTTGGCCAGGCTGGTCTCAAACTCCTGATCTCAGGTGATCTGCCCATGTTGGCCTCCCAACGTGCTGGGATTACAGGCATGAGCCACCACGCCCGACCTGAAGGTAGTTCTTAAAGTCTAGAGTGATTTCCTTGTGTTAGAAGAAAGATTGTTAGGGGAGAGAACTGCTGCCTGTTGAATGTTTCCCACTTGTCAGTCCTGTGCCTGGGTGCTTGGGAACGTGATGTTATGGGAAGAAAAGGAAGAGAGAGACAAGTGATGATATTCTTACCTAGCCTCACTAGTAACTATGTGACTTTAGGCAGGTTGGTTACCTTCCTTGAGCTTCAGTCTTGTCACAATTAATTGGGATGAACACACCTCTATCATCAATATCTGGGGTCACAGCTCCAATGTCCCCTGGGGCCAGGTAGGTACATAAAGGAGTGAGGGAGGTTAGGAGGGGTCTGTGGTGTGTGAGGAAGCACACAGCCACTGCTCAAATCCTGCATAGTTGCTCTATGGTGGTGTGGGCCCAGTGTGGCCTGATTTGATGAAATTTTTTTTTTTTTTGAGGCGAAGTCTTGCTCTGTAGTTACCAGGCTGGAGTGCAGTGGCGTGATCTTGGCTCACTGCAACCTCCGCCTTCTGGGTTCAAGCTATTCTCCTGCCTCAGCCTCCTGAGTAGCTGGGACTACAGGCGGGCACCACCATGCCCAGCTAATTTTTTTTGTATTTAGTAGAGATGGGGTTTCATCATGTTGGCCAGGATGGTCTGTATCGCCTAACCTCGTGATCCGCCTGCCTTGGTCTCCCAGAGTGCTGGGATTACAGGTGTGAGCCACCACGCCCAGCTGATCTTATGATTTCTTTGAGAGAAGTGGGGAGTCTGATTTTATGTGACACCCCCCCACTCCCATTCACTAAAATGACAGCTCCATGAGGGCAAGTATTTTATCTGTTTTATTCTCTGGTATGGCTTGATCCCATAAGCACTGAAAAGATAGTTATTGAATAAATGAAACTTTCCAGTACATGTTGGAAGGGTTTTTAAAATGTTTTGAAACTGTGCACAGGCCAAACCCAACTTTCAGGACATGGGTTTTCAACTTCTGGATGGTATGATGGGGTGATAGTAGGGTATAAAAGTATCCTGAGAAGTTGAAAGCAGTGTGTGAATGGGGTGTTCTTTTCTCCCCACAATCCTTTCCCATCTGCTGACAGTAGACTTAGCACCTCACAGATGCTTGGGCCTGGAAATGAAGCCATGAAAATGAAGCCCTCAGCCTTCTTGGAGATCAGAGCCATGGTCCTCACCCACAGCACATGGGTCTCTAAACCTGGACCTCAACTCGCCCATCTGTAAAATGAGGGACTTACATTAAATTCCTACAGCTCCTTTCAGCTTGAACATTATCTGAGTCTATTAGGATCATCCTATGAGGCATCTTCTCTTTCCCTGCCCCTGATACCCTAGACCTGGGAGATTTACTCACCTGGTCCCAGGGGATCTATTTCTCCCACTCTACCTGCCAGGGGCTGAGTTCTCTGCCTCACAAGCCCACATTGCCAAGAAGATGAGAAACACGGCTGGAAACCTCCCTGTCCTGGCACCCATCTCTTCCTACTGCCATGAACACCAAGACAGGTTCACACCAAAGGTGTTCTGTTCCTCATGGCAGGCTCTGCCACCTGATTAAGAGAAACATCTAATCTCCTGCTGGTTCCCTCTCTTCTTAAGAGGAGAGGCCTGAGGACCTGCTGAAAGCTTTATCTCTGCTTGTCCTCCGGGTGAGGCTAATGAGTGGGGCCAACGGGTGGGGCAGTGTAGGCGCTTTACAGCAGACACGCCTTCAGACCTCTGTTCCCTGAAGGGTGGGGATGTGGGGGTCACCTCTGCCAGAGGGAGTAGGAGTGGCAAGTTACCTGACCCTCTAGAGTCTCCGTGCCTAGTCTTGTAGATGGAACCCACGTTAAAGGAAGGCATAGAAAGGAGGGTCAGGCCTTCTCTTCTCCACTCATCTCAAGGGAGGGGATGGGGAAGGAGCAGAGAGTAGCTGAGGAAGGTAGGGAGAGGCTAGGCTGTGTGCCGGAGGAGAGAGATTTGTAAGCCATTTTGGTAAGGATTTTGAGCAGTTTAGGAGGGAGCAGGGCCAGAGACTGTCACAGAGAAGAGAAGAGTAGGGTATTTGGGGGAAGAAATGGAAATGATTCCCTATGGAATTAGAGGGTCTGTGCTACTGTTCATAGAGGAGATGGCCAAGACAGAGTCTCCTGGGTCAGGAGTGGGTTTGAAGGGTTTCCATTCTTGTTTGCAGGAACTTGGGGGGTCAGCCAGGTGAGGAGCTACCTCTGTTATCAACTGGGGGTTGCGGCTTTAGGGAGAGGGGCATCTCGTGTAGAAGACAAGATGCTCTGTGCCTGTGGCTGGTCTCCGGGGGGACCTGGACACTGTTTTGGAATGCCACACTGCCCCCTTCCCCCCTAGCATTCTGTGGCTCCATCACTTGCTCAGTTGGGCCGGAGTGGAGACACCTCATTGCCCTCCCTGGCCTGCAGGTGAACGTGCTGGCCCTCAGCATCTGCACACGGGAAGCCTACCAGTCCATGAAGGAGCGGAATGTGGACGATGGGCACATCATTAACATCAATAGGTGAGGGCAGGTGGCCAATGGGTACCACTCACCCACCAGGCTGGGTAATGTGCTGCAGCTCACCTGACCTCTTTGGACCTCAGTTTCCTTGGTGGGAAAATACAGATTTAATACCTGAATGGCACAATTATGGTGAGGGAAAGAATAATGTTGTCAAGTACCAGCCCCTGGTTGGCTGGAATGGGCAGCTTAGCCCCTTCCCTCTACAGCTGAAGCCTGGGGCCTCTCCTGGGACTAAGTGCCTCGATTCCTCAGGCCTGGGGATGAACCCCACCTCATGGCACAAAGAGTACTATGTACAGTGTCTGCCACTGGGGAGCCCCAGTCTGAGGGGGGACATGGCCTCTACCTGCCTTGAGATGTCCCAATAGAACCGTATCAGTGAACATACAGATTAGATGGAGAGAATTCTGACATTCTGCACCACCAGGAGAGTGCATTCTGTCGTCAGCTTAGGGATGAGTTCCAGGAAAAGGAGGGTTTTCCAAAGCTGTTTGAATAACCAAAATTAGATTAGTGAGCTGTAGGATGGCCAGTAGAGGTCCCCTTTAGAAGTCTTCCCGATGGGCATCTGGGTGGTGGGGCTGACCGGGTACGGCAGGAGCACCACTGGTCTCCCTGGAACTTCATTCTCTCCTCTTTCCCCTTCCTCTCCCCACCCAGCATGTCTGGCCACCGAGTGTTACCCCTGTCTGTGACCCACTTCTATAGTGCCACCAAGTATGCCGTCACTGCGCTGACAGAGGGACTGAGGCAAGAGCTTCGGGAGGCCCAGACCCACATCCGAGCCACGGTGAGGCTGTGGCCTAGCCCTGGTGGGCACAGGGTGGCGCAGGCCCTCCCCACCCACACACACCGTTCAGGAAGCCCATGTTCAGAATGTGCCGCTCAGAGCTCCTGGGAGTGGACTGGGCACAGAACTGGGTGCTGCTGCTCCAGGCATGGCCCTATGCAGCCCTTCATTTCCTCATTTCACTGATCCAGGAGCCAACGACCAGACTTAGACTTTGAGCTGGGAGGGGGCTGACCTGAGGGAAAGCAAGGGACTGTGGGAAACCAGGTGCACAGTGGCTGGAAACCGGGACTCTGGGCTCTTCTCTTGAAGGCCGCATGATCGTGAGCGAGTCACTGAACCTCCCTAAGCCTCGGCCTTCTCACTTGTGAAAAGGAGATGATGAGCTTTTCAGGGACACTTTTTTGTAAAACGTTTACCTGACATATAGGAAAGGCTCTGTAGATGGTAGGTATCATTGTGGTCACTGCCAGTGGCAGCTTCGGAGGGAGGAGGCCGCTGCCGGATATCAGGCAGCCATCACTGTGAAGCTGGGGTTCTGTGGCCTCCATCCTCTCCCCTCGACCTCCCCAAGACCTGGCAAAGCTCAGCCCCTGAGAAGGCCCTCTCTGTTGGCCCAGTGCATCTCTCCAGGTGTGGTGGAGACACAATTCGCCTTCAAACTCCACGACAAGGACCCTGAGAAGGCAGCTGCCACCTATGAGCAAATGAAGGTGGGGCCTCCCTCTGAGCCTGGTGAAGCCACTGACTCCCTAAATGAAGGCAGAGGGAAGCTCGGCCTTCAGACTCCACTCTTCCAGCCTTTGTGGCTCCTCCTGGAGGGTTGGGGTGGATGTGTGGATGCCACAGAGAAGCTCAGTGGTGGGAGGGAATTTGAGTCCATTCTGTCCTTGTCTCAACCCATTCCCCTGGTGCTCTCAGTGTCTCAAACCCGAGGATGTGGCCGAGGCTGTTATCTACGTCCTCAGCACCCCCGCACACATCCAGGTGAGTCTGGCCCTGACTGTCTACTCACTGGAGGAACCCAACCAGCCCCAGAGGAGGGGAGCAGGGAGCCCTGCAGGGCCAGGGGAGAGTGTCACAGCTGCCTCATGCCTTGTACCTTCCACAGATTGGAGACATCCAGATGAGGCCCACGGAGCAGGTGACCTAGTGACTGTGGGAGCTCCTCCTTCCCTCCCCACCCTTCATGGCTTGCCTCCTGCCTCTGGATTTTAGGTGTTGATTTCTGGATCACGGGATACCACTTCCTGTCCACACCCCGACCAGGGGCTAGAAAATTTGTTTGAGATTTTTATATCATCTTGTCAAATTGCTTCAGTTGTAAATGTGAAAAATGGGCTGGGGAAAGGAGGTGGTGTCCCTAATTGTTTTACTTGTTAACTTGTTCTTGTGCCCCTGGGCACTTGGCCTTTGTCTGCTCTCAGTGTCTTCCCTTTGACATGGGAAAGGAGTTGTGGCCAAAATCCCCATCTTCTTGCACCTCAACGTCTGTGGCTCAGGGCTGGGGTGGCAGAGGGAGGCCTTCACCTTATATCTGTGTTGTTATCCAGGGCTCCAGACTTCCTCCTCTGCCTGCCCCACTGCACCCTCTCCCCCTTATCTATCTCCTTCTCGGCTCCCCAGCCCAGTCTTGGCTTCTTGTCCCCTCCTGGGGTCATCCCTCCACTCTGACTCTGACTATGGCAGCAGAACACCAGGGCCTGGCCCAGTGGATTTCATGGTGATCATTAAAAAAGAAAAATCGCAACCAATCTGCCTTGGCTTCAGGAGTGTCTTTCCATTCTTTCCCCTTCTCTGTGATCAGGGGTGCTTGTGTCTCAGAATTTCTTCCAGGTAGGTCCCAGGTGGGTGGATTGGGGGCCTCACTCATGGGAGTATGGATTACCTTAGGTAGCAGGAATGGGTTTGTTTGGGCCTTGAAAACATGTAGGAGTTTGACAAAGCGAAGACAGGTGTGCAAGGCTGAGAGGTCTGGAAGAGCATGCAGTGCTGTGCGAACAGCTCAGAACTTAAGCACAGGAGCAAGGAGCCAGATGGGGCTGAAGAGGCAGCTCCTTCCTGCCTTCCTGGATCGCTGGGGGGCTGAGTGCTGCGCAAGAGTCTCGCCATTACCTGTGGGACGGGGGCGTTAGTGAGCTTGTCAGCAGGAACACGACAGGCTCAGAGTCACTTAGGAAGAGAATCAGCGGCCCGGGATAGGAAGTGACTGTTGGGGTCCTGCTGGCTGGTGATGGGCTAGTGAGAAGTTCTGGGAAAAATCACCAGCGCCGGGATGTGGGGAGGGAGGCAACAAGACTGAATTGGTTGACCAGGAAGGCCAACCCATCTCCTTAAAGGGCCCTTCACTGGTGCGTGGGTGAATGCGGTCCCCGGCCTCCTGGGACCTCGAGGAACACAGGACGCAGCCGGTAGTACGGCCAGCTCAGCTCGCCGCTCCTCTAGCCTTGAGGGAGGCGCTGTGGGGGACAGCCTGGCAGCCACGCATGCGCAAAACACCGTCAGGAAGGGGCCGGGGAGGGGCGGGCTCCCGAACCCGGAAGCGAGGGACCCACGTGGGAGCCTGGGAGCGGGTGGTCGTAGCTCGGTAGTCCAGTTGTGGGTAATCGGGGCTGTTTGTTCCTGTCCGAGAGAGCTCGGCGGAGACGGCTGTCGAGTACCCTTCACCTCGGTGTTGGGAGCCTGGGAGCGAACTGCGGCGCGGGTTACCGCTCCCGGGGACGCAGCAAGGGGCATCGAGTCCCTGGCGGGAGCTGCGCCATGGCATTGCTCTCGACCGTCCGGGGCGCGACCTGGGGTCGCCTCGTCACCCGTCATTTCTCCCATGCAGCGCGGCATGGGGAGCGGCCTGGTGGGGAGGAGCTAAGCCGCTTGCTGCTGGATGACCTGGTGCCGACCTCTCGGCTGGAGCTTCTGTTTGGCATGACCCCGTGTCTCCTGGCTCTGCAGGCCGCCCGCCGCTCTGTGGCCCGGCTCCTGCTCCAGGCGGGTAAAGCTGGGCTGCAGGGGAAGCGGGCCGAGCTGCTCCGGATGGCCGAGGCGCGGGACATTCCAGTTCTGCGGCCCAGACGGCAGAAACTGGACACAATGTGCCGCTACCAGGTCCACCAGGGTGTCTGCATGGAGGTGAGCCCGCTGCGGCCCCGGCCTTGGAGAGAGGCCGGGGAGGCGAGCCCAGGCGACGACCCCCAGCAGTTGTGGCTCGTCCTCGATGGGATCCAGGATCCCCGGAATTTTGGGGCTGTGCTGCGTTCCGCACACTTCCTCGGAGTGGATAAGGTCATCACCAGCCGGAGAAACAGGCACGGACGTCCCTCATTCTCTATGTGCCCCAACTTGGAGACGCAGCCGAGTTCCTAAGCACCTTGGCCCTTGGGTGATCCCTTAGCCAGACTTACCTGTCCCAGAACTCTCATCCCCCTAGCCCTTGGGAGCCCTGGGAGGGTAGGGAGCCGGGCTTGAGATGGCCCAGCCTAATGCGGGGAACGGGGAAACCTTGCAGCTGCCCGCTCACTCCAGTAGTCAGCAAGTCCAGCGCGGGGGCTATGGAGGTGATGGACGTGTTCTCCACTGATGACCTCACCGGATTTTTACAGGTAATGAGGGGCAAGAGGGGAAGGAACAGATGTGAGCCCAGCTCAGCCTCTTCAAGGGGACGAAGCTAGCCCCTGGCGAGGGAGAGAAAGGGGCATGTTGGCACCGCTTCCTTTGGCCTTCTAAATCCCTCTGGGGATGGAAGGGTCCTGGAGTTTTTAAAACGGCAAATGGAGCATTAGCTGAATTCTTCCTAGCGTTATACCCTTTCCTGCACCCCTTCCCCAGGTATGCACCACTTTGCCTCTTCTGTAAGTCAGCCTCAGTGTCTATTTGCCTACTAGGTCGGGCTTCAGTAAATGCATTTTGTTCAGCTGTGGGGAGCTGCGTACAGGAGACCTGAGTTCCTCGAATAGGGCACAGCTTGAAAGGATGTTTGAACAAGAAGATCTTTATGCCATTAGTATCTAGCAAGAGACAAACCTTGGAAACCCCTCTCCCATCCGTTTGTCTTCAGCTGTGCTTCCCTTGCTGGACACAAGGAGGCAGTATTGCTCTGCATATGGAATCCCCTCTGACCATACCCCCCCCAACCCCCACCCCAACTGCAGGGTGAGAAATTTCCCTCTTAAGAAGGGGGAGAGCTCTGGGACCTGTCTAGAACAACGCTGTCCAATAAAAATATGGTGTGAGAAACATAGGTAGTTTTAGCTTTTCTAGTAGCCACATTGAAAAGTAAAGAGATGACATTTTAAATAAATTGTGTCCAGTATATCCAAAATAATATCAATTTAACATGTAATCATTTTAATTATTATTAATATTATTAATTTTTTGAGAGAGTTTCATTCTTATTGCCCAAGCTGGAGTGCAGTGGTGCAATATTGGCTCACTGCAACCTCTGCCTCCTGGGTTCAAGTGATTCTCCTGCTTCAGCCTTCCAAGTAACTGGGATTATAGGCACACACCATGCCCAGCTAATTTTTTTTTTTTGTATTTAGATGGGGTTTCACTATGTTGGTCCGGCTGTTCTTGAACTCGTGACCTTAAGCGATCCACTCGCCTCGGCCTCCCAAAGTGCTGGGATTATAGGCATGAGCCACCGCACCTGGCCTTTAAAAAATATTATTAATGAAATATTTTACATTCCTTTAAAAAATGTTTTACATACAACACACCTCGATTTGAATTAGCCACCTTTCAATTGCTTAATAGCCACATGTAGCTAGTGGCTACTATATTGAACAGCACATATCTAGAAGCATTTTTTGGCTTCACTTTTTTGTAGAGAGCCCCTTTCTCCAAGCCTGATAGGAGATGAGGTTCCCACTCATCACTTCCAGCCCCTGAACAGGTAGCTTCTGAAAACACAGAAACACTGCAGAACATCCACTTAAGCTCCAGGCATCACATCTCCCTACTGTCATCAGCATCTGACCTGGAGAGTGTCATCCGCCTGTTGCTGTGGAAGAGCTGGAGGTGCCCCAAGCAGGGGCCTGTGCTGGGGCCCCATCCCTTCCTGCGTACTCAGAGACACTGCTGTAGCAATTTTCCTCCTCTTCCTGCAGCATCCACTTTTCTCTTACACTCTCTTCAGCATGCAAGCAAACATTCCCCTCTCACGCTCTTGATCTCACACCAGTCAGCTCTTCCTCTCACACTGAATCAAAGGCTTCATCAAGGTCACCAGTGGCCTCCATGTTGCTGCATTCCAGGGTCTGTTCTCAATTCTTTTCTGACTTGACCCATCTGCAGCAGCTGGCACAGTTGACCACTCCTTCCTCCTTGAAACACTATACCTGCTTTCCTTCTGCTTCACCATGTCCTCTCTGAGAGACATTTTTAGTGGTTCTTCCTCAACCCCCTGACTTCCGAGCATTAGCATTTCCCAGATTTTAGTCCTCGGATCTCTTTTGTTGTTGTTGTTAAGAGATGGGGTCAGCTGGGCACAATGGCTCACGCATGTAATCCCAGCACTTTGGGAGGCTGAGGCAGGCAGATCATGAGGTCAGGAGATCAAGACCATCCTGGCTAACACGGTGAAACACCATCTCTACTAAAAATACAAAAAATTAGCTGGGTGTGGTGGTTCGTGCCTGTAGTCCCAGCTACTCGGGAGGCGGAGGTAGGAGAATCGCTTGAACCCGGGAGGTGGAGGTGGTAGTGAGCCGAGATTGTGCCACTGCACTCCAGCCTGAGTGACAGAGTGACGTGTCAAAAAAAAAAAAGAGATGAGGTCTTGGCCGGGAGCGGTTGTTAAGAGATGGGGTCTTGGCCAGGCACGGTGGCTCACGCCTATAATCCTAGAACTTTGGGAGGCTGAGGCAGGTGGATCACCTGAGGTCAGGAGTTCGAGACCAACCTGGCCAAAATGGTGAAACCCTGTCTCTACTAAAAATACAAAAATTACCTGGGCATGGTGGCGGGCACTTGTAATCCCAGCTGCTCGGGAGGCTGAGGCAGAAGAGTTGCTTGAATCCAGGAGGCGGAGGTTGCAGTGAGCCGAGATCACAGCGTTGCACTCCAGCCTGGGCAATAAGAGTGAAACTCTATCTCAAAAAAAAAAAAAAGAGAGAGAGAGAGAGAGAGAGATGGGGTCTTGCTGTGTTGCCCAGCCTGGAGTCCAGTGGCACAATCACAGCTCAGTATAGCCTCCGAATTCCTGGGCTCAAGCCATCCTCCCACCTCAGCCTCCTGAGTAGTTGGAGATACAGGTGCACACCATCTCACCTAATTTTTTTCTTTCTTTTTTCTTTTTCTTTTTTTTTTTGTAGAGATGAGGTCTCACTTTGTTGCCCAGGCTGGTCTCAAACTCCTGGCTTCAAGAAGTCCTCCTGCCTTAGCCTCCCAAAATGCTGGGATTACAGGCGTGAGCCACCTCACCTGGTCCTGGATCTCTTTTCTGTATATGTTCATTTCTTGTTGGTCTCATCTAGTCTCATGGCTTTAAATACTATCTGAATTCAAATTCCCGCCCAAGTGTATACTCCAGCCTGGACCTTGGTTCTGAATTCCAGATTCACTCATCTAGTTGCCTACTGCACAGTTGTTGTTATTGTTGTTGTTGTTTTGCTGTCAGGCGGGCATTTCAAACCTAACATTTCTAAAACTGAGCGCTTGTTCCTTCTGGAGCAACTCCATCCCTTTGGTTGTTTAGGTCAAAAACCTTGGCATCATCCTTAACTAAAGTTATTTCCGTATTATCACCATTTCTGCCTGTTTCCACTGCTACCACTCTGGCCCAAGCAAGTCACCATCATCTGTTGACCGTTATTGCAGAAACTTCCCACCTGGCCTCCTTTCTTCTGCTCTTGGCTCTCAGCACAGCAGGCAGAGTGATTCTGTTGAAGTCATACCATGTTACTTCTCTGCTCAAAACCTTTCAAAGCCTCTGTACCGCTCAGATTCAAAGGCAGAGTCCTTCCAGTAGCCCTGGAGACCATACCTCATGTGGCTCTTGTTCCTTCTTCTGTCTTGACGCCTCTCTTCCCACTGGCCACCTTACTGTTCTCAAACATGCCAGGGAGGCACCTGCCTCTGTGCTTGCTGATCTCTCTGCCTAGAATGTTCTTGCCCCAGATGTCTGCACGGTGCTCCTCCTTCTCCTTCAGGTCTGCACTCAAATGTCACCTCAGTGAGTCCATCCCCACCTGCCCTTCCACAAGGCTGGGATTTTGGTCTGTTTTGTTTTGTTCAGTGCCCTGTCCTCAGTGCCTAGAACAGAGCCCATGCTAGGTGCTTAATAACTATTGACTAATTGACTGGATCAGCAGATAAATGAATGTATGGGCAAGGCTGGGCTCTTCCTTGGCCAGGGCTCTGATGGATAATTTTTTTTTTTTTTTTTTGAGATGGGGGTCTCACTCTGTCACCCAAGCAGGAGTGCAGTGGCGCAATCTTAGCTCGCTGCAATGTCTGCCTCCTGGTCTCAAGAGATCCTCGTGTCTCCTGAGTAGCTGGGATTACAGGCTGATTTTTGTATTTTTAGTAGAGACAGAGTTTCACCATGATGCTCAGGCTAGTCTTTTTTTTTTTTTTTGAGACAGAGTGGAGTCTCGCTTTGTTGCCCAGGCTGGAGGCAGTGGTGTGCTCTCAGCTCACTGCAACCTCCGCCTCCCGGGTTCAAGCGATTCTCCTCCCTCAGACTCCCAAATAGCTGGGACTACAGGCATGTGCCACCACACCCAGCTAATTTTTTGTGTGTTTTTAGTAGAGACGGAGTTTCACCATGTTAGCCAGGGTGGTCTCAAACTCCTGACCTCAGGTGATCCGCCCGCCTCGGCCTCCCAAAGTGCTGGGATTACAGGCGTGAGCTACTGAGCCTGGTTTTTTTTTTTTTTTTTTTTTTAATTTGAGATGGAGTTTCACTCTTGCTGCCCAGGCTGGAGTACAATGGCGCAATCTCGGTTGACTGCAGCCTCTGCCTCCCGAGTTCAAGCGATTCTCCTGCCTCAGCCTCCTGAGTAGCTGGGATTACAGGCATGCACCACCATGCCCGGCTAATTTTGTATTTTTAGTAGAGACGGGGTTTCTCCATGTTGTTCAGACTGGTCTCGAACTCCCAACCTCAGGTGATCCCCCTGCCTTGGCCTCCCAAAGTGCTGGGGATTACAGGCGTGAGCCACCGTGCCTGGGCCAGGCTAGTTTTGAACTCCTGACCTCAGGTAATCTGCCTGCTTCAGCCTCCCAAAGTGCTGGAATTACAGGCTTGAGCCACTGCATACAGCCTCTGATGAAGATTTGATGAATTAGAATAGGAGAGGCAGGCATGGTGGCTGACGCTTGTAATCCTAGCACTCTGGGAGGCCAAGGTGGGAGGATCGCTTGAAGCCAGGAGTTCCAGACCAACCAGGGCAACATGGCAAAACCTCATCTCAAAAAAAAAAAATGCAAAAACTAGCCGGGTGGGGTGGCGAGTGCCTGTAGTCCCAGCTACTTGGGAGGCTGAGGTGGGAGGATCACCAGAACCCAGGCGGTTGAGGCTGCGGTGAGCTGTGATCGTGCCACTGCACTCCAGCCTGAGCGAGAGTAAGACCCTATCTCAAAATTAAAATAAAAAAAGAATTAGAACATATCTTCTTCCCCCTTTCAGACCAAAGCCCAGCAGGGCTGGCTCGTGGCCGGCACGGTGGGCTGCCCAAGCACAGAGGATCCCCAGTCCTCCGAGATCCCCATCATGAGTTGCTTGGAGTTCCTCTGGGAACGGCCTACTCTCCTTGTGCTGGGTAGGTGGATGTCCCTGCGTTTGTGCCCAGATTACATTTCCCGAGCAACTGGGTGTCCAGCTGGGCAACCCTAACCCTCAGCCCCACGCCCTGCAGGGAATGAGGGCTCAGGTCTATCCCAGGAGGTGCAGGCCTCCTGCCAGCTTCTCCTCACCATCCTGCCCCGGCGCCAGCTGCCTCCTGGACTTGAGTCCTTGAACGTCTCTGTGGCTGCAGGTGAGTCTACTCCCCTTTCCCTTTCCTCTATCCCTCTAATCACGCAGGTGGGATTTGATGCCCTCTAATCCCATTTGCTGGCTGTTTGTGTGCCTCAGTTGCTTTATGTACAAAATGGGGAAATTACATCCCGTTGATGAGATGAGGGGCTGCCTGAATGTCTAGGTCTCTAAACATCATCCTTCTCCTCCGTCCTCTCTTCCCTTGTCCTTGTGTCTGTGCAGGAATTCTTCTTCACTCCATTTGCAGCCAGAGGAAGGGTTTCCCCACAGAGGGGGAGAGAAGGCAGCTTCTCCAAGACCCCCAAGAACCCTCAGCCAGGTCTGAAGGGCTCAGCATGGCTCAGCACCCAGGGCTGTCTTCAGGCCCAGAGAAAGAGAGGCAAAATGAGGGCTGACGTGGACTGTCCACAGTGTTCATGTGCTGGAGTCAGGGACGGCCGCACCTGCCTCCGCCGGCTCCAGTGTGCGGGGAGCCTCTGCCTGAGTGTGCACCAGGCCCATGTTTATTGACCACAGTCTGAGGGGGGGGGAAGGGGACTGCGGTGGACACCAGAGGAAGCTGTTTCCTGTTGTGATGTTGGACCTGTAGTAGGACATGGTGATTTGTTAATTTCCATGGGAAGCCATGATGGCCTAGCATGGAGGGAATCTGTTCCCAGGCCCTGCCTGGAAGTTGAGGGAAAGTTTAGACATCTGCAGAGAGGCAGGCAGCCCAGCCCAGGGGACCCGTTCCTCTTGAACCAGTCATTGCCTGTGGCAAATGTGTGTATGAGAATGTGGGGGGTGGAGGGCGGGGCCCTGATGTGGAGTAGACAGTGCGCACCTCAGGCCCACACACGGCCCCGCCCTGGGGCCTTGAGCGCAGGCCTCATCTTTCTGTGCCGCGGGACTCTGCACCTACCTCACAGGGTTGTTGTGAGGCTCAAATAAAACATCACTCAGCACGTGGGAGATTCTGGCCAATTCCTCCGTTAGGTGGCAGCCTCGCTCTTCGGTCCAGTCTTCAGGCAGCTTCCACAGCCTCCTTGCGGGGAGACTCCTGGCTGCAGCCCCATGAGAGGCGACGGGAAATTAGCAAACACCTCCCACCCCACGGGGGCCCCCCACGGGTGACTGAGTCAGTTCCCCTCAAGGGGAGGAACTGGGAGCAGGCTTGCCGTTGATTGTACAACCGAGACAGATTTGGCACTCCTCCCCTCGGGTCCCAGGAAAGCAGCAGGAGCCAGCAGTGTGAGGAGCATAGAAGTGTTTCTGTCCTGGTGGCACATTGGAACCACCTGGCATGCTTTAAAAAACCCAACACTGACACCAGAGAGTCTGACATGATGGGTGTGGCGCCACCTGGCATCCGGCTTTCGAAAGCGCCACCATTGGTCTAATGTGCAGCCAAGGCTGAGAATCACCACTAGGGCAGGTGGACTCAAATTCCACACCCTTGACATTTTGGGCCAGATAATTTTTTGTTGTGAGAGCCATCCTGTGCACTGTAGGATGTTTAGCAGAATCCCCGACCTATACGCACTAGATGCCTGTAGCATGACCCCTCATTATGAAACCAGAAATGTCTCCAGACGTTGCCAGATGGCTTCTAAGAGACAAAAATCTCCCCTCCTGGAGCATGGCTTTGGAGGATAGCAACCCCGAACTTGCAATCCTGACTGCTATGTGACCTTGGGGGGGCGCTCCTTACCCACCTGGGCCTCGGTGCCCTCCTGGGCGAAAGGGGAATAATCCTACCTTCCTGGATTGTTGGGAGAATATGGAGGGCAATAGGAACTCACATGTATTAGGTGCTCAATAAATAGTACTCCACTTTTCTCTGGAATCCATCTGCATTGGATTTGTCTCAATTCTAATAATGGCAATGCCAATTTAGAGCAACACTTAAAGTTGTTTAAAAAGGGCCTATGCTCCTTTTTTTTTGAGACAGGGTCTCACTCTGTCGCTCAGGCTGGAGTGCAGTGGCGCGATCTTGGCTCACTGCATCCTCTGCCTCCCAGGTTCAAGTGATTCTCCTGCCTCAGCCTTCCAAGTGGCTGGGACTACAGGCGTGCACCACGCGCAGCTAATTTTTATATTTTTTTTTTGGTAGAGATGGGGTTTCACTGTGTTGGCCAAGCTGGTCTCAAACTCCTGGCCTCAGGTGATCTGCCCGCCTCAGCCTCCCAAAGTGCTGGCATTACAGGTGTGAACCTGGCCTAAAAAGGGCCTAAGATCTTTTTTTTTTTTTTTTGAGACGGAGTCTCGCTCTGTTGCCCAGGCTGGAGTGCAGTGGCGCGATCTCGGCTCACTGAAAGCTCTGCCTTCCGAGTTCATGCCATTCTCTTGCCTCAGCCTCCCGAGTAGCTGGGACTACAGGCGCCCGCCACCAAGCCTGGCTAATTTTTTGTATTTTTCATAGAGACGGGGTTTCACCGTGTTAGCCAGGATGGTCTCGATCTCCTGACCTCGTGATTCACCCGCCTCGGCCTCCCAATGTGCTGGGATTACAGGCGTGAGCCACTGCGCCTGGCCTAAGATCTTTTTAAAGTCAAAGTTACTCCTCTCAAGAAAGAGGACAGAATTCCTTCATAAACTGCACTGATCAGCTTCTGCCCCCCTTGAGCTCCCTGTCCCTGACTGCCACGCAGGCTCTGACCCATCCCTGCTTCATTCTTGGCCAAGTGCCTAGTGTAGTGATGTTTCACTTTGGCTTGTCATTGGGGTCAAGGAGGAGAATATTTTTAATATTTCAGAAGCCCAGAGGCACCTGACTGATTAAATCAGAATCTCTGGAGAAGGAGCCATGTGTTGGTTTTTATTTTTTCTTTTTTTGAGACGGAGTCTTGCTCTGTTGCCCAGACTGGAGTGCAGTGGCACAATCCCAGCTCACTGCAACCTCTGGCTCCTGGGTTCAAGCGGTTCTCCTGCCTCAGCCTCCCGAGTAGCTGGGATTACAGGTATGTGCCACCACACCCGGCTAAGTTTTGTATTTTTAGTAGAGATGGGGTTTCTCCATGTTGGCCAGGCTGGTCTCAAATTCCCTGACCTCAGGTGATCTGCCCGCCTTGGCCTCCCACAGTGCTAGGATTACAGGCGTGCACTACCATGCCCAGCCGATATTTCTTAAAGCTACTAGTTGATCTCATTGTGTGACCAGGTTCAAGAATCAGTGGCCTTTGAGCCACTCACTCATGTCCAAGAAACTGCTTCCCATGCACACCTGTGCTTTTGAGCTCATGCCTGAAAGTTTAGGTGAGGGTGAGCTTTCATCTGTCCCTCAGGTTCCGGAAGGTGCTCATTCCAGTCCTGGCTCCATGGCTTTCCACTGAGATGGCTTCTCAGCCTCCTCATCTTGGGGATAGTACCATTACTACCAGCCCTATCTACCCCCTTCCTTTTCAACAGAAGTTATAAAAATAAAATGAGAGTATCGGTAAAAGATGTTCTGTAAACCAGAGGACACTGCACCCCAGGACTAGCGCACAATAATACAGACTTTGATGTGGTGGTTAATTTTGTGTATCAACTTGACTGGGCCATGGGTTGCCCAGATGTTTGGTCAAACATTCTGGGTGTTTCTCTGAGGCTGTTTTTGGAAGAGATTAACGTTTACATTGGTAGACTGAGTCAAGCAGACCCCTAATGTGAGTGGGTCTCATCCATTCAGTTGAGGGCCTGAATAGAACAAAAAGTCTGACCTCTCCCAAGTCAGAGAATCCTTCCTACCTTCAGACTAGACCTGAAATATCAGCTCTTCCTGGATCTCAAGCGTGCTGGCCTTTGAATGGAAATGATACCATTGGTTTTCCTGGTGCTCAGGCCTTCAAACTCAGGCTGGAATGAAACCATCGGCTCTCCTGGGCGTCCAGCTTGCTGACTCACCCTGCACATCTTGAGACTTGCCCGCCTCCATCATTGCATGAGCCAATGCCTTATAATCTCTTGAACACACACACATTGGTTCTGTTTCTCTGGAGAAACCTAATGCAGTTGATGAAAATGAATGTAGGCGTCCCAGTGCTCCCTGCATATGGGATGCAGGGTTCAGCTTGCTCTCTAGAACCAAGGCCAACATGGAACTTAGAAGTTGGAGTAGGGGCTACTTAGGCACCCCACCCCCCACAGACTCCTCCATGGTGGCTGGAACCCGATCTAACCTGCCCTGGGCATGCTGTTCATCAGCTTTCCCTGTCCCAGTGGTCTGGGCCATCTAGAAGACTCTCCTGGGCTTAGTCAGGTACAGGGGGCTTCTCCCTGCTTCACTCCCTGGGCAGCAGGCTGGCTGGCCTCTGGGAAGACAGGTTCACTTAAACCAAAGGGGATTGAGGCTTAAATTACAGGCCATACACACACAGGTGTGTGCTAATTTCTGGTATACAGGCAGTCCCCCAACAAAGAGGAAGGGTCTGAGGTCCTAAGGATGAGGAGGATGAGGCCTGATTCTCCTTTAGGCAGCCTCTGGTACCTGGCGCGGTGCCTATACACTGAGTGGACACTGCTCAGCAAGTGTGGGTTAAGTACACGGGAGCTGGGGAGGCTGTGGCTGTGGGTGTGAAGGGGCTGGGTGGGGGTCCATCCCCTGCAGGGCAGAGTTGGAATGAAGTCAGAGGAGAGAGCAGTGGTGGTTAAGAGCAGGAGCCTGGCTGCTAGACAGTGCTTGCTTTGAGTTCCAACTCTGTGGCTTGCTAGAAGTATAAATGTGGACATGTCCCTTAAATTCCAAGCCTCAGTTTTCATCGCCTATAAAATGGGGATGACAGTGGTGTCCACTTCAAAGGATGGTGGTATGGATTGAAAGAGGTCATACATGTAAAACCCTCAGCCCCATGCCTGGAGGAGCATGGTAGCTGCTCCTCAAAGCCTCTAGGGCCAGATTTAGAGGTCAGGGTGCTGGGTTGTGCTTCCCAACCAACCTGGCCTCCGTTTTCCTGTAGGCTCTGGCCCCTTTCATCTGTAGTGCACAATGATTTACCACTGGGAACTGCTGGAGGGAGTTGAGGGAGGAGAGGGGTTGGAATGACATTTGTAGGATCCCCCTTTGTCAGGGCTCCAAGATCCTGAGATGCCGAGATGGAAAGGGTCTAAGAAGAATTGGCAGTGACTTGGTATTCTCGGAGCAGCTAAATCAAGGCTGGCACCCCAGATCCCTGCTGCAGGCCTGGAATATTTTTTTGGCAGGAGGCTAAATTGTCAATCCCCCTCCCCCTAGGTTGGGGTCCTGAATTAGACAGCACACCCGCCACCCCCGCTTCGCCGACACACATACACACACACCACCACTACCACCACCGACTCCTGCAGGGCCAGGTGCCAGGGATCCCCACAGTTTGTAAATGTAATCAACCTTGAGGTTTCTCACTTCCACAGGTGCAATTAGCATGCCCATCTGCTAATCCCTGATTAATGGTGTTTACAAACATGGGGCTCCACTGCAGAGCCGCTCAGCCACTCCCTCCTGGGGTTGTGAGGCAGGGGTCTTCCCTGCAACCTCTCCCCACTTCTTCAGGCCTCCTCCCCAGCCAGAACCCCTCTGCCTCCCCTTCCCCAGGCAGTGAACAGAGCTAGAGGTCCCTCCTCCTCCTTCCCCGAGCTTCCTGGCCCCTTCTCAGTGTACACATGTGGAAGCGGAGAGCAGGGAAAGCAGACAGGGAGGCTTGGCGGCAAGGCCAGGATCCTACTCATCCCTGTCCCACCGACTCAGTCTACCAGTGTCTTTCTTCCCAATTCTGAACTTCAAGGATGTGTACTGGGCGCGCTGCCTTTATTCACCACTCAGCTGCAGCCCTGAGGCCACACAAACATGTCCCCCTGCAGGAGTTCTCGGTGGGTCAGAAGTCCGGTACCAAAAGCAGGATGTCAGACAGTGCCGGCTCCACATGTGGGCCCTACCTTAGGCAAGTCACTTACCCTGATTGAGCCTCAGTTTCTTAATCTGCAAAATGGAGATAAGAATACTACCTACCATGTAGGCTTAAGGTTTGTATGTGAGGATTAATGATGGGATACATGAAAAAGACTTAGCACAGTGCCCGGGACACAGTAGGTGTTCAATAAATGTGAGCTTTTCAATGCGATGATGACGATGACAATGATGACGATGATGATGAAAAGAGGCTTTTGAAGCTAAAAAAAAATGCCCAAGAACGCCTCCTCCTCCCCTCACCCTGCTCTCTGGGGGGAAGGGCAAGTCCCAGCTCATTACTGGTGGGGGCTGCGTAGGGGGAGGTGTCAGATTGGAATCACTCCTGGGTCTGTTTGCAGCTTCCCTGTTTCATTAACACCTCCCTAGTGGTCTTCAGCTCATCCTGCTGGGGGAGGTGCTCCAGAAAGTTCTAACGGCCTCCTACCCAGCCCAGAGCTCAGTGCCTCTCACTTCTGGGCCTGTGCGCCAGGTGACATAGAGGCAGTTTTATGTTGGCCGCTGACCAGAGGTTGTCACTGTCCCCCTCTCCTGAGGGTCCTGGAAACCTGGTCAGGGGACGAAGCACCTGGAGCGGATCCTTCCTTTTATCCTCTTCCCTCAACCTCTAATCCATAGGTTTTAATCCCCCATCTCCTGGGCACCCCAACATGGCCACTTTCCCTTCCTTCAGAATCCCCCTGTGAACAGGGCGCAGTCTCAGGTTCCCATCCCACCCATCTCTTGCTAGCTGGATGCCCAAGGCAAGATGCTTGTCCTCTAGGACATTTAGTTGTCTCTTCTGTAAAATGAGGATGTCATACCTCACAGGGGGTTAGCACAGTGCCCAGTAAATTGTAAACTCTCAATAATTGTAGTTATTTTATGGGCAAATAAAATATTTATTTGCTCAAATATTGTAGTTATTTTATGGGCAAAACAACTGCTCTCAAAACTATGTTCTTAAATCGCAGAACTGTATGTAGCCCATTGGGGGTGGGTGGAAGGGGAGCAGGGCCAGAGCCCTGAGGACCATTAGCACCTCCAGAGAAGCTGGAAAGGGCTCGAGCTCTGCCTCCCAGTTAATTGGCTCAGCTCCTTCCCCAGATTGGGAAAGGGAGAGGGGCTGCTCTTTGAATCAGGACCAGGAGATTTCTACCTCAGGCTCTGCAAAGGCTGCTTTGAAACAGGACTCCTCCTGACTGCACTCCAAGGATTTTTATGGAAATGCCTGTCCTTCGCCCCTGCCATGTGCCCTCTCGGTCACAGTATTCCATTTCAGAGGACACCCTTCACCAGCTGCTGTGGGCCGGGGAGGAGGGGCTGGGCCTGTCTTTCTCCTGCCCTCTCTGCAGTCTGGCCCTTCTCCCCCTTCGGGCTCCAGCTTTCTTGGTAAGGTTTGTAGGCATCAGAAGGGAGATTCCATGAGAAGCAGTACCTTTGTGGTTTATCTGCAACCTGAGAAAAAAATCCATGGGCTGGCGGGCGCGGTGGCTCATGCCTGTAATCTCAGCGCTTTGGGAGGCCGAGGTGGGCGAATCATGAGGTCAGGAGTTTGAGACCAGCCTGACCAACATGGAGAAACCCCATCTCTACTATAAATACAAAAATTAGCTGGGCATGATGGCAGGCGCCTATAATCCCAGCTACTCAGGAGGCTGAGGCAGGAGAATCCCTGGAACCCAGTAGGCGGAGGTTACGGTGAGCTGAGATCGCGCTATTGCACTCCAGCCTGGGCAACAAGAGCAAAACTCCGTCTCAAAAAAAAAAAAAAATTCATGGGCTAAACAGCTCCCCTTAGAAAGAGGAAACTAAGCCAGGCGTGGTGGCTCATGCCTGTAATCCCAGTACTTTGGGAGGCCGAGGCAGGTGGATCACCTGAGGTCAGAAGTTCAAGACCAGCCTGGTCAACATAGTGAAACTTCATCTCTACTAAAAATACAAAAATTAGCTGGGCATGGTGCATTCCTGTAATCCCAGCTACTCGGGAGGCTGAGGCAGGAGAATCACTTGAACCTGGGAGGCAGAGGTTGCAGTGAGCTGAGATCACGCCACTGCACTCCAGCCTGGGCGACAGAGTGAGACTGTCTCAAACAACAACAACAACAACAACAACAACGACAACAAAACTTTCTTGCAGGCCGCCTGCTCCCTACAACCGCAGACACATAAGCCCCTCCCGCCCTCTAGGAATATCCCTGCCCCACTTAGACCTTCAAGCAGGAATCACCCTTACTGATTTTGTATTCCCAGGTCCCACCACAGGGCCAGGCACGTGCTGGGTGTTTCACAATGATGCATGAACAAGTGAATAAGTCCTGAGGTTGGAGGCTGATTGCCTCCTCTTCCTCTTCTCTGAAGTGGGCTGGAGGGGCAGATCCCTGAGCACGCCTCCAGCCGGCCTTGACCTTCCACTTTCAAGCAGTGTCAGAGGAGGCAAGTCAGAAATCATCCCCAGCCACAGCTGGTCTTGCTTCTCTGAAACAAGGGAGCTAATTGAGGCTGAGGAGATGCTTCACAGCCTCCCTCAGCCCCTCAGCTCTGCAGAGACCCACCTGTGCCAGACTTTCCGTCGACAGCCCCTTGCATAGATACAGGTATTAGCCTGGGTCAGGCACTGTGCATGGGGCTGGATCTTGTCTGAATCAGAGCCCTGAGGCCGACACACACTCTTAACAACAGTCTCGCTTCAGTGAGTGTGCGACCTGGAAGCCGTGTGCTTGGAACAGGAGGAGGAGTGATGTGGTGATGATGATGGTACTAGCATTTGTTATGCACTTACCATGGGCTTACATGCCTCATCTTGTTTCCCTTACCATACTTTTTGTTTGTTTGTTTGTTTTCTTTTATAGACAGGGTCTTGCTCTGTTGCCCAGGCTGGAGTGCAGTGATGCAATCATAGCTCACTGCAGCCTCCAACTCCGGGCTCAAGTGATCCTCCCACCTCAGCCTCCTGAGTAGCCTCCTTAGCCACTATGCCCAGCTGATTAAAAACGTTTTTGTTGTTGTTGAGATGGGATCTCCCTATGTTGCCCAGGCTGGCCTTGAACTCCTGAGCTCAAGTGATCCTCCTGCCTCGGCCTCCCGAGTAGCTGGGATTACAGGCATGAACCACCGCCCAGGCTTTCCGAGCTACCTTGACAAGCTCTAAGTGGGACATTCCAGTGGAGGTGCTGGGAGGCACCTCCATCCAGTTTCCCACTGGCTTTAGGTGGTGTTCCAGGCTGGAAGCCCAGAAGTGACAGCTCAGAGCTACTGTGGGGTGCTGCAAAGAGCCTTGGCCCCACAGAGACTCCAGACATGGGTTCAAATCCTGGCTCTGCTCCCAGATTTGAAGGCTCAGGCCTGGGGTGAGTTTCTTAACCTCTGAGCTTAGTTTCCTCCCTGTAAGATAGAGCCAATAACTGCTTTCACCCACGGTTGTGCTGGGAGGCTTGAGAGATGATGCCCTTGGCATATGGTAGACCTTCAATAACCCTTCCTTCCTTTCCGTCTTTTTTTTTTTTTTTTTGAGACGGAATCTCGCTCTGTTACCCAGGCTGGAGTGCGGTGTCCTGATCTCTGCTCACTGCAACCTCCGCCTCCCAGGTTCAAGTGATTCTCCTGCCTCAGCCTCCCGAGTAGCTGGGATTACAGGCTCCCACCACAACCACACCTGTCTAATTTTTGTATTTTGAGTAGAGGCGGGGTTTCACCATGTTGGCCAGGCTGGTCTCGAACTCCTGACCTCAAGTGATCCACCCGCTTTGGCTTCCCAAAGTGCTGGGATTACAGTCATGAGCCACTGCGCCTGGCCAACCCTTCCTATCTTGCCTCTTCCTTCTTCTCAGCAGCCTCCCTCTGTGTCTGCCCCTTTGCCCTTCCTAGCCTGGGGTCTGGCTTCTCCTCCCCCTTCACCTCTGCCTCTGGTTTCTGATGAGCTCTGTCCTGTCTGCCTGCCCTGGCCGGGTCACTGGGGGCTCTTTGCTGTTGCTCCCTCTCTGAGGCTGTGTCCGCACACCATGCCTGGTCCTCTCCTTCCCTCTCCCCACCGGCTTCCTGTGCCCTCGGGGCTGATCGATAGCAGCCGCTGGTTATCGATTGGGGTGGGTGTTCAAGTGTGACTGCTGCAGGCTGATATTGATGGGCAGAATTGGTGCTGAGGTCCCAGTGGAGCAGCAGCTGGGCAGCCTGGGGCTTTAGGGGGAAGTGGGGTTCTCCCCCCACACTTGAGGGGACCTGGGAGTGGGAGTCCTTGAGGGGACCTGGGAGTGTGAGTCCTTAAGGGGACCTGGGAGTGGGAGTCCTTAAGGGGGCAGACACCACAATGATGAAATTTGGGGCTGGGGGCAGAGGGCCTCTAAGGACAGAATGCCAAGGCTTAGCTTAGGCTGTCATTCATCAAGTATTTATTGAGCACCTACTCTGTGCCAGCTGGGGATATAGCAGTGAGCAAGTCAGCGACAACCAATAAGTAAAATTATATAGTATGTTGTAAGAAAAGTAGAGCAGGGGAAGGGGACATAGAGCCCCGTGGTTGGGGGAGGGCACAATTTTAAACAGGGGGACTGTAAACAAAGACCTGGAGAAAGGGCAGAAGTGAGTCCCTGAGAGCATTTCAAGCAGTGGAAACTCTAAGTGCAAAGGCTTCTGGGTAGGAGTGTGCCTGGTGTGCTCTAGGCCAGCGTGGCTGGAGAGAGGTAAGGAGGGAGGACAGTGAGAGGAAATGGGACAGACGGAGAGGTCACGGAAATAGAGGCTGGGTGCCACTGGGAGCGGACAGCCCAGGGCTGGAAGCTGCCCAACTCCAACCTGCGCAGCCTCCGTACAAGGGTAGCTTCCAGAACATGGTTCCAGAGCCAACTGACCAGGTCCCAGACACTTCACCTGCTTTGTCGATGAGATCGTGTGAATTAGGTTCTATCATTACCCTGTTGTAAAGCTGGGGAGACTGAGGCTTAGAGACATTTGACAACTTGCCCCAGGCCATGTGACAGAGCTGGAACTCAAACCCAAGTCTGACTCCAGAATTGTGGCTTTTGTTGTTATTGTCTTAGCTGTTTTTAAGTGTACCAGTCAGTAGTGTTAAGTATATTCACATTGCTGTGCAACAGCTCTGCAGAGCTCTTTTGCCTTACAAAACGGAAACTCTACCCTTTAAACCGCAGCTCCCCATCCACCACCCAGCCCTTGGCAAACACCATTCTCTGTTCTGTTTCTATGAATTGGATGACTTTAGATACCCCATAGAGTGGAATCATACAGCATTTGTCTTTTTGTGACTGGCTTATTTTAGCATCATGTCTTCAAGGTTTGTCCATATTGTGGCATGTGACAGAATTTCCTTCCTTTTTAAGACTGAATAATATTTCATTGTCTGTGTACACCACATTTTGTTTATCCATCCATCCATCGATGGGCACCTGGGTTGCTTCTGCCTCTTGGCTTTTTTGAATAATGCTGCTAGGAACATGGGTGTGCAAATATCGCTTCAAGACCCTGCCTTGGGCCAGGTGCAGTGGCTCATGCCTGTAATCCTAGCACTTTGGAAGGCCAAGGTGGATGGATAACTTGAGGTCAGGGGTTCAAGACCAGCCTGGCCAACATGGCAAAACCCCATCTCTACTAAAAATACAAAAATTAGCCAGGTGTGGTAGCGCATGCCTGTAATCCCAGCTACTTGGAAAGCTGAGGCAGGAGAATTGCTTGAACCTAGGAGGCGGAGGTTGCAGTGAGCCAAGATCGCACCACTGCACTCTAGCCTGGGCGACAGAGTGAGTCTCAAAAAGAAAAAAAAAAAAAGACGCTGCCTTCAGTTCTTTCGAATATATACCCAGAAGTGGGATTGCTGATCCGATTATAATTCTATTTTTAATTTTGTGAGGAATTGCATACTGTTTTCCATAGAAGCTGCACCATTTTACACTGCCCCCAAGAGTGCTCAAGGGTTCCAGTTTCTCCACATCCTCAATAAGACTGTTTATTTTCTGTCTTTCTGATGGTGGCCATCATAATGGATGCGAGGCGGCATCTCCTTGTGGTTTTGATTTACGTTTTTCCGGTCATTTGTGATGTCGGGCATCTTTTCATAGGCTTGCTGGCCACTTGTGTGTCGTCTTTGGAGAAATGTCCATTCGTGCTCTTTGTTCATTTTTACATCAGGTTGTTTACTTTTTTGCTATTGAGTTGTAGGAGTTCCTTATATATTCTGAATATTAACCTCTTATCAGTTATAAGATTTGCTAGTATTCTCTCCCATTGTGTAGGTGGCCTTTTCACTCTGCGGGTTGTATTCCTGGATGCACAGTTTACATTTTGATGTAATCCTATTTTTCTACTTCTGCTTTTGTTACCTGTGCTTTTGATGTCATAAGAAATCATTGCCAAACCACTCCTTTATGCTGTCAATAATTCTGCCTTTGGGTGGGTGGGAGGGAATGGTCAGGGACTATTGCAACAGTTGAGGGAATGATGACGTGTTTAGCCAGGAGCATGGAAGCCCCCAGGTGGTGGGAAGGCAGTGATTGTGGTATTCCAGTTACAGAGGGGCTTTCGTGGAGCAGAGTGATGACCCAGAAGGCAGAAACAGGACCAGTAGGAGGCCCAGGGAGGCAAAAAGCAGCTCAATCTAGCAAGATTCCAGAAGTGGAAGAGGATACCTTGGAGGTAGTGAGCTCCCTGTCACTAGAGTTGTGCGAGACCTCAGTTGATCACTCAGAATATTTCACAGGGGCTTCAGACAGAAGATATGTTTGGGGTTGATGGCCTCTGATCCCTTCTATGATTCCATAAGGAAGGAGGGAGCTCAAAGGTTCAGCCAGCAGGGTGGGATGGACGGGGCTGCAGCTGATAGGTATGCCCTCCTCTGTGCCTGGGGAAGTCTTGTGCTTTGAAGCCTAGCTGTGCAGGAGATTCCCTTAAGTTGCCATCACCCTGGAGCCTGAACCCAAGCCCTGGCCCAACCCATCCATAGGTCTTGGAGACCTGGACTGGAAGAGAGGAAGAGAGACTAAGATGTGCCTCCATCGCCTGCCAGGTGCTGCTTGCAGGCAGAACGGAAGAAACAGACTTTAGAATCTGGTGGACCTTGGTTCAGTTGCTGCCTCAGCCATTGGCTGAGTGGCTTTGGGCAATTTCTTTAATGTCTCTGATCCTAATTTTCTTCATCTGGGAGCAAGGGGTTGTCACCTCTCTTGTGGGGTTTCCTGCAGAATAACAATAACAGGGGCCTGGAGCCTGGCAGGTGCTCAGTTAACTGCACTGATCAGAATTAAGCTCCTTACAATTTTCCTTTTAGCACCCTTGGAAGCCAAGGACCCAAGCCAGCCACACCCCCAACATACCCCATCCTGTGACTGCTCCCCATGGCTTGGTCCCTGCCAGCCTCATAACCTGGATGAACCTCAGCCTTTTATCTCCTACTGAGGGCTGGGAGTGCAGACTCCGCATCTAGAACCCAACAGGGCCACAGTATACACCCAAGCCAGCTCAGGGCCCCTCTCTTGTTCTGACAGGTGGGGCTAAGTGACGGCCTGACACTGACATCCTGCCTGTCTGTCTATCCTCTGCCTCTTCCTGTCCCTGTAGCTGCTGACCCTGGTGTTTCCCCACTCCCGGCTTCCCAGTCCCTCTCAGCCCTGCACCTTGTGCCCCTGCTCACTTCCTTGCACATTGCACCCAGAGATCCCCCCACAACCACCAGCCCAGCCCATTGTGGAGAAAAAATCAAATCTCATTAAAGGCCATCGATTTTCTTCCAAATTTGCTGTGAGTACACTTTGAGGCTCTTCTGTATTCCTGCCTGCTCCCACCTCAGCCCCTCAACTACCCCTGCAGCTACGCCGGGGAAACAGGGGTGTCAGGGTTGGCAGGTGGCATGGAGGGCAAGGGGGCCCCCAGCCCCCCTTGGCCCTTCAATGTGGCAAGACCCTGGGTATGTCACTGATTTCTGGGGAGGGAGTATTTCCCCGTCTGTCTATCCCCGTCTTCCTACAGGGCTTGGGCTGTGTGTTGCATTGTGTATCTGTCTGTGTGTCAGTTTGTGTTTTGTGTGTATCTCTGTGGTGTGTCTCTGTGCATCTGTGTCTTTCCATTTCTGCATCTGTGCATCTGCCTCTGTGTGTACAGGTGTGTTTGCGTGACTGCAGGGGGCATGGGGGGCTGGGCTTGCAGTTGAACTCTGGATGCTCTGCTGCCCATGAGATAGCCAGCCTGGGGAAGGGGCTTGACTTGGGATAAACCCAAGATATGATTCTCCTCCACCAGGGGCCAGAGGCTGGGCTGGGATCTGAAAAGGGCACAGGCTTCCCTGCTGCCTCCTGCCCCCTCCTGTCCCTATGGAAATGGGACACCCTGCTGATTTCCTTGCGATGTTAGATTTGGGGTTTTGGGGGCTGGTGGAAGAGACTTCAGACTGGGCGTGGTGGCTCACACCTGTAATCCCAGTACTTTGGGAGGCCGAGGTGTGTGGATCACCTGAGGTCAGAAGTTCAAGACCAGCCTGGGCAACATGGTGAAACCCCATCTCTACTAAAAATACAAAAATTAGCTGGGCATGGTGGTGCGCACCTGTAATCCCAGCTACTCAGGAGGCTGAGACAGGATAATCACTTGAACCCAGGAGGCAGAGGTTGCAGTGAGCTGAGATCAAGCCACTGGACTCTAGCCTGGGCAACAGAGCAAGACTCCGTCTCAAAAAAAAAAAAAAAAAATTCAAACCTCATATGGGGGCATCATTTCAAACCTGATGTCGGATTCCTTCATCCCCTAATCTGAACTAAAGGGTCCCAGGTGGGGGACAGTTAGAGTTGGATGGACATATACTTGCCTGGTGAGTCTGGAGAGAGCGGACTAAGAGAGAAGGCTGGGCAGTGGCGGTGCCCTGCAGGGGTATGGCATGAGGGCATTCATGTCTGCCTGGGTCATGCTCCTGGGGTAATGTCAAACATCAAGGTCAGCCTTGACAGGGACAAAAAAAAGTCACAGAAGGGGCCCTTTGGCCTTTGTTGGGTGGGGAGGCTTGTGATCTGGTTGTAGGCCGAGCCTCTTCCCTCTAGCCCATTCGCTAGGCGCAGAGGTCAGCTGCGATCCTGAATTGGCCCTCCAAGCCCTGGGACACTGCCCCACGCCCCAGGGTGGGCATCTTGATGGAGCCCCTACTGATATGGGGCACGGGGTATGTTCCCAGTTGTGTGCCCTCAATGAAGTATCACTGCCGCCTTTTGCCCCAGCCCTGCACAGGCGTGTCATGTGAGTTCATGGCTGTGCATGTGTGTTCTCCCTGCAGCCTCTGCCGGGGAGCTGGAAGCAGCCCTTCGGATTCCAGGGACAGGCCAGATTTATGATACTGGGAGAAATATTTAGGCCTGAGACAGTTTGGTTGTGTTAATTATGGAAATCTAAAGATAATCTATATTTAATGCTGAATTTTGTCAAATTTGCTAAAGAATTAGGGGAGCGTGTGCAAACAGTGACACTTCAATGAAGAACAAGGTGCAATTAAACTCTGAAATTTACAGTGGAATAATTGGAAAGCATGACAAATATAGTTATCAGCAGCAACTAATTAGGGGTGTGCTCGAGGTTTCTGGGCTTGATTAATCTCGCCTGGATGCTAATAAGTTATGTAGGGCAGATGATAACTGGTTTGTCTCCTCCTTCCTTCTACCCTCTCTCCAAAGCACTTGAGGGGTAAGAATGTGACCCATTCAGTTCATCCCTCTGTGCAGCCCAGCCTGAAGGGGAGGGTGGGGGCACTCCAGCTCCTATGCTGGGACCCCTGCCCAGGTAGGGATGATGTGAACACCTTGCGCTGCCCCTGCTCAGGCATCCTGGGGGCTCCCTGGTTGGTAAGTTCTTCTTGGTGTCTCACTTGAGGCTTGTTGGGATTGGGGGAGAGTGGCTTGGAGCCTGTGTTGGGGTCTCGCTGAGCCTCAGTGGGCCAGATTCATTCCCTTGCTGTTGATGTAGCTGTCTGACTCCCACCTCTGCTTCCACTTCATGCCCGGTGGGAAGGGGCACTGGAAGCCCCCGCTCGGACCTGCAATAGATCCCATGCACCGTCTTCCTTGGCTGGGCACTTCCGTCCCTCTCCCCTCCCAGGATTCTGCTAATCTTCCTCACTGCTGATTGTGGCCAAGCCTTGGATTCATTGATTAAAGTTTAGGCTGGAGCTGATGCTATTACCCTGCTGGAGTGTGGCCAGCACCCTGGGCACCACCGCCAAGTCCAGCTGTGAAACAAGCACCGCCACCTCCCTTTCTCTGTCTCTCACCCTGTCTCTGATTCTGTGTCCAGTCTCTCCCCTGTCCTGGAGCCTCCCTCAGACCTGCTGCCCTTGTCACCCTTCAGGGGCCTACCTGGTATGACCAGCTGACGGGGGAGAGGTGATCACCTTCCCAAGAACTCTACCTTCTGCCATCCACCCCTTCCTCAGAAGTCCTCCTGACTGTCAGCTGCCCCACCTGGGGTCCCCCAAGGCAGCTCTGTGCATAGACCCCACCCTGAGCACCCCTTGCCATCTCCAGCCACTTGCTCAGTGTCATTGGCCACAGGATGGAGACTCTGATTGACAGTCTCAGATGAGGCTGATGAATCCAAAATGGGACGTTAGATGAACTTCTTCTTTGTGAATGTCATCAGTACAACCGGGTCTCTCAAAGCATGAGCATCCATGAGCACGCATGTCATAGGAGGCTGGTGTCTGCTGTGACTGGTGGAGGGGATGCTGGATAGGACAGGGGCCTTCAGCGTCTCCTTCAGAGATGAGGGGTGTGGCTTCTTTGAGGCCTGCTTCTCTTCTTGCTTTTGGGATGAGGAGCTTTGGGGTCAGACACACCCAGACTTGTGTCCCGGCCCTGGGGGTCCTGGGCTCTTCTTTTCCCAGGTCTCGTTTTCCTTCTTGTAGCACAGGGATAATTCCTTCACAGTGAGGAGCGCAGGAAACGGCTAGGAACTGAGCAGGCTCTGAGTACATGGGCACCCTCCCCTCCCCACTCCTGCTCCTTCCAGCTCCCCACCCCTCCACCCTTCAGGTGGACTTGCACACTGTTTTAATCAATGCTAGGATGCTGACGTGAAGGAAGCTGGGGTGGGAACCAGAGCCCAGAGCTTCACCTCACCCCAAAGCTGCTTGAGTCAGGGAACCCACCTAGCTTGAAGTCTGGTGTGTAAAGGTAAGAAAAAGGCTTTGTAAAGTCTCCAGCGAGGTCAGAAGTGCTGCTCTTGTTAGTGAGTAACAATGTGCTGGAGGAGTGAGTTCCAGTAGGCTCCTCACCTCTGCTCTCTCTCTACCTGATATGCCTAAAATGTAAATCCTATCATGGCCTACCCCTGCTCAGAAACCTTCAATAACTCCCTATTGCCTCCACGATAAAGTACAGAGCATAATGGTCAACACTGTCCACAGTTGGCCCCAGTCTGGTTGTTTCTTCTTCTTTCTTCTCCTTCTCCTTCTCCTTCGCCTTCTTCTTCTTCCTCTTCCTCTTCTTCTTCCTCTTCCTCTTCTTTTTCTTCTTCCTCTTCGCTCTTCATCTTCTTTCTTCCTCTTCCTCTTCTCCTCCTCCTCCTCCTTCTCCTTTTCTTCTTCTTCTCCTCCTCCTTCTTTTTTTTTTTTTTTTTTTTTGAGAAAGAGTCTTACTCTGTCCAGGCTAGAGTGCAGTGACAAGATCTCGGCTCACTGCAAACTCCGCCTCCTGGGTTCAAATGATTCTCCTGCCTCAGCCTCCCGAGTAGCTGGGATTACAAGTGCCCACGACCACGCCTGGCTAATTTTTGTATTTTTAGTAGAGTTGGGGTTTCGCCATGTGGGTCAGGCTGGTCTTGAACTCCTGACCTCAAATGATCTGCCTGCCTTGGCCTCCCAAAGTGCTGGGATTACAGGCGTGAGCCACTGCACCCGGCCCCTTTTGGGCTTCTTGAAGTCCCTTTGCTGTACCCACCCAAATGATGCCCTGTTCCCCAAACTCCCACAACACCTGACAATCTGTAGGCTTTTATTGGATCAATTTCCATTTTCTGACATGCTTTCCCTCCCACTCCCTCCCCACAGCCACTTTCTGGGAGGCCCAGCTCAAATCTCATCACCCCCTAAAGCCTCCCCTGATGCTCCTAGTTCCTCCAGCCATGCCCCCCGCCGACCCCCCAACCTGAATTCCCTCTGGTTGCACAGCTGTTCCTTGCGTCTGTGTCAGGTGCGTCCACCAGAGGGCGACAGACACTGCGGGCACAAGCAAAATGGCCCCAGGATTGGCTGCGTTTCCCCTCCCCGCCCCCGGACCCATCCTGCCTCTGCTATGCTGTCCCCTGGACTTCCAGCCTGGCATCCTCACCGCTGGACTTCAGGGCTGGAGGACTTGGGGACAGTGCATGTTGTGTCCCTTTTCTGCAGAGCTGCCATCCCTGAAGATTTGGGTGAAAAGACAGAGCCAGCTGCTCTTGTTTGTGTAGTGCGTGAGTTTCCCAGTCACTGTTGACGTTCTGGGTCCCCAGGGCAGGGTTGAGTGGCTTTTTTTGTTTGTTTTGAGATGGAGTCTACCTCTGTTGCCAGGCTGGAGTGCAGTGGCGTGATCTCGGCTCACTGCAAACTCCACCTCCCGTGTTCAGGTGATTCTCTTGCCTCAGCCTCCTGACTAGCTGTGATTACAGGCGCCCACTACCACACCTGGCTAATTTTTGTATTTTCAGTAGAGATGGGTTTCACCATGTTGACAGGCTGATCTCGAACTCCTGACCTCAAGTGATCCGCCTGCCTCAGCCTCCCAAAGTGCTGGGATTAGAGGTGTGAGCTACTGCACCCAACTGAGTTGGCTCATTTTACAGATGGGGAAGCACACCTTGATCATGGCTCTGTCTTTCAGAGACTGGAAAGTCACAGGTGCAGAATGCTCTGGACAGACTAAGGCTTAGAGCAAATTTGCTGAGGGTGACGTGGCCTGTAAGGGGAAGGGTTGACACTCGAACCCAGGCCTTTCTGACTGCCGGGTGAGTGTGTTTTTCTCCACATCAGTTTTTCTGATTATTCAAGATGTAGGTTTAATTCTGTCATTGTCACAGCCCTGACTCTGAGGCAAATGTAAATGGTGCCCCAGGCCTCAGACCCCAGCCCCCAAATCCCCACATGCTGCGCATCTGCGGACAGTCTGAGCCACAGCTTTCTGTGAAATGGTCAGGTGATGCGTAGCCTCTTCCTCACAGGGTTATTGTAGGACAGAATGAGATGATGCCCGCAGAGACCCCTGTGCTCCAGGATGGACCCCCTGCGAACCTGGGCTGGGACATTTCCCCAGGGGCTCTTAGTCTGTCTCTTGGGGGCTGGGACGGGGAATGCAAACACCTGCAGGTCTCCTTCAGCCCCTTTTGGGGGAAAGAAAAGAGACCTGGGGTCTCCTTCCTCAGGATTCTCCAGCCCTTGCAGCTGCTGGAAGTGAGCGGGCTCCGTCACCATGGCAACGTGGCCCAGCCGCCTGCAGGGCCAGTCCTGTGCCAGCCGCCGTTGACCTCACTTAGGATGATTACCTTTCGGCAAATAAAATAATTGTGTTAATAAAGAGGCTGTTCGCCTCTCATTCCCCATCCCGCTTTGCCTGTTTCCCATCCCTATCCGGTGGAAAGAGGATTCTCTCCACCTGGTTACCCCTGGCCTGTGGGATGCCTTACTCTTAAATTGTTGACGAGACCCTGACTGGGTTATAATCTTGGCCAATATTAATCGTGTCCCACCATTCCCTTCTTGCCTTCTGCCTCCTTGCCCTGGTGTCTCTTTTGAAGTTGTACAATTGAGATTATACTACTCATCCTGTCTTCTTTGGACACTGTTTTCTTTTTTTTTTTTTTTTTTTTTGAGACCAGCTTGGTCACTGAAGCTGGAGTGCAGTGGTGCAATCTTGGCTCACGCAACCTGCGCCTCCTGGATTCAAGCAATTCTCCTGCCTCAGCCTCCCGAGTAGCTGGGATTACAGGCACACGCCACCACGCCCAGCTGATTTTTTTGTATTTTTAGTAGAGATAGGGTATCGCCATGTTGGCCAGGCTGGTCTTGAAATCCTGACCTCAAGTGATCTGCCCACCTCAGCCTCTCAAAGTGTTGGGATTACAGGTGTGAGCCACTGCGCCCAGCCTGGACATATTTTTGAACATCAACAGGGCCTCCCTAGCTGTTATAGTAATAAGTTCTATTTTTTGAGGGCCTACTGTGTTTTATACTCTTTATGAATGCCTTTGCAAATGCCCTCTCTCTAATCCCTTTAACAATTGTGCAAGTCAGGAGCTTCAATACCATTTTACTGAGAGAGAAAATGTGTATGTATATATTTTGAGTCTGGGTCCCCCTATGTTGCTCAGGCTGGTCTCAAACTCCTGGCCTCAAGCAATCCTCTGGCCTTGGCCTCTCAAAGTGCTAGGATTATAGGCACGAGCCACTGCACCTGGCCAAAATGTATGTTTTGGCAGGGCTAGAAACATGTGTTGGTTCAGCTCCTGGATTGCAGAACAGGCTTCTCTAACTGTGCCTGGGAACATTCAGTTCAGCTGCAGGCAGATACACACTTGCCATGGGCTCAAAACTGGGCTGGGCTTCCGGAGGGGAAGAAGAGAGAAACAGAGACCCTAGGAAGCTCCGAGTCATGGATCAGGTGGGTGGGAGTAGATGGATATAACCATGGAAAATGGACATGCAGGATGCAGTGTGAGATGCAAGGTGCAGTGTGGCCAGTGCTCCGAGACCAAGAGAATGATGGAGACCCTGTGCCAGGTGCTGCAGAAGCGGACCCCCAGAGAGACACTGACTCAGCGATGGAGGCCCTGAGAGAGATGAGGAGGATGAGACTGGCAGTTACTGAGCCTCTGATAAGCAGCTGACACTTTGCTGAGTGCTTCAAACTTGTTATTTCACACAATGCTCATCACAACCCCATTTTACAGATGGGGAAAGTAAGGCTTAGAAATTTCAAGTGAATTTCTCAAGGTTACACAGCTCATGTAGAGCCAGGATTCAAACCCAGATCAGCCTGACCTCCCTGCCTGGACTTAGTGGTCTTTGGACTCCATCAGGCTGATCAAGGATGGAGAGAGAGAGAGAGGAGAGTGAGTGAGAGAGAGAAAGAGAGAGAGAGAGACCCATGAAACAGATTGAGCAAGGCATGGAGTGCAGGCTTCATGCACACGGTGGGGCCTCTTCTGGGTCTGACAATGCCTTAGCCCCTGTTCTTTGAGGCTCTTGTTTAAGATTTGCCAAAAAGAGGTCACCCAAATTATGGCCGATTTAGAAAGTTTACTTTTCACCAGTGCACACAAAATAGTGCAAAGAGATTAGGCTCTTCGAAAGGTCATTTTAAGCCTTTCAAATAGTGACAGGGCCCTCCAGGCAGTGTCATCCTACATTCTCACACTGCAAGGGGACTGCCCTCGCTGGATTCTAGGGTCTCTCCCATGACTGGAGGAAAAGTGTCATCTGGACACTATGTCAGAAGTCTAGATTTGGCGCCCTCTGTGAGTCTGAGGGCGTCTCCCCTTCTGCACCCGGCCACCCCCATGAGAGGTCCTGCCAAGTGGGTGAGCTGCGGCGGCAGGCAGGGGTGCAGTGCCCATCATTCACACTAGATGGCGCTCTGACATTGGACAATCCTCTGAGCATGTGGCTGCCTAGTGGCCAGAGGGCAGGGCTGGATGGCTTTGAGGGGAGGCTGGTCTCACTGGACCTGACACCCCGACCTAGGGTAGGCCAAGGGGCGCCGGAGATGTCAGAAGCCAGGCTGGGGACCAGGAACTCTGCTCCTCCACCCGTGACTCCTGGTCATTCTTGGGTCGGGGCTGAAAGCGGGGCAGTGGGAGGAGCAGAGGGACCAGAGGGCAGCTGGAGGGGAGGGATGGGGTGGGGGGGGGCACATCAGCAGGCCCTGGTGGGGCAGCCCGGCACCCCTCAGCCAGTTAAGGGCCTGGGGAAGGTTGTCCTCTCATTGACCACTAAAGCCTAGGGCTGTAGACCTGGGGTCTCCCAGGAGTGGTTTGGCCATCTGCCTTGCCCTTGGACAAGGGGGCTGGGTAAGAGGCATGGGGGCTTGTTTACAATGCCTGCAGCTGGTAGGAAAGGAAGCCTTGGCAGATGTGACTGAAGGATCAGCTTTGCTTGGAGAGCAAGACCCAGGCACAGGACCTAAAGGCCTCAGGTTTGTGTCCCTGTTTAGGCATGTGACCTTGGGCAAGCCACTAAGACCTCTGCTTCCTAATCGTTTCTGCTTTCAGAGTTGGGAACCTTGAATGAGATCATGCACACAAAGGCACTCAGCACACCAAATGCAGGGCATCCCTCCTGTCCTGCCAGTTTGCAGAAGTGGCATCTTGCATTATTTCCCTGCCTGCAGGCCCAGTAAACACTCGGTGCTGTTGAGTGATTGGTGCCTGGGGGTGGAGGCAGCTGGAATTGGCAGTGTTCCAAAAGGGGCCTCCAAACCTTGTACTTGGGGGAGTATCCTTGAGAGACCCCGTCCTCAGATGTCCACATTTTCCCTGTTTGGAAATGCATGCCTTGGAGCTGGGCCTGACTGCTCCGCTTGCCCGCTCTTTGTCTCGTCCGTTGTCTGGGGCTCTGCGGGATCTAGAGAGAAAGAAAGGAAATCCCCAGCACTTGCTTGTGGGACAAGAAAGCAGAGGGGTGGGCTTTTCAGGGGACCTCTTCTCCAGCAGTCTGCTTGCCTACTTCCCTCACATCTGGTGCCAGGGGCGGAAACTGAGGCAAGGGAGAACCTTAAGGACAAACTACAAATCCCTGAATGCTAATAGGGATAGGAGAGTGAGGTGGTGAATTGACTTCCCGGTCCCATTGCAGGGACTGAGGGGGTCTGTAACCCTCGACTCCTGGGGGAGAGGTCTCGAATGGTTCGCTAGAGACATTCGAGGAGTTAGGAGATGGGCAGGGAAAGGTCTGGGAGGAGGAAGTTGAGGGTAAGGGCATTGGGGGCAGATTTATTTGGTTAACAAATGTTCCACAAACGCTCAGTGAGAACCTCATGTGGGCTAGGCACTGGTCTAGGTGCTGGGACTCGGGGGCCCAGGTGAATAAGCTTCCCGTCCTGGGCGAGTTTCCTGGAGTAAAAATCAGGCTGGCTGGGGCTTAACTCTATGTGGCTGCCCCATATCATCTAACACCTCTAAGTCCCAGTTTCATCATCTGTAAGATGGGAATAATAACAATGTCTCCCCCACGGGATGACCATGAATGTTAGATGCATGGAAGGTGCTTAGCACCCAGCTCCTGCATTTAACAAACGTGAACGGAGGTGGAGTTTGTCAGTATTATTGTGATCAAAGCTCTGGAGACTGTGACCTTGAGCAGATTGCTCACCCTCTTTGAACCTTGGGTTCCTTATCTGAGAAATGGGTTCATGACATCTGCCCTGCCTGTTACCACGGGACCCTGTTGTTAAACCAACTGAGATAATGCATGGGAGCACAGGGGATCTGTAAACTACATCACACACAGAGGGGAATGGTCCATTTAAATGATTTGGGGTACACATGTGTGCATGTATTTGTGCACATGTGTGCATGTGTGCACCACTATCAGAGACCCCAGCATTTGTGCTCCATCTTTCCTGCGGGTTTGTGTCCCTGTTTAGGCATGTGACCTTGGGCAAGTCACTAAGACCTCTGCTTCCTTTTGTGAAAGGGGCTAATCATGTCTGCTTTCAGAGTTGGGAACCTTGAATGAGATCACACACACAAAGGCACTCAGCACACCAAACGCGGGGCATCCCTCCTGTCCTGCCAGTTTGCAGGCCGTCTGAGCTCAGGTAAGCTGTCAGATGGATGGATATATGGTATCCTGGCAGTTCATGTTAGGAGTCTGTCCCTGGAGCCCTGGGGCTGGAACTGAGGTGCTGGCAGAGGTGTGGAGATGAGGGCCAGGCTGAGAGTTGCAGCATTTCTCCAAAGACCTTAGGGAAGTGAAGAAATAAATCTTTCTCAGAGATGGAGATGGGATCAACCCTTCCCCCTACCTCAACTCTGGGCTGGGCAAGGTTGTCTGCAGAGGTTGGGGGTCCTTGCTCCCCTCTTCCAACATCCTCTTCTCCATGCACCTCTCCACAACTGACCCCTTTCCTGTTAGTCTTAATTCCTGCTGCCAAGCTACAGAACAACCCAGGGAAAAATAACCACACCTGGGTAATTTTTGTGTTTTTAGTAGAGACGGAGTTTTGCTATGTTGGCCAGGCTGGTCTCGAACTCTTGACCTCAGGTGATCCGCCCGCCTTGGCCTCTCAAAGTGCTGGGATTACAGCTCCACACCTGGCCTGTTCTAGAGGTTTTTGATGTGCCCCTCCTGGCTCCTGGTACCTGCTTACCTGCATGAATACTTGTTAGTGCCCAGGGCTCCCCAGCCCCATCTCCCCAACCAGCTGACTGAGGGGTGGAGCCAGGCAGGGTGCAGCTTGGGCCTGAGGATGAAGAAGCAAAGAGCCAGGAGAGCCAGCTCCCGGCCATATACCCATTTCTAACCTCTCTTCCCCAGGAAAGGGGCAGTAGGAAGCAGTGTGGTGGAGTGGAAAGAGAGTGGGTGTTGGACTTGGCCAGGCTGGGTTCAAATCCTCACTAGCTGGGGGTGTCTGGGGCAAGATGGGATGGTAAGAGGACCTAGCCTGTGGGGTGGGCATGCAACCTTCATGGGATAATCTGTGTCAGGTGCCTCCAACTGTGAGTCCAAGCCTGTCCAAGTCTCAGTTAACGAGGATTTGGGCAATTTTGTGCTCCCCCCCACTGCCATCTCCCCACCCCAATTCTTTCTCAGCTCATTGATTGATTGATTGGGTGAAAGGATCATGGAGAGGATGCCATCCAGTTGGAGATATGGTGTGAGCTGAAAATCCCAGAGTAAATGTCCTTTCCAGGACAGCAGAGACGAAAAGAGCTTTTCTGGCTGGGAGATTCCAAGAAGGCTTTGTGAAGAAGGAGCAGCATTAACCCGAGTTTCTCAGTGGGCTCAGACTTACAGGTGGAGAAGGGAAGGGGATGCGGTGGGAGGAATGGCATGGGCAAAGGCCTTCAGTGAGAAAGCTGGGCACACAGCCGTAAAATGGCTGTGAATAGGCTGCTTTCCTAGAGCAAAGGGTAAGTGCGGTAAAACGGAAAGGGCGTTGTTCCCAATTCCTGGATTATTAAAACAAAAGCGGGATATATTGGGAAAAGAGTAGGAGGCTGAATTATTTGGATAATTACAAAACTGTTCCCTTGAATCCCCGATTTGCTTTGCTCCCTGTGGGTGGCTTGCCTCCTTTCTCCTTCACCGCGGGGATCACAGGCTTCAGAAACCCTGAGGGGAATGTCCCCAGAGAAGAGCCCCTCCCGTCTCCCCTTCTCCCTCAGGTCGTCACTTTGCCTCCTTAACCCCACTCCCACTCCTCAAAGGAAGAAGGTGGTGTTGGAGGAAGACTGGAGGGGGAGCCCCCTATCTGAGGTCCCCAGACTGTCTTCAGAGAAAGGGAGGAGCAGCCTCAGCTTGGCGTCTGGGGCCCTGTTTCATCCTTGGGTCCGTGAGGGAAGAGGATTCTGCTCCCTGCCAGAAACATTCCTGTAGAGTATTTGCATTACATCCGGCTCACACCCTCTTCCTTCGAAGAACAGATACCAGGAGATGGTGTTTGGGCAGGGGGATGGAGGAAGGAGGGAGAGAGGAGAGGGAGGAGGGGACGAAGAGGAAGAGGAAGAAGACGACAAAGAGGAGAAGAGGAGGAGGAAGAGGAAGAAGAGAAGGGGAGGAGGAAGAGGAGGAAAGAGCAGGAAAAGGAGGAGGAGGAGGAAGGGGAGAAGGAGGAGGGGAGGAGAGGGAGGAGGCGTAGGCAGCCAGCTGTCAGAGCTGCTTATTTTATTTTTCTTGCTCCTGGAGCAGGCTGGCAGAGCAGTCCCCGATAGCAGCAGGAATGAAGAACATGGGCCGAAGGAGGAGATAATTTAGGCCTGTTTCCCTGGCTGATTCCGCTGTGCCTCCTTCTATCTCTCTGCCTCTGATTCTCTCCTCCTCTGTCTCTCTCATGGTCTCTGAAGGAGATGAATTCCAGGTGACTCTCCGGGCTCCACTGTGCTTCCTGGGAGCTGCGCGCTGGGGGTGATGTTTGTCCCTTCTCACTGTAGACTGAGCTTGGGATTTCTCAGCCCCCAGTTACTTAGATGTGGCTTTGGTCCTCTTTGGGGCCCTAGGGTGGGTGGGGAGCCCACATTTTCTCTCTCCCCCATTCTTCTAGAGCCCAGCCAGCCTCCATGGGCCACCAACTACATCCTCCATGGAGAATCTTCAAAGCTCTAGAGCCCCTATTCCCAAACCATTTCCTGTCTTTTTTATTACATGGACTTACTCCAAAAAGGAGCGAAAGAACTTGTACATGTTTCCATTCTGATCAGTTCTTTCTGGATTTTCCGGGCATTTTTGTTACCAGGTGTCTGAAAGATCCTGAGTGCTATGAACTGGCTTTCACATCTGCGACCTGCTGTAGCCCTCCCACAACACTGGGCCCAGGGGTGTTGATTTTCTTTTACAAATGGGGCAACTAAGGCATGTTAACAGCTGAGCCTAGGTTTGAACCTGGTTCCCCCTGTGCTGGTGCAGAGCTGTTTCCCCTGGGATATATGTCTCCAGTGTCACTGCCCTTCCACTGGGTTTCCTGCTTTTACCTAACATCGACTCACACGGTCATTTTCGGGGTGGCAGGGCCTCCTGTCTTGTCGTTTTAATGGCCACATGGCATTCCATCATGTTGATGGATCATTTTGTTTGGTCACTCCCTCATCGTTGGATATGTGTGAGGTGTCTAATTTCTTGCTATAATAAATGCAACTGCTGTATTTTGTTCAAATTACTGTTGTTATCTTCATCCCCTGTATGTTCCACGAGTACGTTCAGGAATGGAAACCAGGACTCTTTGTCTCAACAGGGTCTGGGGTGGTGGTCAGTACCTAGCGTACTGACCCAGAACATGATCAAAGCAGGGATGGGTGGCAGCCACCTCTTGGGGCTGCCTTGGATTCACCTCCAGCCAGAAGAAGCTACAATGCCCCCTTTAGGGGCTGGCACATTGATGCACTGTAAATTCTCCATGTGCACATGTGGCAAAGTCTGGACCCACTTCATTGATACATAACATGGTTTATTTCAATGTTACTCAGAGCCACCACCACCACAAAATCTGGGGGGTGAAAGGACCCGTAGTATAAATCTGCACCAAACATTAGCCAGGGAATTTAATATTAGTCAAATGGCCAATGTTATCATTAACTGGCTTAACACAGAAACTGCTAATGGATTTCTCAAAACAAGTAACAAGGCTTAGAGAATAGACTAAATGTTATAACCATAAAGTTCAGTCTTTAGCCATAGCATCTCTATTTGGTGGAAAGCGTACATTTTATGAACAAAGTGAGTAATTTGGGAAAAAGGATCAAAGACAGGAGGAGACCCTTGTTTCAGTTCCAGTGTAAAGGGAGGTTGGTGGCGCAGGTGGCGAGTGGAGTTAGGAATTCAGATGGCCTTCCGGGGATGTGGGGCTCTAAGAGCTGGCAGAGGAGGGAAGCAGAGGGCCCTGGTCACTGAAGGGATGAGGAAGCAGCAGATCCTCCTGATCCAGGGGGAGGTGAAGGCACAGAGCAGGAAGGGACTCGCCTGGGGTCAGGATTGGATTCCTGTGGAGTTCCAAGCATCTGAGCCAAGCTGCCTCCTGGTTTCGCAAAGCATGGATATTAATAAGGGTGATTAGTAATCATGACGTGTGAATAATAAGGGGATGGTTAATTGTCCTGGTTATGATGAACAGCAGTCACTGGGAGAGGGTGGGGGAGCTGGGACCCCCAACACACACTTACACACACTTGCTCCTATATGAATCGTTCCTGGCTGCTGCTTACAAGGCAGCAGAACCAGCAAGCTAGAAGGGGGTCTGTATTTTTTTAATATAAAACCTAATAAGGCCGAATTTAAAAATTCATTTATAATTTCCTGGCTGGGTGCAGTGGCTCACACCTGTAATTCCGGTGCTTTGGGCAGCTGAGGTGGGAGGATTGCTCGAGCTCAGGAGGTAGAGGTTGCAGTGAGCTATGATAACGCCACTGCACTCCAGCCTAGGCGACAGAGCCAGACCCCATCTCTGAAAAAAAGATAATAATAATAATTTCCTTTTATACCGTTGTGAAAGGACACATTCACAGCAGAAACTCTGGAAAATATACAAATATATAAGGAAGAAAACAGAAACCACTGTAAACATTTTGTAAACACTGTAAACATTTTGTAAACACTGTAAACAATGTATATTGTAAACAAATATACATTGGAGGTGTATATGCTCCAGACTTTTCTTCCATGCATACATAAATATAGGCATAAACAGTATTTATTTATTTATTTTACACAGGGTCTCATTCTGTTACCCAGGCTGGAGTGCAGTGGCAAGATCACGGCTCCTTGCAGCCCCAACCTCCCAGGCTCAATCAATCCTCCCACCTCAGCCTCCTGAGTATCTGGGACCACAGACACACACCACCACACCCGGCTGATTCTTTGATTTTTTTGTAGAGATGGTTCTTCCTATGTTGCCCAGGCTGGTCTCAAACTCCTAGGCTCAAGAACTCCTCCCGTCCCGGCCTCCCCAGGTGCTGGGATTACAGGCGTGAGCTGCTGTGTCCGGCCTATGAACTGTATTTGAAACAAAACATAATTAGGATAGTATTCTGCATGGCATTTGGTAACTTGCATTTTTTTTTCTAACTTACAGATACTTCATGTGCTCTTCTCCATGGCACTAAATGGTCTTTGAGAATATGGCTTTTTAATGAGGGGAACATTATTTGGGGCAATGGGGACTCTGTTAGGAAAGAAGTCCATCCTTTCTTGCCTCCCCCAGTTAGGAACGCTGCAAGGTCTTCGGGAAGGTGATGCTGGGGTGGGGCGGGTTACCTGGTGGGTCCTTGTGGTCAGGAAGTGGGGCAGAGAAGGGGGCAGGACTGCTTCAGAACCTGAGCTTGATGGAGGAAAATGTCTACTGAAAACAGTTTTTCCTCATACTCAGCTGAGGGTGGACAGCAGCCAGAATCCTTCACTGGGCATGGTTAGAGCCTGATACCGGTGTTAGTACATGGTCCTAGAAACATCTTTGAAGCCTTCTGAGCCTCAGTTTCCCCATCTGTATGCAGAGGAAGCAGCAACTATCTCTTGCTCACCTCCTGGTGGACTGTCATCAAGGACTGAGATACGAGCCCACGTATGAAGTCAAAAAATACTGAAGATGGAGCTCCCATCAGGTAGAAAGAAATGGGACAGACCTCAGGGTTACAGAAGAGAGGCCAAGAGACCTAGCCTTCCCACTGGCCACCTGTGAGACCCAAGGGAAGCCCTGTCCTCTTGCCCGAGACTTGCATGTAAACTGCAGGGCTGCACTCGGCAATCTCTAAGTATCCTGAGAGCTCCCAGATCTGCACTTCTCTGATAGGCCAAGCTGGGTCTGGCTACAGACGTTCAGGACACCTGGCTAGTGCTGGGGTGAAGGAGGGTCAGTGCTGCTGCTGCCTCAGGGCCCTGTTCTTGGGGAAGGGGTCACAGCTGGAGCCACAGACCCTCTATGTCATGGTTGAGCCACTCTGGAGAGAACATCTTCTGGTTTTGGGGGTGGAGATGGGGGAGTGTGTGTGATTTCATCTTTCCTAAAAATGGGAAAGAAATCACATGACAGGAAAGGATGGTCTAACTTCAAGGGCTTGCCCACCAATACCAGGAAGACTCTGACTGCCTCCTACTAAGCCCACCTTCCCCTATCTCAGCATTGCTAAGCACCCCTCTGCATTCATGGACTGATGGCAGATGGGGCACCGTAGAATCACTGGTACCTACATAGCTGTCACTTTGTCGGCATTCTTATGCCATTTTTTTCTTCCACCCCACCCCTCTTATGCAATTTTTATCCATTCGTTTATTAATCCACTCGATACATGAGAAGTATCCACTGTCTATTTCTCGATACATGAGAAGTATCCACTGTCTATTTCTCGATACATGAGAAGTATCCACTGCCTATTTGACCTACTGGCTCTGTGACCATGGGCAAAGTGCTTCAGTTTCCTGTCTTCAATGTCCTCGTCTGTAAAATGGGTCTATTGTAATGCAACAAGTTAATGAATATTGTTAATGTAACAAGTAAAATGAAATAGTAGGCTGGACATGGTGGCTCACGCCTATAATCCCAGCACTTTGGGAGACCGAGGCGGGTGGATCACCAGGTCAGGAGTTTGCGACCAGCCTGGCTAAGATGGTGAAACCCCGTCTCTACTAAAAATACAAAAATTGGTGGGCTGTGGTGGTGAGCACCTATAATCCCAGCTAATCGGGAGGCTGAGGCAGGAGAATCGCTTGAACCTGGGAGGCAGAGGTTACAGTGAGCCGAGTTCGTGCTGCTGCACTCTAGCCTGGGCGACAGAGCAAGACTCTGTCTCAAAAAAAAAAAAAGAAAGAAAGAAAGAAAGAAATAGTAAGTGTAGGGTGCTTTGAACAATGCTGGAAACATAGTAAGTGCTTGGTATCTATTTGCTCTCATCATCACCACCATCATCATCATTACTGCTACTCCTGCTGTTGTGTGCCAGGCACTGTGGGTAAAGTGAAGGCCGAGACACAGTCCCTGCTTTCAGGGAGTGCATAATCAGCTGCTTTCTCTGGGAGCTCCAAAGAAGGGAGTGCAGTAGAATTTTGACAGGCAGCCCCTCCACTCCATGCCGGCTCCCAGCTGTGGCTCCCCCAAGACGTGACCCCTGCCACCAAGACCCAGGCCAGTGTGTGGCTTCACCCAGTCCTTAAAAAGAACCAGCCCCTCCCCCCAGCTCCCTCTCCATTGCAGCAGCACGAAGGCTGCTTGGAGAGGTGACAAAAAATTAAAATTAAAGCTAAATTAAAAAGAAGATTCCCATTTCCTCTCCCCATCGCACTTTCCACCTTAATTTTATCGCATCTTCCTTCTCATTTTATTGACTTTTAGAAGCATTGCCACAAGATTTAGTGTGGAGCAGGAGGGGAGGTAATAAATGTGGTGCTCCTCTTGCCTCCAATTAATTCTTCCAGGGGGCGGGGGTAGGTAGAGAAGAGGTGGCTGCCCTGGATGTGAAGCCCCAGGAAGAGGGATGCTTTAAGACCACAGAGGTGGGGGAGATACCTCATGGTGGAAGTGATGCTAGCTTTGGTTTTTGTCCCTTCCCTGGACTCGTTTCCTGATGGCCGAGAGAAAGAGAATCAGTCCCAACCATGCTAATCAGGCCAGAAAACAGAAATCAGAATTCACACTCTCCCTGATCTAGCTTTAAAAATAACTCCAGAAATCCCTCCTCCCAAACTCCACCCATATTTCTTGGGATGAAGATTCCCCACCCGCCAAACAGATCTTTACTTAATTTTATTTTATTTCATGCACTCTTGGTACAAGGCATTTTTTCTTTCCCCCATCCTCCCTTCTTTCTTCCTCTATTTTTTTTTGCTTCTCCCACCGCCGCCCCCATCTCTAATATCATTTTCACCCGCCCACAGAGACCCTATGTGTTTGTAATTTTCTTCTGACCCTAATGGCTCTGGTTTCCCCTCAGTATTTAAGCGGAACAAGACAGAGGTAAGTGGCAAATAAACAGCAGTTCCTATTTATGCTGCCAATTTCGGTTGATGTTGGAAAGTCTGCCTTTAAATTAACTCTGCTGCTGTCTGATGCAGAGGAATGTCTGCCAGGCACGGAGAGCAGCCGGCTCCCTGCTGCCCAGTGCAGCCCCTCACCCTATTACCTGCCCGGGTTAGCTGGAGGATTGGGTGCTGGGTGGGTGTGGAGAGCTGGTGCCCAAAGTGGTTTATTTTTTTTAAACAGGCCACTTCCCTCTTCTTGGCTTTGGCCTTTCACCTCCATAGGCCAGTGGTTCTCCAAGTGTGGTTCCCTGGCCAGCAGCATCAGGGACATGTTAAACATGCAAATTCTCTAGCCACCCCAGACCTACTGAATCAGAAACTCTGGGGGTGGAATCCACCCATTGTGTTTTTTAAAAACAACTTTATAGAGGTATAATTTACATATCATAAAATTCACCCATTTTAAGCATACTAGTCAATGGTTTTTAGTAAAGGTATTGAATTGTGCAACTGTTGCCACAACCCGGTTCTAGAACATTTCTGTCATCCCAATAAGATCCCAGGGGTCAGTTTACAGTCAGTCCCCTCCCCGTCCCCTAGCCCTAGGCAACCACCAATCTACTTTCTGTCTCTATAGATTTGCCTTTTCTGGATGATCTTTTGGGTCTGGCTTCTTTCACTTAGAATAAAGTTTTGTTAACAGCTTTATTGAGATGTAATTCATATACCATACGATTCACCCATGTAACATGCACAATTCAACGGCTTTTATATTCACAGAGTTGTGTGGCCATCATCACAACCAATTTTAGAACACTGTCAAAAGAAACCCTGTACCTCTTAGCTGTTCTTTCCAAACTCCCCTAGCCCCCTCAGTCGTAGGCAATCACAAATCTACTTTCTTTTTCTACAGATTCTGGGCATTTCATATAAATGAGAAATCATATAACATGCAGTCTTTGGTGACTGGCTCCTTTCACTTAGCAAAATTTCAAGGTTCATCCATGTTGTAACAATACATCATCAGTTCAGTCCTTTTTGCTGCTGAATAGTATTCCACTGTATGGATGTGCCACATTTTGCTTATCTATTCACCCCAAAGTTGTGGACTTTGGGGTTGCTCCCACTTTTTGGCTATCATGAATAATGCTGCTCTGAAAATTCTGTGCAAGTCTTAGCAGGAACATAAGAAATCTGTATTTTTCTTTCTTTTCTTTTCTTTTTTTTTTTTTGAGACAGTCTTGCTTTGTCGCCCAGGCTGGACTGCAGTGGCACGATCTTGGCTCACTGCAACCTCCATCTCCTGGGTTCAAGCAGTTCTACCTCAGGCTCCTGAGTAGCTGGGATTACAGGGGCCCGACACCATGCCCGGCTAATTTTGCATTTTTAGTAGAGACAGGGTTTCACCAGGGTTGACCAGGCTGGTCTTGAACTTCTGACCTCAGGTCTGGTGCTTCCCGGCGTCATTCCCATCTTCCTGAAGAGCCACCCTGGCCTCGCCACCTCAGTCAGTCAAATCACTTGTGCAAAGGCTCCTTCCCCTGGGCTCTGGACTCCGTAGGAATCCATCCCATTAACAGCTCCCCAGATAAACCCAGTTTGAGACAGTTCCTTAAGCTCTGGGTACTCAGTTTTCCAGACTGGTGAAGGCTGTGAGAATGCTGACCCTCAGGGATGCGCGGGGGGCGGAGGGCGGGGGGGCTTCCCTGGCTGGTGCTCTCATTCCAGGCAGGCAGAGGTTAGGGAAGCGTATCTTCCCTAACCTCTGTCTGCCCCATTTTCCACTAAAGTTATTTTGGGCTCCCAGTAGGTCGCTGGGTGGACTTTACCTCCCACTTCGACATCCTGCCCTGTCACCTGGCTCTTCTCCTTGGCTCGGCCTGCCTTCCCCTCTGGAACCCGCCGCCTCCACAGCGCGCCTCCAACACCGCTGTCTCTGCCCCGCGCCCCAGAGCGCTCCCAGCTTTCTTTCCTACCCTTCCCATGAGTGGAGCCGGGCCTGGGGCGCCTTAGGCGGTGACGATCTGCAGAAGTCTTTGAGAATGCAAGATCTTTTGGAGCCTTCGGTCCGCCAGGGCCGGGTCCAGTCAGGACGCCCCGCTCAGACCCCTTCCCAGCCTGGGGTGGGCCCAGGCCCGTCTGCCCCCACTGCCTTGTGTTCCAGGAGCCCCCGCTCGGAGCCCAGACCCGGTGCCCGAAGATGAGAGTGCCGCTTCTCTCCGTCGGGTGAGAAGCCAGCCCACGTCCCGCCGGCCAGGCACGGTGTCTCTCGGGGCGCCCCACGGGAACCCCTGTGCCTCCATCGGCGCCCTCGGCGGCGGGGCAGTCTTGGCGCTCTCCCCTCGCCCCTGGCCCAGGCCCGGCTCGCGGGTGTAGCTCTTCCTAGGGCCCCCTCCCCTTTCCGGGCCGCGCGTCCGCCCCGCATCGCGGCGGCTCCTCGGCAGTGTTTGTTTTTATTGGACGCACAGTGACCGTGACGGGCACGGGGCGCGAGCTCTCATCACCACAATGGGTGTGCATGGCGCGGGGCGGGGGGCGCTGCCGGCCTCGAGCGAGGGAGGGGAGAGGAGGGGGTGCGCCCGTGCCCTGCCCGCCCCGAGTTCCCGAGTCCGCGCCCCACCACCGCAGCGAGCCGCCCTTCTGGGCCGCTCCTCTGTTTTCCTTTCCCATCCGTTCCCTTTGCCTCGGCTGCTCGGAGACATGTCTGGTGGCGATCGGGGACCCAGAGCCCGGCAGCCGCTCCTGTCCCTGTCCCTGCGATCCCTGTCCCTTCCCTTTGTCTCCCCGCGCAGCGCTCTCCGCCGCGGAAACTTCGCGTGACACAAACTCCTGGGGTGACAGCGGAAAGGGGAGCGTGTACCTTGTGAATTAAGAGATTTAGTCACTTGTGGAATGACTTTATTTTATAGCGACTTCCTCCCCGACTGAGTGATGTTGCATGCATTGGTTGTATTTATAACTTAATAGCTTTTCTCAATTTTATTATACTTTTTATGATACTTGTGGCTTTATGGGACTTCATAATTTTTCTCAGATTCATTAAATTCAGCTGAGGGTGGAGCTCATGACGGGAGCAGATACCCGACTCCAGGATGGCAGGGGGAGCAGGCGGGGTGCCACTCTCTCCACCCTCTGCCCCTCCTCAGTTACTGGGCGTTTTAATGACTGCTGGTGGCTGTGGTAGTGGTGGCGGCGGTGGTGGAGGCGGAGGCACGGTGTCTCTCGGGTGATCTTGGCTTAGGTTTCTCATCTGGGATGTGGGATTTGCAGGGAAACCTGCCTCAGAGATTCCTGGCTGTTTCTCAGGCAGCGGCCCACTTTTGGTGACAGACTGTGTCTGATCTAGGCTTGTCCCCAGTTCCCTCGCTGCCCTTCCTCTCTGGTTCTTTCCAACACTAACTCCTAGAATCAGAAACGCTTCCAGATGTCCCAGTCCAGCCTCCTCACTCCACAGATGGGAAGACCTAGGCTCAGAGAGGTGCCACTCCAGAATCAGGGGCAGGCAGACCGCTTCACTCCACTGCTCTCTGCTGTCTCCAGGCAATGGCCGCAGACTCTAGCTTTGCCCTCAGCTTCCTTCCTGCCTCCAAATTTAATGTCCTGTTATGGTCTCAGAGGGAAGAGTATCATCATCATAATAGTTAATATTGATAGAACACACACAATTATGTTCTTTAATCTTCACAACAGCCCTGCCAGAGTAGCTACTAGTGTTTACCATTCTACAGATGAGGCAGCAGAGGCACAAACAGATGAAACCATTTGCAGAATAAGTGGCAGTGCTGGGGTGGAGAGACTCAAGGCTACTGTACTCTGTGGTGACCTCATCTGTGGTACTCTGCGACCACAGTCACAGCTAAGCGGATTATTTGCACATTTTCCTGATGACTTCTCTCTCTCAGAATTCTTTTTTTGTTGGAAGGAGGTGGGTGGGAAGAGCAAATAGTCCAGAGGATAAATTAACAGAGCAGGGGCTCTTAATTCCAGAGCTGTGATCTTGGTTGACAGAGTGGGAGAAGGCAGAAGGGGATGTGGGTCAGCTGTGGGTGGAGAGGATGGTGGGGGCACTGGCACGAGTGTCTCTGCTGCCCTCAGGCTTTCTGGCATCCAGGATGGTAGTGATTACTGATAGATGGCAACTTTAATCAAGTGCCAACCCCTGCCCTGCTCAGAGCCTTCCAGGGGCTTGTAGACCTCTTTTATTTCTGAGACTCTAATACATTTAAAAATGAAGAGATACCAGGCAGGGTTGCAAAAGTGTCATCTGATTTGCATTCCACAAGTTAACACTTTTAACTCAACAATAGACGATGCATATAGTTGTACCACTCACAGGATCATTTCAAGGCTTAAAAGATGGTGAATGTAAGGTAAGTTCCAGGGCAGCAGGTGTACTCATCCCCTGTCTTGGTCCCTGCTGTAGCTCCCGCATCTAGAGCAGTGCTTGGCACGCAGGAGGTGCCCCATCATCTTGGCTGCTGCTCTGATGAGTGAATGATGCACTCTAGCATGGGCTGAGAGACTCCAGCTTAAACCTATGGGAGAAACACCTTCTTTCAACCCTGTTGGGGTATCCCTGTGGCTGTCAACAGACCCCATTTGGAGATTATGATAAAAGGATAAATTGGAGCCTTTGGTGGCTTTGAGGCCGGAGTGCTGTGGCCAGCCTGCCCCCTCCCCCCTAGCCCTTGTCCCACACAGGCCTTGTTGCTCCCCTTGCCAGCCCTTCTCAGGGTTTGCCTCTCTAAGGGAGTCTTCCTGGGCCAACCTTGACAAATCCATAACCCCCTGATCCTGTTACTTAAAGGATCAGTCTCAATCAGAGGTTCCTGGACCCTTGCACTGCAGACCCTCATGCGGGAGGGGGCCCTGGAATTCTTGCATGGAGGTCTTTCGACCACTAGGTCTGCCTAACTATACTTGGAGACCAACAGAAGCCCTGTCGTGTTGATGTCTGTGTTTTTATTTTTATTTTTTCCAAGACTATTGTGAAGAGTAAATTAAAATTCTTTAAAAGTGTTCCTGGATTTATTGTAGCTTTGGGTCATCAGGCATTTCCTCAATCAACAGATGTTAGAAGTACAACCACTAGTGTGCAGGTGACTGCATGTGGCTGGTGGGGTAGTGAGTAACTTTTGGATGCTAAAAAGGATCTTTGGAATCTGGAGAGTTGGACACTCCTGCTTAGAGGATGCTGTCTTCGTGTGTTCACAACTGCCAGGTTAACTACTCACATGGTGTGGTGATGGTATGTTGTATATGTGATCAGAAAGTATACTCAGTCTCTCAGATGAGACTGCAGGAAGGCAGTGGTGGAAAGGGTGTGGAGTCAGGGGGCCTAGGTTCGAACCCTTGCTCTACTTGTGAACTAGAGAGACATCTTGCGCCAAACCATGACCTCTTTTAAGTCTTAGTTTCCTCACCTATAAAATAGGTGAAGTAAAACCATCTCTGTCAAGGGGTGATGATGACCAGGAAAAAGCTTGTTAATTAGCGAATGCCAAATCAGTTGTCACAATGGTAAGCATCAGCCATCAAATTCTTTACGTACATGCAGTGGGCTCTCTGCAAGTCAACTGGCCCAGCCCATCAGAAAATGTAACAGTCCCTGCTGGCTCCTACCTTGCCTGGCTCCCCAGCCTGAATGGGAGCTGTGCCCCATGCTTACTCTGCTCGGAGCCTCCATTATGGGCCTTGAGTGCAGGACCCTCAAGATGCATTTGTAATTTTTATTGTTATATCTTTTAATTTTATTTCGCTCTCTCCGCTGTCTTGAGCAGGGGAGATAGGGAGCTGGTATTTATTGCTGTTGCTGCGACCTACCTCTTGGAACGTATGTATCAGTTAATTTAATCTCCTCTCGTTTTATTTAAACTGTTTTTCCTGATTCACTCTCTTCACTTCTCCATCCAGAGCCCCTCCTCCTCCATTTCCCCCCACCTTTGCCCCCTCCCCTCTGGTCCTACCCTCCTTTCTGTGTCTGCTTTGGGCTCCGTCCCTTTCCTCCTCCTTCTCCCCCTTCCTCCCCATCTTTCCTCTTAGTCCTCCTCCTCCCTCCCTCCTCCCACTCTCTCCTCCCTCCTCCCTGGCCTCTGGCCTGGGCCTTTCCATTCCTGGGTTAAGGGAGGATAAAGGGGCCTCTTGCACTGAGGTTGCTACAGTATTTTCCTGGCTTCCACTCCCCCCTCTTCTCTCTCTCCCTCTCTCTCTCTGCCCCGTTGCCTGATTGACATTTACAAATTACCCAGCTGAAAGTGTTCAATCCCTGACCCGCCTGTTTCTGTTCAGCAATGAGTGAGATTTGCAAGCATTTTGTCATATAATTACTGCAAATCCCTTGAAAATTTCCACAACAAGGCTAGGTGAATGGTAATTTGGGGGCCTCCAGCCCCCAATCACCTCGACAAAAGAAATCTGAGGCCAGAAATGCAAACCAGCCCCCGATCCTTGGTATTTATTTATTTATTTATTTGGAGGGTCAGGAGGGGCTCATTGGTCGTTTTGTTTATTTCCCCTAGAGATTTCTGAGGAAAACTTGAATGGTGCAGACACATACTTCTCCACTTCCTCCTTGTACGCATGCTGTAAAATATTTGGATTGGGAGATTTATTTGCCTTACACGAGTGTATTTGTGCTGATTTTATTGTATTGACTGGGTGCATTTTTTCTGCGTTCTACTACAGTTTTATTGTGTGCCAGTCGTGGGCATACATCACCCACATTGTTTTCCGCAAAAATTATGCCCCATTTCACTGTGTCTTGATAGGACTTACTGCATTAGTACCTGAGTGCGGAGATTTGCTGCTGCTGTAGCTACCCTGCCACCTGGGGCCGCTCCATCTGGGCAGCACCAGGCACACTGGGCCACAGACACGGATACCTGGGTTTCCGTGGCCACCCCTGTGTCCCCTAATGTCTGGTAGTCTTGGCCCATAGACCTGGGGAGGGGGATGGACATGGTGGAGGGGACTGCAGTTGGCCATAGGGTCAGTGGTCCTGGGGAAGAGGGTGGAAGAGGGCACAGCTGAGCAGTGGGTTGAGGAGGACATGGGGATCTGTTAATGTGTCTGCTTCCTGCCAGCATGTGAGGACGTCTCTACCCACAGGGATTCATTCCTGAGAAGCAGGCATGGGCCTTTCACAGTCTCTCCTAGGGACTTATAACTATGATGGAAACCATGAATTTCACACTTACCATGGGCAGGGGGTGTGGTGGATAGCACGGTTGTTCTCCCCATTTTACAGATGGGGAAATGGCGGCATGGAGAGACTTGGCCACTTGCCCTGGGTCACATCTTTAGGGAGGGGCAGGTGGGGATTGAAGTCCATGCTCCCCCGACCCCAGAACCTGCTTTTTTCACCCCCTCAGGAAGAATAGGAGAAAGGAGGCAGGTAGTGAGGATGGTGATTTAAGGCAGAAGAGTTTAAAGCTGGAAAGGGTCTTAGAAACCATCTCACTCACCTCCCTGAAAGATGGGGAAACTGAAGCCCTGGGGAGGTCAGCAATTTGCCCAAAGCCAAGCAGACTATGGGTGGTCAACTGAGCGAGCCTTATTTTCCTTCTTCTCCTGGGGCCATTTACAGGGTTGGGGTCTGGCTTTTGGGTATCTGTCTGGCTTATGTGGCTACTCCCTGGTGTAAGTTTCTGTGAATGTGTGTGTGAGGTTGTGTGTGTAAGAGTGTGTGTACGTGTGCATGTCAGGCAGAGTGTAGCACTGTGAGGGTGCCATGGCTGATTTGGTGGATGAGATGGATTGCCTGATGCAGGCCTGGGTCCCCGCTGCCCCTGAAGGTGGCAGTGAACTTGGCCTGTGGTCACCCCTCCAGGTTCTCTTGTCTGGTGGTTCCTGAAGTCGCCTTTCCTGTGACCACGTTTTATGGGGGGCTGGAAGATAGGTTTGGGACTGACCTGTTCCCAGGACTTCCCGAGTGACCCTCCCATGTATAGCCATTTGTCCCGGGTGATCAGTGAGTGCACGGGAAATGCAGTGGATTGATTTAAACATCTCAGCCCTTCCCCCTTTCCATATACTTTTTTATTTTTTAAGTCAAAGCTTATATAATTAAATTAAAGAAAATGTGTCTAATAATAAACTGTATTTCCTCATGGTAAAGTCCCATTTTTGAAGCAAGGTTGTAATATCATATGTAGAAATGTTTTCCCTTGGGTATTAGCTGTCTCTTCCAGTTAATTGTTTCTATCATCACATCAGGAGCTTGTAAGGAAGGGGTGGGGAGGGGGCTGCGGTCCTGCCTCCTGCCTCAGCAGTGCCACCTCCAGGAGGATCCTCCAGAAGGAAGCTGCTCAGCATCAGAGGCTGGGCTTGTTTGAGGGTGTGGGGTCAGTCCCAGGCCCACGTGGCTCAGCTGCCTCGTGAGGGCAGCTCTGAACACAGACACCCCTGCAGGTGTGGCCAGGGAGGCCTCTGCTCCTTAACCAGCCCCACAGGCAGTAGCATGTGCCTGCCCTTTGGCACACACGTGCCTATGTGTGTGACCCACCCCCATGTGCACAGATGTGCTTGCACACACAGACATCACAAACCTGTAGGTGGACAAACTACCACATGCAGACACTACCTCACTTGTGTGCACAAATGCATGCAGACTTGTGCACACTGTAGGCACACTGCTGCACATGGGGTGTCGCAAGCTGATTTTTTTTTTTTTTTGAGACAGAGTCTTGCTCTGTTGCCCAGGCTGGAGTGTAGTGGCGTGATCTCAGCTCACCACAACCTCCACCTCCCAGGCTCAAGCCATCCTCCCACCTCAGCCCCCTGAGTAGCAGGGGCACGCCACCGCACTAGCTAATTTTTGTATTTTTTGTAGAGATGGGGGTTCACCATGTTGCCCAGGCTGGTCTTGAACTCCTGGGCTCAAGAAATCTTCCCTCAGCCTCCCAAGGTGCTGGGATTACAGGCGTGAGCTACCGAGCCCAGCCACAAACTGATTTTATATTTGTATAAATACCACTCTTTCCCTCCAATTGAAGTCAGCCTATGGCTTCAGAGTCAAGAGCCCAGGTTCCAGCTTTCTCCCAGTGTTAATCTGTGTGAGCTGAGGCAACTCCACACCCTCTCTAGGCTGTGGGTCTCTCTCGTGGTAGAAGCTCTGATGGCCTCAAGTCTCTCTGAGTTCTACCTTCCCTTCTCGCGGTTATGGTCTTCTCACTCAGGGTTTCTTAGAAGGAGGCACGAAGGGGATCTCTCCTTCTTCCTGACCTCTAGCCCCTGCTTTGTCTCCTGGCACTCAAGGTCCCCACGCTTCCTCTAACCACTTTCGGTCCAGAGGCCTTTCTTCACAATGCTAAGGTCCTGCAGTGTCCAGAGGCCATCGCAGTTCAGGCCACAAATATGGGAAGCAGGCAGCGGTGAGCCGGTCATGGCTCTGCCCTCTTCTCAGCAAGCCTGGAATTTGGGTTTGCATGGAAAGCTTTAAGGAGTCTTCTGGGTAACCCCTGCAAATCCCAGACACCCTCTCCCTGCAGATCTCCATAGGCAATGGCAAAGATGGCTCATCCCAGCCAAACTGGAACCATAAAGGTATGAGATCAGTAAAGGCCCAAGGGGCTGGCTGAAGGAGAGGAGCAGGAAGGAGGAGATGAGTGGCTGCCGAGGTGGCAGGGCCAGTAGGAATGCTGGCATTCTTTTTTTTTTTAGATGGAATCTCACTCTGTTGCACAGGCTGGAGTGCAGTAGGAAGATCTCAGCTCACTGCAACCTCCGCCTCCGGGGTTCAAGCAAGTCTCCTGCCTCAGCCTCCCGAGTAGCTGGGATTACAGGTGCCCACCACCAGGCCCAGCTAATTTTTGTATTTTTAGTAGAGACAGGGTTTCACCATGTTGCCCAGGCTGGTTTCGGACTCCTGATCTCAAGAGATCCACCCACCCTGGCCTCCCAAACTGCTGGGATTACAGGCGTGAGCCACTGCACCCAGCCAGAATGCTGGCATTCTTAACCCCAAGACCATCTGTCCCCGAGGACAAGGCTCCTGACTCAGTTTCCCCTGACAAAGCCAGAAATGGAAGTAGAAAGTTTTGAGACAGGTGTTTGTATTTGTGTCCTAGATGGATTTTCACAACATCTCATTCTTCACTCCCCCTAAATGAACACCCTCAATGGTGGGGGTTGGGAAGAAGGGGGAGAAGGGTGGTAACCAGGGGCAACCCTCCTTTCTCTCCCTCATCCCGAGTTAATGCCACTGAAGAGCTCTCCAGGGCCAGCGAATCACCCACATAATTATCCCTGGAGGTAATGGGCTTGGAGAGGTGGTGGGGGGCACTGAGGGGCAGAGGGGAGCTCAGGCCGAGGGATTTGTTGAGGAAGAGGAACAGAGGGATCTCCCCCACTGTGGGAGGTGGGCTGGGACAGAATGTGGGCGCTGGGCAGGTGTGGGTCTCAGCTGTCAACCCCGCATCCCAGTCTGCTTTTCCCACAGTGACATTGGAAGTCTGACCTGGGGGCTGGGGGAGGGGAAGGAGGGGATTATGTGTGGCAGTTTTTCCTGGCTTGGAGTCTGATTTCTCTCAAGAATCCAACCTGAAGGCCAGTTTGTCTTCTATTGTCTGGTTTGAAACTTGGTTGTGTGCGTGTGTGTGTGTGTGTGTGTGTGTGTGTGTGTCTCACGGGTTTTCTAGTTTGGGGAGAGGTAGGTCAAAACCAGGTACCCGACTTCAGGTTCTTCTCCCTCTTCTAACTTCAGTTCTTTCCTTGGAGGAGGGCATGTGGAGGAGGGTGTCATGTCAGACACCCCCACTTCCTAGACACAGGAGGGAAACTGCTACCGCGGCTTACAGCTGCCAGCTCACCCCACAACACATTTCTACACAGAGTCTGGAGAGAGAGTGAGTGTGTGTGTGAGAGACAGACAGATGCACACAGGCAGAGACAGGTAGCGAGGGGTTAAGCTGGAGGGGGCTTTGCAGAGAGTGGGGAGGGGGCGATCTTTGAGGATAAAGCTAACTTCCAGGAGCAGAATCCCAGATTACAAGGCAAGCCAGGGAGCGGGGTCCAATGGCTGGTCTACGTCATCAGTGTCTAGATGCTTCTCTGCCTCCTCCTGCCAACCCATCGCAGCTCCAGCACAAATTTGCATTTAAATAGAGATTTTTTTTTTTTAATGAGAAGGACCCAAGGGAGCCCCTAGACTATTAAGTTTCCTTCTGGGGGCTGTGCAGAGCCTTCTTCATTTGCCCCTCCACTCCAGCCTCCACCCTTCCTCCCCCAACTGTCATATTATTCTGCAGCCATATATTCTGAGGGCCAGATGAGGCCCTGGCTCTGACAATCTGGGGGCACTTGTGGGGACAATGGGGCCAGTGCTCCTGGGAAGACTGAGAATGTGCAGCTCTCGACCCTCTTTGTCTGCTGCGCCCAAGCACCCCACCTTCAACTCCTTTAGGCCTGGACTGTCGGTCTTGTTGCCGGCTCCGGGCTGCAGGCGATAGCGGCGGAATCCGTGTTATCTCATCACATTGGGCAGTGTGTTAAGAGGCAGGAGACCCTATTTGAGTCTTGGCTCTGCTTTCCCAAGGCTGTGTAACCTTGGGCAAGTCGCTCAACCTCCCTGAGCCACAACTGTCCCATCTGTGGAATGGGGGTAATGATAGAATCTTCCCCATAGGTGGGTGTGAGGTTGAATGAGATAATGTGGCATGGTGCTTAGCAGAGTGCCTGGCACACTGTATGCCCTCGATAACCAAATTGAGAAGATTGGATAGAGCGAGATTTCAAGAAAAGCGTCTGATGCTGTAGTGGAAAGAGCAGGATCTGTAGTCAAGAGCCCGGGTTTATTTTCCTGCAGCCTTAGTTATGAGCCATGAGGCTTTCCCATCTATGGCCTGAACTTTCCTCCTCTGTCAATTGGAGATTCTGAGTTAAAACTCACCTCAAAGGGTTTTTGTGAGCATCAAATGATACAGCCAGGGCTCAGGGTCCCTAGCGCACAATTGGTGTTCAGAAAATGTTAGTTCTTCTCTCCTTCTTCTCCCACAGGGTGGGCGGGGCAGAAAAACGTCCCAGGGGCTTGGAGAATGTTTGGGAGGAATGGGGCCAGGGAAGGTGCCCAGGGATTTGCAGCTCAATGGGAGAAGGTATGGGTTGGTCCTAGGACCCTAAGCCCGGATGAGTGGGGACATGACATTGTGTGTGTTGGGGAGGTCACAGGAAATGAGGGTGTCAGCACACCCATGGCTGATGGCTAAGGAGCCTGGGAGGGAAATTGAAGGAGAAAAGGTCAGCTCAGGTGGTCCCCCTACCTACCTCTCCCCCAGCTCCTCATCACTGGTTCTAGGAGAAGGAAATGAGACGTGACAGGTCCCTGGCCACCTGGGATAGGCTGAGAATGGAGACAGGATGGGCATAGGAGGTGCGTGTGTGTGTGTGTGTGTGTGTGTGTGTGTGTGAGAGAGAGAGAGAGAGAGAGAGAGAAGGAGGAAAGTAGGGAGGAAAGGAGAGAGACCTGTTATTCCTGATTCGCCTGTCCCACCACCCCCTGCCCTGGGACCCAGATTAGTCCTGGCATCTCAACTAGCAGAGTGACAGTGACAAGTTCTTTCTATGGTTTAATTTCCCTCTCCCTCCTCTTTCAAATCTTTCTCTCCTTTCCCTTTCTCTTTTTTCTCTCCCTCTTTTTTCTCTTCTTCCTTCTCTTCTGTTTTAGTTTCTACTTCCTTTCCTCTGTTTCTTTTCCCTTTTTTTTTTGAGACAGGGTCTTGCTCTGTTGCCCAGGCTGGAGTGTGGTGGCACGATGTCGGCTTATTGCAGCCTTGATCTCCCGGGCTCAAGTGATTCTCCCACCTCAGCCTCCCGAGTAGCTGGGACTACAGGTGCATACCACCATGCCTGGCTAATTTTTAAATTTTTTGTAGAGACAGTGTTTTGCTACATTACCCAGGCTGCTCTTGAATTTCTGCGATCCTCCCACTTTGACCTCCCAAAGTACTGAGATTACAGGTATGAGCCACTGCACTGGGCCTTATTTATGATTTTATTTTATTTTATTTTATTTTATTTTATTTTTTTATTTTATTTTATTTTATTTTATTTTATTTTATTTATTTTATTTTATTTTATTTTCTGAGACAGAGTCTTGCTCTGTCGCCCAGGCTGGAGTGTAGTGGTGCCATTTCAGCTCACTGCATCCTCCACCTTCTGGGTTCAAGCAATTCTCCTGCCTCAGCCTCCTGGGTAGCTAGGATTACAGGGGTTAGCCCAGCTAATTTTTGTATTTTTAGTAGAGATGGGGTTTCACCATGTTGGCCAGACTGGTCTCTAACTCCTGACCTCGTGATCCGCCTGCCTCCACCTTCCAAAGTGCTGAGATTGCAGGCATGAGTCACCATGCCCTGCCCTCTTTTTTTATTTTTAAGGAAATAATGTCTTACAGACAGACTTCAAGAGCCTCCCCCAACCGGCCCCCAGGGCCTAGCTAGCTCTTAAGGCACCTGTGTGAGAATTAGGCACCTACTGGAAGGACCTTGCCCTGTGGGTACAGGGTGTGGCTGGTTGATGGTGCTTTCTATGAACAATTAAAGGCATCTTTCCTTCTGATGGGGAAGCCTCATACCAGGGCACGAGTTAGTTGGTGGAGCAAAGGGTGGATTTAGCCCTTGCTTTCCTCCTTGTGCAGTGAGCAACCTGCACACCCATATAGGGCAGTCCTCCACCCCTTTTCCCTCTTCTTCCTCCCACTGAGGGGCCATTCTATACTGATGCTGTTGTGTATCCCTCACATCTACATGTGTATATTTCCCCCTTTTCTCCCTTCCCTTTTCAATTCCTTTTCCTTCTTTCTCCTCCTGTTCCCAGCACTCACTGTGACAAGTCTTACACACCAGTCTCTTTGCATGCCTTTGTATGTCTTTGTGTAGCAGCCTTAGTATGTGTGTACATTATTATTGCTACATGGGATGGGTGTTCTCGTGGCATTCTTTCAGGGATTGACACATCATAGGTGCTCAAGATGGTGTGACTGGGTTGTGTGTCTATGTGTGTCTCTCTGTGCGTCTTGGCTCTCTGGCACTCCCCAGCCATTCCTTCCCCAGAGCTTAGAAGGGAGAGGGAATTAGAAGGGAATCCCACAGGGCTGAGGGCTTATCTCCTCCAGTCTCCTCTCAGCCTCTTCCTGGTCCATAGCTCTTTCACCATGATACTCAATCTTCCATGGAGACCCTGAAGAGGGCCCTGCCCTGCCCCATTGGCCTTGAGGTGGGGCCCCCTCTGCTTCCCTCCCCAGGCCTCCTAAGGCCTCCAAGCCAGAGCTGGTAGGAGAGCGGCAGGGGAGGGGGGAGTGGGAGGAGGAGAGGGAGCCCAAGGAAGCTGGGCAGGGGCTGGCGGCCCCTGGGACCCCTTTCTACAAGGACAGAGGCGGCACCAGCTGCTCCACAGAAGAAATATTCCCCAAAGTCAGAGTGGTCGTCTCGTATTTTAAGTGGCCCTTATTTATCACCATCCTCCTGGGCTCCCTATCGCTGCAAATGATGATAAAAGACAGCGGTGAGGGGGGCGCGGGGGCTGCTCCCGGCTGGCCCTGCCGCACCAGGGGAGGCGCAGGCACACAGCAACACACGGGCACAGCGACATGCACGATGACATACACACACAGATGCAGACACAGACACACAGTACCATCCATGACAACAGCTACACACACACACACACACAGTGACATGCACACACAGACTTAGCTGCAACAGTGACATGCCCACAAATGCTAACCACAAACATACATGCTGGGTGACACCCAAAGCTGTGAACATACACATAGCCTGATACAGGCGCAGGGACACATTCACTTGCACACACATATACCAATATGCATGTACAGTGATAGACATACACCGGCACACACATGTGACAAACGTGTCGCTCACCAAAACAAGCATGCACTCACACGCTCACCCCAGGCACTCACACCTCAGTGTACAATACCCACTCCTCGAGCCCACCGTGCTGATGTATCCACCATCTTCAGTGTGACTCTACGTGTGTCTGCCTCAGATGACCTCTGCATAGAGGCCACTGTCTCTATGTGGCAGCCAGCTCATAAGTGTGTACTCTACTCCATCTACACCTAGCCAAACACATGGATGTGCAAATGCATTCATAGTCCAACCAAAAATAATGAACACCAAACCTCACCTCTCACCATACACAGAAATTAACTCAAGATGTAAAACAATACAACTTCTGGAAGAAAACATGGGGGAAGACTTTTGGGATCTTGAGGTAGGCAGAGATTTCTTGGGTAGAACATAGTCATAGGCTGGAATTGCATATCATTGAGCACAAGCTCTGAAATCAGAAAACATCTCTTTGATTCCTGTCTTATTGTATAACTGGCTGCATTGAACTTAGGTAAGTTACTTACTTTCTCTGAGCTCATATGCCTTCTTGTACAATGAAGGTATAATACTACCTACCTCTCTGGATGCCTGTAAAGTTCAGAGAACTAATGCATGTGAAATAGTCTTTTTTAAAATTTTTATTGTTTTTGAGACAGGGTCTCACTCTGTCACCCAGGCTGGAGTTCAGTGGTGCAATGTCATTGCAACCTCCGCTTCCCAGGCTCAAGCAATTCTCCCACCTCAGCCTCCTGAGTAGCTGGGACTACAGGCATGTGCCACCATGCTCAGCTAATGTTTTAGTTTTATTTATTTATTTATTTATTTGCAGAGATGAGATCTTGTTATATTGCTCAGGCTGGTCTCAAACTCCTGGGCTCATGTGATCCTCCTGCCTTGGCCTCTCAAAGTGCTGGTATTACAGGTGTGAGTAATGGCAACTGGCCTGAAATACCTTTTGAAAGTTGTGATGCACTATATGAAGCTTGGCTAAATAGAAAAAAAGTTTTGTGTATTGTAATTATTCACACACATACTTAGGCATACCTCTTAAATAAGCAGTCCATAACGCACACACCTGCCTGCCTGCTCACTCAGGGGAGCTGGGATTGGGGCTGTCACATTGAACTTCCCCTTATCAAGGGAAGTCTCCCTCCACCCTAATCCCACACCCATTTCCACATCCAGTTGCCAATCAGCCTCCCTCCCCAGCCTCAGCCCATTAGTACAGCTCCCTGGGGGAATCTATTTTTTAAAGGTTATTAGCAGATTATTGGTTCTTTATCAACCTCAGGCCCCAATCTCCAATCTCCCAACGAAGCTATTGTCGCCTAATAAGATGCACTTGATAATCTTGGCATGAAGGTGGTGGAGGGCCTGGTGGGGTGGGGGCAGCTGGAAGGAGGGAAGGGTTAACAGCACCACCCCAGCCCCCACCCTCTCGGTCCTCAAATAGCTGAACTACTGTATGTTGTAGTTTTCAACTGCAAATCATCTTTAATAGCAGACATCACGGGATGGCTCATTACATTAAGCTATTTTTCATGCTATCTCCTGTAATATCCTCTAATCCAATGCGTTTCAAATCACCTCGGGCTAAAATAAGAGACATAGCGATGTAATAGCCTAGTGTATTAGTGGGTTAATTGCCCTGTTGTACTCCTTCTAGTAGCTATCTCTGGAATGACTTCTATATTAATTGTAAATTGCTTAATACATTTAACTCCTTGCCACCGCCCTATCCCCTAGCGAAGGAGGCCACTACCCAGTTGCTTGTGTGTGTGTGTGTGTGTGTGTGTGTGTGTGTTTTGTGGGCACTCCTTTCCAACTCTGGTTCCCCTCTGTCTCCTTGGTCCAAGCTGGAAGAGCAGGTTTGGAATATACTTCTCTGTCTAATGAGGGGAAGGGAATGAGACAGGCATTTATTGAACACCTACTATATGCCAGGCCCTGGGCTAGGCCTTTTCACCAAATGCTGTCTCACTGGAGCCTCAAAGACCCTGAGTAGTGGCAGCATTCAACCCAGAGGTCATGCAACTTGTTCAAGGTCACAGAGCTATGATATGATGAAGCTGTGGTTACACCCAGACCCGAGAGCTCCTAAACCACAGTGGCTGAGCGTGGGGCAGGACCCTGGAGCTTTGGACATTAAGTCAGATGCCGTCAGCAGGGTCCTGGGGCAGCTCCTGGTCTGCAGGGGAGAGACACAGCCCTTGAGAGACACAGCCCTTGACCTGTGGGAGTCCCCAGTCTGTTGGGAGAGACACAAGCCTTGCACTAGGGGAGTTCCCAGTCTGTTGAGGGAGCTCCAACCTCTAACCTGGGAAGCCCTAGTCTGATGGGAAGTCAGATCCTCTGCCAAGGGAAGCTCAGCAAATGGGGGACAGAGCTCCTGCTTTGGGAGCACCCACTCTGACGGAGGGATATGTCTTTGCTCTAGAGAGTCTCTGGTCTGATGAAGAAAACGTCACTTCTGTCCTGGAGGAACCCTCAGTCAGATGAGGGAGACACCGATCCACACAGGGAAAACAGAAATAAGGTGCAAATGAATGACAGGCAGGCAGAGCAAGTGCACAGGGCAGACAGTGAGCTCAGAGCACGAGGGGAGAATCAGCCCTGGCCTGCGTGGGCCTCAGGGCCAGACTGGGGGTCCCTCCCTGTTCGTTGCCTCTCTCTCCCTTCCTAGATGTGTGGTCTCTGAACTTCCCCCGGGCTGCCCCTTTCCCAGTCTGCGGAGGGAAACACCCTGGCCAGGGCAGAGGTAGAGACCTTCTCCTCTTGGTGCTGACAGCCCCAGCCGGCTCCCCCTTTTCCACAGAAGCCTCCAGCGGCCTTGGGACTCTCTTTCCTCCTCTCTGGACAGGTGACAAGTGGGGGTCCCTGGGGGAGAGGAAGGAGAAAGACCAGGAAGGCAGAAGGAGCTGAAGGATGAGCATAGGGCCTGATGAAAGGGTGCCAAAGTCACAAGTCACAAGGGCAGACGAGTGTTTACCTTCTACAAAGTAGCACTTTCCACACACACAGGTACACACACACACACACACACTTGCGCACACACATGCATGCACACACATAGGCGCACGCACACACAGGCACACACACACTCGCGCACACACCCGCACACTGCGCACACGCACACACACACGGACACACGCATGCACACACGCACACGCGCGCACACACACGATGCATTCTGCGTACCAGTCATACGGGAGTCACAGGATTGAAATACTCTTGTCCTGCTTTCTCGGGGCACATAGCTGGGCAGAGGGACCCAAGTTCAAAGTTGCCTCACGGAGCCTTCTTCCCTCAGGGGCGGTCCTAACGACCTCAGTCTGCGACAGAAGCGGGCCTTAGAGGCTCTCGGTGAGTCTGGGCCCGGGACTGTGGCCTCCTTACTCCCTGAGTTAAGTCCTTGGGCCAAAAAAAAGAGAAAGAAGGAAGAAGAAGGAAAGGGAGGGGAGGGAAGGGACGCGGGGCGGAGGACGCAGCGGGCGGCCTGCGGAGGCGGCCTGGCTCGGGGTGGGGGCTCGGCCGGAGTTCCCGCGGCTGCTCGGCGGCGGCCGGCTCGGGAGCAACCTTGAGCGCGGTCGCGGAGGCAGTGATTTAGGTGCCGGCACCGGAGCGTGAAGGTAAATGGCCACATTTCACCGTCGGGAGGTGAGCCGGAGGCGCCCGCCCTGGCCCTTCCCCCAAGGCCCCGGGCCGGTGGGGGCGGGAGTTTTGCTTCCCCTCTCTGACCCGCTCCGAGGCCCGCCTGGGAGGGCGGCGCCCCCACGGTGCAGGACAGGAGGGCTGCGCCGGGCTGCGGGGTGAGCAAGACCCCTAGAGCTGCCTTTCCCGACCCCTTCCTATTTGGGGGGCTGTTTCCCTCACTTCCCCGTCGCCCCGGCCTCCTCCCAAAGCTGCTTCCAGAGGGAAGCTGAGAAGCAAGTGCTTAAAGCCTCTGGCACTTGGGGGCGCCACCTTCTCTCAGGAGAGGGTGGGCGGCGGCACCTCCGGGGTGCTAGTCCACGCGCAGGGAGCTTCCCCAGGTCACCTCCTCTACTCCTCACCAGGGTCCATTGAGGCGGGGCCTGCCTTATCCCCATGGTGCAGATTAGGAGCCGAGGCCCGGGAGCTCGAGGGACCTGCAGAAGGCCACGCGGCTGGAAGGGGTGGAGGAGGCTGGGGACCCAGGCCCCTGAGCCTCCTGTGCTCTATTGCCTCTAAGAGGTTTGGAGTGGGGTGAGGTGGGGGGTGCTTGTGGGTGTGGGAAAGGTTGGCATCTGGCCGACCTCACTACTGTTGTGTGTGGAAGTCCTGGTTATAAAAATAATACAATGGCCAGGCATGGTGGCTTAGGCCTGTAATTCCAGCACTTAGGGAGGCTGAGGCAGGAGGATCGCCTGAGCCCAGGAGGTGGAGGCTGCAGTGAGCCATGATCATGCTACTGCATTCTAGCCTGGGCAACAGAGTGAGGCCCTGTTCTCAAAAAAATAATAATACATGCTCTTCACATTAAAAAAAATCCAGAAATGTGGATGTGATTTGAGAACCCTTTCTCCTTTGGGACAAAGCTTCCTTCCTGAGGCCCTGCCCCTCCTGCCAGGTGCTGAGCCCTTTGACCCCTCCCGTTCTAGGTAAAGCAGATGTGAGTGGAATGCTGAGATGAATTGTTCGATTCATTTCGCTGTGTTGCTGAAGAGAGGAAAAAAGAAAGAGAGCCATACCAGGGCACGCAAACATTGCCTGCGCAGAGGCATAACATGGCACGATAGCCCCCAGCCCATCATTTTCCAGGCTCCAGCAGGGTGGCAGAACAAGGCAGGGTGGAGGGGCTCAGGGCACAAGGTCCTGGCCATGGAAGTCTCCAGCCAGTGCCAGTCTACACGGAGGCCTGCAGCAGATGGAAGGGAAATCGTTCCCTGGCTCCACTGGGGCATCTTTGGTCATTGTTATTCATAATGGCTGCTTTTTATTGGAAACCTACTACGTGGGTGGCGTACCTCTAATCATGCCAGCAGCCCTATGAAGTATGTATCGTTGTCCCTATTTTATGGATAGGAACACTGAGGTCAGCCCCCTGGCCTAAGACCCCATTGCTGAGAGGTGGTGTAGCTGGGATTGGACCCTGGTTCCACTGACCCTAAAGAGATTCTTCTTCCTGCAGCCACTGTCTCTCTACTCCACTGTCTGTGCCCTGGGGGAGAAAAGGGGTCTGCCGAGGCCTGGGGGAGCCTGCTTGGAGTTGGATGGTGAAGGAGACTGGCCTTTACCGCATCGATGTGGTTTTCCTGGGACCATTCTCCTGAGGAGTGGGGGCGGGACCCTGCTTAGAGAAGGGGATGGTGGGTGAGGTAAGTGGAGGTCTAAGTTCTCAGCTGGTCTTCTAATTTCAGGGGCTCTGTGGGCCCCTCACCCCATGTTACCCCCAAACATGGGCAGAGAGAGGAGTCAAAGGCAGACGGAAGAGGGTCACTTTGTGGGCAGTGACCTGAAGGTTCCTGGGGTCTGAGGGTCCCAGAGGAGGGTGTCTGGGGCGGGAGAGAGGTCATCCTTCATGGCCTGAAGACCAGAGGAGGCTGTCAGGGGCGGGAGAGAGGTCATCCTTCATGACCTGAAGAAACCTTGGCTGGGCCAGAGAAACTAAGTAGGGGTTGCAGGCAGATGTAGAGTCTCCTTTCCCCAGAACAGGGCCCCTGCGTGGGAGCCAAACAGGCCACAGGGCCCAGGTGCCTAGCAGGCTGAGTGGTGCAGAAAGCCTGAGTTCCTCACTTCTCATAGCTGACATTTATGGAATACCTACTATATGCCCCAACTGTGCTAAGCCTTCTCTTAACGCTGACAGCTATCTTATCCAGTAGGAACTTTTATTAACCCTGTTTGACAGATGAATAAACAGAGGTGCAGGCTCCCATCAGCTGAGACTCTCCCAGGCCCGCTTCCACCCACCTGGGTCAGGAGGGCACAGCGTTTGGGGAGGGGGCTCCAACCCTTTTAATCTCAGCACAGGGCCAGGCACCTGGAAGTCTTCAGCAGATGGAAACTCTTGTCATTATTCTTGGCCTTTAGTGTGTAGAGCTTCAGGCTGGGGCCAACTTGCCTTTCAACCCATTGTCTCCTTGCTTGGCTCTGAGAGCCAGGGATCCCATCTCCTTACCTGGGGGCCTCAGGGCACACCTCCCTCCCAGCTTCTTCGGAATCTGCCTTTCTGCCTCCATCTTGGCCCTTGATCTTGGAAAGATGCCTGTAGCGGCACATGTGTGTATGTGAACATGATCGAGGTGGAGTGGGTGACTTCAGAGATGTCTCATTCTGTGATGAAGGCCCGGCAGAGAGCAGGGAAGGGTGTCCTAGGAAACCCCTCCCAGGACAGGCTCCGATCCTAGGTCAGGGATCTCTCCAGCCTTCACAGAGTGGGGAGCTTCAGGTTCCTCACTCCCACCCTTTCTGAGCTGGGACTGTCATATGGATAGAAGTGGGATGCGAACCTCTTTCCCTTCATCTGTCTTCACAGTGGTGACAGGACTGGGGGAATATCCTCTTTCTGGGTCCTCAGCCGTCTGCTGCCCCCTTTCTTAGAATCATTGGTTCACCCAGTGCCACACTTGGCAGGGATCTCAGATTCCAGCTGTTCTGACCCCATCTTCTGATAGATAAGGAAAGGGAGGCACAGAGAAGGGGAGTGACTTGCACAAGGTCACAGTCAGTTGGTGGCCGGCCTGTTGTCTCCTGGTGATGCTGGGGGAGGCAGCCAGATGATCATCGCATAGAGCTCCCACAAGACTGTCCCTCCTCTTTCCTGGGGTGTTGTCAGCTGAAGCACTGGCCACCCCCTCCCCATCCCCACGCACCAGGCAGAATTGTCTTAATGCAGCAAATTGTTCATACACATGTAAGCAAATATCTTCTCAAATTATCTCTTATCACCAAACAGGCTGCGATGCTCACCGGCTGGAGGGCTGAGGTTGTCTTTCAATCCACTGATGATGGGGAGGGGGCAGGGAAGGGGGGGCCGGCTGACACCAAAAATAAACCGGCGGAGCGGGGATGGTTGTCGCAAGGGGCAGAGCGAAGTTGTCAGGCGGCGAGAGCTTGTGAGGCGGCAGGATGATAATGTGGCATGACACTTCTGAAATGAGCGGCCCGTTGCCATGGTGAGCAGCCAGGAGGGACCGGCTCTCCCGAGGCTGAAATAAAACACGCTTTAAATGATGTTTGATTAGAATTTAGATCATGTAACCGAATACCTCAGTCCTCCTCTTCCCCGTGCTTTTCTGCTTTTCTTCTTTTCTCCTCTATTCCCCTTTTCTTCCCTCTGTCCCCACCTCTCCCCACCCCAGGGCAGACACAGATACACTCACACAGGCACACACCCACATGCACACACATGCAAATGTGCACCCAGACACACACATGCACCTGCATAAGCGTGGGCACACACATGCAGATGTGCACCCAGACACACACATGCATGCGTAGGCACACACACGTGCACACACATGTAGATGGGTACCCACACACATGTGCGTGCATAGGCACACACGTGCACATGCAAATGTGCACCCAGACACACATGCATACATATAGGCACACACACATGCACACATATGTAAATGTGGACCCACACACATGTGCATGCAGAGACACACACATGTACACACACGCGCAAATGTGCACCCAGACACACACATGCACATGCAGAGGCACACACACGTGCAAGTGCACACCTGCACAGACACATACACATATACACACCTACCTTTCTCCTCTCCTCACCCCAGTTGTTCCATGCCTCAGTTGGACCTTGAATCAAAAATTCCAGCTCAGAGCAGATGCTGAGGATGCCTTAGAGGGCCACAGCACTGATCCAGGGTCAAGGGCTTGAGTTTCTGTTCTTTTGCTGTGATAACAATAATATTAAAACAATACAAGGCCGGGTGCGGTGGCTCATGCCTGTAATCCCAGCACTTTGGGAGGCTGAGGTGGGTGAATCATGAGGTCAGGAGATCGAGACCATCCTGGCTAACATGGTGAAACTCCGTCTCTACTAAAAATACAAAAAAATTAGCGAGGTATGGTAGCACACACCTGTAGTCCCAGCTACTTGGGAGGCTGAGGCAGGAGAGTTGCTTGAACCCAGGAGGCGGAGGTTGCGGTGAGCCAAGATCGCGCCATTGCACTCCAGCCTGGGTGGCAGAACGAGACTCTGTCTCAAAACAAACAAACAAACAAAACAAAAAACAATGCAAATACTCCAAGTCCCTTGTTTGTGCAGCCCTTTATTCTTCATAAAGCTCTTCCAAATGTAAGTTCATATTTTGTTCTCACACACAAGAAGTGAGAACAAAATATGAACTTGCATTTGGAAGAGCTTTATGAAGCTTTTTCTCTGATCGTACCCATTTTCTAGAGGAGGAGCCTGAGGCTCAGAGAGGCCAAATGTCTTGCCCAGGATCGTGCAGCGGGCAAGACGTGAACCCGGCACTTCCAGAGTCTGCTCTTTGGGCTCTTGGGGGAAGCCCCTGTAGGAGGAAGGGAGCACAGCCAGCTCTCTGTCCCCTGGATGCTCAGACGTTTACTTGTCCAACATGTTTTGAACACTCACTTTGCCATTGGCTTTGGCCTGAGTAAACCAACCAAGGTATGGGCAGAGAGACCCTGGCTTGCATCTAGAGGGTTTTGGGACAGACATTGTGATGTTCTGGCTATATGCCCCCACTTTCTGGTGTAGTAACAGGTTTGTGTTATGTTTGTGGTGTTTTTCCAGGGCATGCTGCCCAGGTGGGGAAGACAGCCAGTCCCAGGGACGGAGGGTGCTCCCATGATTCTTTGCTTTCTTGCGTTCGTTTCTTTCTTTCTTTCTTTCTTTCTTTCTTTCTCTCTTTCTTTCTTTCTTTCTTTCTTTTCTTTCTCTTCCTTCCTTCCTTCTTTCCTTCCTTTCTTTCTTTTCTTTCTTTCTTTCTTTCTTTCTTTCTTTCTTTCTTTCTTTCTTTCTTTCTTTCTTTCTTTCTTTCTTTCTTTCTTTCTTTCCTTCTTTCTTTCAAGATAGATGGGGTCTCACTATGTTGCCCAGGCTGGTCTTGAACTCCTGGGCTCAGGTGATCCTCCTGCCTCAGCCTCCCAAAATATTGGGAGTATGGGTGTAAGCCACCGTGCCTGGCTTCTGCTGTGATCATTGAGAGTGGGTAACAGAGGGCAGGCTGGTGCTGTGCAGGCTGGGAAGCAGGGTTGCTCCCTGGAATCCCCATTGTTCGTGCCCCCCCAGAGCTTCTCTGGGGCCCTAGCGAGGTTGTCATCATCCTATTCTATGACGAAGAGACATAGCCTGTCCCGGTGTCCGTCTTCCCTAACAGACCAGTGTCTCCAGATTGTCTCTCTGTTTACCAGCCGGTCCATCCTTTCATTCATCACTTCGCCGGCACACACTTGTTCTGCACGTGCTGTGCACCTGGCTCTCACTAGTCAGACCTGGTCTCCACCTTCACAAATGTGGGGTTTGTGGGTAGGTGGCCTGGAGACGTACACACACAGACACACACAGTCTCCTTCAGTGCAGAGTGAGAAGTGCTCTGATGGAGGAGGGAGCAAAGTGCTCTCGGAGTGTCAAGGATGGGCTGCTCCCTGTCTGGTGGGGATCAAGGAAGTCTTCTTGGAGAAGGTGACATTTGAAGAAAGAGTAGGAATTTCAGGTAGTCAAATAGGAAGAGGCAGCCTGGGAGGAGACACCTTGATGTGTGAGAGTCCATCCTTACCCAACAGGCTGGAAGCTCCCTGGGTCAGGGAGGAGGGTGTGTCTCTCCCATCAGACTAAGATTTGAAAGGCAGAAGCTGAGCCCCTGTGCACACCCCCCTCCCAAGACTGGGGATTCCTTGAGGGTGAGTTGATATCTCCTATTTCTCTCATCGTTTGTTCCAAATTGCAAGGCATTTGTTTCTTTGCATGTCCTGTTAGTTCTATGATAGCAGGGAACCTGCTTTATACATTGTGTCTCCCTAGTGTCTGTCACGGGACTTGTTCTATACAAAGGAGTAAATATTAGGCTGGGCATGGTGGCTCACGCCTGTAATCCCAGCACTTTGGGAGGCTGAGGTGGGAGGATCACGAGGTCAGGAGATCGAGACCATTCTGGCTAACAAGGTGAAACCCTGTCTCTACTAAAAATACAAAAAATTAGCCGGGCGTGGTGGCGGGCACCTGTAGTCCCAGCTACTCAGGAGGCTGAGGCAAGAGAATGGCGTGAACCGGGGAAGCGGAGCTTGCAGTGAGCCGAGATCATGCCACTGCACTCCAGCCTGGGCAACAGAGCGAGACTCTGTCTCAAAAAAAAAAAAAAACCAACAAAGGAGTCAATATTTATTGAGTACTTGCTGCGTGCCTGGAATTGTGCTAAAGGCTTCGCATGTTATTAACTCTTTCAATGCTTACAACAGCCCTTTGAGTCAGGAACCGCCACTGCCCCCATTGTACAGATGGAGAAACTGAGTCTGGGAGGTTAATTAGTTTGTCTGAGGTCACATAATTAGCAGTTGGCAGAGTCAGGACCCAGTCGTAGGTGGTTTGGCTTTGAAGCCCATGCTCTCACCCCTGAACTCTCATACACGGGCCTTGATTACCTGTGAGTTGGGTGGGCTCAGCTTCCCCACATGACTTGGAGGGGCAGCACCTCATGGCCAGCTCCAACAGCCTGGGCGCCGCTAGCTTTGGAGAAACTCCTCGGAGCTTTCAAGGCAGTAAAGAGTGAGTGTGGAGTGTGGTGAGGAGTGAGGCCACTGACAAGTACCCGGGGTCCCCAAGGGAGAGATGGGGGGTGGGAGAAGCACACAGGTCTAGAGGGTTTAGCTAGAGTTGGGAAAGGACTGAGGAAGTGGGGCCACAGAAGTTGACAGAGGCAGGTGGGCAGGGGCAGTCATTGCCTAGAACCAGGTCTCCCCCTTCCCTTCCCCACCTCTGTCCCTGTCCGGTCATGGTCAACACTTGAACCCAGTCCTTCACTTCCAGCCCCACAGCCCTGCCCTCAGCTGGCCTTCAGCCCCCTCACCCGGCCTCCCACCTTCCTCCTCTGGCCACCAGTTAGCTTCCTACAGCAGATTCGATTGCTTTATTCCTGTGCTCCAAGACCTTCCATGGCTCTGCGTGACCCCCGCCAGGCAGCAGCCCAGATCTCAAGGCTGCTCTCCAGCCCCGATGTGATCTGATCCCAGCCGTCCTTTCTGGCCTTGCCTCTCAAGTCTGTTCCTGGTGTCTTTTCTCATCTGCGTGTGCCCTCTCCATGAATCCCTCACTCAACCCCCAGTCGAATGCCTACTGTGTGTGTGTGTGACTCAGCTCAAGTCTTTCCCAGCCTGGAGCACTTTCCCTGACCACTCCTTCCAGAGGTGTGTCTGTTATGTGCAGTTCAGAGTTCCAAGTTGTCAAATTATTTCAAGTTCTTTCCTCAACTCGACTGTAAGCTCCCGGAGGAGGAGATCGTGGATGGCAGCGATAAGTGTGTGTCTGTGCCTGCTAATAACAACCACCTATTCAGTACCAAAACAATTCACATCCAAGGATTCCCAGCCTTTGTGCTGCGTCTCCCTCCAAGGAAGTTTCTGTGTGTTTGGTCTGCTGTGGGCCCCAGTTGCTGGGGAGGGAGGAAAATTGAAAGAAGCCCCCAAATCTCAGATTAGTTTCCATCAGGCAAAGCAGAGTATTTCTCCCAGGTGAAAAGGATAGAAGTGGATAAAGGCAGAAGGGAGCGCGGGGAGAACCAGGCCGCTGTTGGGGCTGAGGCTGGTGAAGGTTGTGGGGAGACTGAGACACCGTGACCATGCTGCCAGAGGGAGCAGGAGATGGAAAAATAGGACTCTAAGAAGTTGGGATTTGTTTTAGGAATGTAAATGCCCATTTATAGATGCTTTGGTCAGAACTGGAGCTGCATTTCAGTGTCCTGTGGTGATGGACTGATGTCTTCTCTGAATGCAGCACCATATAGAGACTGGCCACAGGGTGACCCAGAACTACACAGGTTATGCTGTCACTTGAGCATAACCAATGCCTGCCAGGGGAGGCCAATGCCTGCCCTGGGCCAGGAGCTACATTTACACATAGCAACCTGAACTGGATGCCACCTGAACTGATGAGAAAACTAAGCTTCAGAGAATTTAGGAACACCGAAGGGAGAGAATGAGGAGGAGGAAGAGAGGGAAAAAGGTAGATCTGGCCCTGACTCAGAACTGTAACTCTTGACCTCTAATCTGAGAGCTACATCTTAGCGTGGGGCCACCATGGCCATTGAGTGCCCTGCTGTGGGAGACGTAGTAGGCTCATTGGGCTAGAAAATGAGTATATCAGCTTAGCTATGTCCTTGGGGTCAGAGGTGACCCAGGCCAAGGTCTCTGTAGCTATTAGGAGCCAGATGACAGTTTGATTCGTTAGCCTGGGGAAGCCCTCTTGTGAAGCCTGAGATGGGAGGGAATGGGAGGGTCTGGGAGACGTGCAGCAGGGTGGGCCGGGGCCATTGGATTGCTGACCATGAGGACTTGTCACCATGGATGACCTCCATTGCTGTACCAGTGAGCCTCCTCCCGTTGGCATGGGTAGCCTTATTGGGAAGTGGGCACCTTTATTAACTAAGAATCACTTCATTTAGTGAGTGAGGGGTGGGGCTTGGCTCAGCATAATACGGTGGGAAGCAGCCCAGGCTTTCAGGTCAGGAAACCTGGGTTCTAGGCCCCATTTGGCTGCAGGGGAGTCCCTGAACGTCACTGTGTGCCTCAGTTTCTCCTTCATAAGTTGTGGATGCAAATGCCCATTCTGCTCCTCTCAGAGGATGCTGCAGACATGACAGTGATTTGAAGGGTCAAGTTCACTGTTCAAATGCAAGCTGGAGGTGAGAATGGGGTCAGTAGCTCTTTAGCGAGATGAAGCCTCTGAGGACGGGCCAGTCACAGGCTCACTGATATAGTTTGGATATTTGTCCCTGCTGAAATCTCATGTTGAAGTGCAATCCCCAGTATTGAAGATAGGGCCCTGGTAGAAGGTGTTTGGATTATGGGGGCGGATACCTAATGAATGGCTTGGGCCATCCCCTTGGTGATAAGCAAGCTCTGGATCAGTTAGTCCACGTGCGGTCTCGTCATTTAAAAGTGTGTGGCACCTCCCCTACCCCATTCTCTGGCTCGCTCCTGCTTTCATATGTGACGTGCCTGCTCCCCCTTCACCTTCTGCCATGATTGTAAGTGTCCTGAGGCCTCCCTAGAAGCTGAGCAGGTGCCAGCACCATGCTTCCTATACAGCCTGCAGAACTCTGAGCCAATTACACATCTTTTCTTTATAAATTACCCCATCTCAGGTATTTTTTTTATAGCAAATCGAGAATGGCTTAATATGCTCATGCTTGGTGTGGGCAGCCCCATCAGGGTAGATGTCATTAGTGAGATCCCCATAGCCGAAGGAAGGGGCTCAGGCAGGGCTGGAATCTGTAGAAGGATGGAGCCAGGAGACAGGATCCTAGCAGACAGGGACTGTCATGCCTGCTTTCCAGGACCCCTTGGGAAAAAGAATATTTTGCATCCCTATCTCCCGTCAATTGACTGGGGGCCCCACAAAGAATAGTAACAGAAATAATAACAAAAGCTCACATGTATTGAGGGTTTACCACATGTCAATCTCTATTCTAAGCACTTTACCTGCATTGACTCATTTCTGCCTCACGGTAACTCCATGTAAAGGTACTATTTTTATCCCCACTTTACTGATCAGAAACCCAAGGAGTTAAGTGACCTTTCTTAAGCAGTTAAGTGACTTGTAAGTGGCAGAGTCATGACTCAGTCCCCGATGGTCCAGGGCTTGTGCTGTGTTATGCTTTCAGGAAGTAATCCTGAATCCTTTATGCTTCAGAGGGTGACTCCTTGGCTACAAAGACTCATTAGTCCCACATCCAACAGCAGGCAGGGGTCCCCACCTTCCCCACCAAACAGCAAAACTTAGACTTGAATCCCAGCCCTGGCTGTTATTCGCTGCTTATGCATTCCTGGCAAGTGAGTTCATCTGTAAAATGGGTGAACAAACATTTGTTGAATACCTGTCATGTGCCATATATGTATATTTGAGACAGAGTATTGCTTTGTCGCCCAGGCTGGAGTACAGTGGCGCAATTTCGGCTCACTGCAACCTCCACCTCCTGGGTTCAAGTGATTCTCCTGCCTCAGCCTCCAGAGCGGCTGGGATTACAGGTGCCTGCCACCATGCCCAGCTAATTTTTGTATTTTTGGTAGACACGGGGTTTCACCATGTTGGCCGGGCTGGTCTCAAACTCCTAACCTCAAGTGATCCGCCCACCTCGGCCTTCCAAAGTGGTGGTATTAAGGCGCAAGCCACTGCACCTGGCCAATGTGCCAAATTTAATTGAAGCTTCACCATAACCTTATGAGACAGGCATTATTTCCTCCATTTTACAGCCAGGGAAGTTGAGGCACAGAGGGGTTAAACAAATTACCTAAGGCCACGGTGAAACAGGCTGAAACGGAACCCAGCCTGTCTGATTCAGAGCTCAGGCTCTCCTCCTCCTTCCTCAGAGTGTGAGCCACAAAGCCTCAATTCCTGGGGTGATAATAAGTATGAAAAAGGAGGTTTCTGTGATCAACTCTGCTTAGGGAAGGCTGTTTGCAACAAAGTTAAACAGACTATTTGCTGCAGAACTTATCAGAGCCTTTATTATACTTTTGCACACTGGGTAGTCCCAAGAGCAGAGCAGAGTTAGTATGAACAAAATCTTTGCTGTGAACAAGTTAGTTGAGGAGAAAGAATCTTGGGGGAGAAGTGTTCCTTGGAGCTCACTTTGGGAAATGTACTTCATCCTGCTGCTTTTCTGACAACAACAATCATGAAGACAGCAGCAATGTTACTAACATCATAAATGGGATCATCCGCTGGTTGCAGAGGCTCATGCCTGTAATCTCAGCACTTTGGGAGGCCAAGGCAGGAGGATTGCCTAAGCCCAGGAGTTCAAGACCAGCCCAGGCAACATAGGGAGACCCTGTCTCTACAAAAAATTTAAAAATTAGCCAGGCATGGTGGTGCACACTTGTGGTCCCAACATCTCAGGATGCTGAGGTGGGAGGATTGATTGAGCCCAGGAGGTGGAGGCTGCAGTGAGCCAAGATCGCATCACAGCACTCCAGCCTGGGTGGCAGAGTGAGATCCTGTCTCAAAAAAAAAAAAAAAGGGTTGGGGGGCCAGGCGCAGTGGCTCATGCCTCTAATCCCAGCACTCTGGGAGGCCGAGGCAGGCAGATCACTTGAGATCAGGAGTTCCAGACCAGCCTGGCCAATATGGCAAAACCATGTCTCTACTAAAAATACAAAAATTAGCTGAGCATGGTGGTGGGCACCTGTAATCCCAGCTACTTGGGAGGCCAAGGTGGGAGAATCACTTGAACCCAGGAGGTGGAGATTGCAGAGAGCCGAGATGGCACCACTGCACTCCAGCCTGGGCAACAAAGTGAAACTTCATCTCAAAAAAAAAAAAAAAAAGGGATCATCACCATCATTATCATTATAAGCTTTGCCTCAATTGCAATGTTACTTTCTGCCTATGTTATTTGGGAATTTTTTCAGGACATTGCCCTCCTCATTCTCCCCCGATGTTAAGTGCCCTGATTCCTTTCTTGTGCTCAGGGCAGTTTAAGCCTTTAGGGTTCACGTTCCTTGTGCCTGGATCACCTCTGTTCTCTGCTCCAACCTTTTGCCTGGGCTGTCCTTCTCAGGTTGTCCTCCCTTTCTCCCCTTCCCAGCCTTGTTCTTGGAGGAAAGTGAGAGAGGATTGGAGGGGAAGCGATTTGGCCAGGGGCATGTGGTATGCCCTGCCCCAGCCTCTCCTGCCTCCTTTCCCACAGGGCTTGGCTCTATAGACCTCCCTTCTGAGAAACCCTCTCTGATGGCCTCATCCCAGGGCAACCACTTAGCTACTCGGGGCCTCTCTTGGTCTTTTGATACCTAGTCTATATTATATACTGTGCAAAGGGTTGGGTTTTTTTTTTGGTGTACTATATTTATTTTTTAAAACACAGCTTTATTGAGGTATAGTTTGTGTACCATAAAATTCACCCATTATATTTATATGAAAACTGTTTATTATAATCAATATTTTACATAAAGAAAAGAGCATGAGTGAGTACACACAGAGGGATGAATTTTTACAAAATAAAAATATCTGTGTTATTAGCACCTGTCTCAGAAACATGACACCTTCAGAGAGATTTATTAAAAACATACAAACCAATCCACAAGACTTTCCCTTTCCTCCCTCCGTCCTGCCCTGCTCTTTCTCATTCCTTCCTTCCTCCCTCCCTTCCTTCCTCTTTCCTTCCCTCTTTTTTTTTTTGAAACAGAGTCTTACTCTGTCACCCATACTGGAGTACAGTGGCATGATCTTGGCTCACTGCAACCTCCATCTCTCAGGTTCAAGCAATTCTCCTGCCTCAGCCTCCTGAGTAGCTGGGATTACAGGTGCACCACCAAGCCTGGCTACCTCTTTCCTTCCCTCTCTCCCTTCCTCTTTCCTCTGACAAGGTACCCAGGCAGAGCCTTGAGCTGTAAAGGGTCAGATGTTGAGTGTGGGCAGTGCCCAGGCCTCCTGAAGCACAGATCATTCCTTCTCCCTCCCTCCTTCCCTTCCCTTCCTTCCTTCCTTCCTCTAACCCCTTTATGTCTCCCTTCTTTCCTATTGGCTCTCATTCCAAATACCATCTGGGGTTTATAGTGAGAGGCACAGCCAGAGTAAATGTAAATGCCTGCCAAACAGTGCCCTAGAAGGCAAGGAGCGATGGGGTCAGGAGCTGAAAGACCCAAGTCCTGGCTTGGCCGCTGCCAGTTTCAAGGCCTGAGGCTTGTGACCACACCTCCCTGTGCCTCAGTTTTCTCTTCTGTGAATGAGAATTATGACATGACTGACTTCAAAGGGTGCTGAGAAGATGAAATAAGGTATTTTGCCCTTATGCCTGCCACGTGGTTACCATGTGCTTGCATGCAGGAAGCTCTCAGTGGCACCTGGCAGACAATTGCATTTCTTACTAAGATGAGACACAGATGGTGAGAATCATTGCCATTTATTGAGCACATACTACCTGTGAGGGCTTTACCTCTCATCTGCACAACCATCCTGCAAGGAGAGGGTATTATCTCCAGTTTACAGATGAAGAACTGCAAGTCCTGAAGACGTAGGTTGCTAAGGGTTGGAGCTGGAGCTTGAACCCAAGGAGTCTGGCTCGAGTGCCCATGCCCTAATCACTGGGCAAGCCTTACATCAATTTCTCCTGGACCCTTTGAGGTCTGGCTGTAGCTGTGAGCCAAGTATGGTTCTCTCCCAACTGCTAGGACAGGACCAGGCCAACCACAGGGCCACCCCTTGGCATGCTGAGAAATCGCCTAGGGGCAGGGATGGGGTTTTGGGAAGGGGATGAGGTACCCAGGCAGAGCCTTGACCTGTAAAGGGTCAGATATCGAGTGTGGGCAGTGCCCTGGCCTTCTGAAGCACAGATCTGCAGCTCCAGGGAGAATCTGGGACTCTGGTGCAGGGCGCCGTGGAGGCAGGAGTATGGCCCTGTGGGGTGGTCATAGCCCACAGCCCTGGAGCATCAGAGAAGAGCAGCCTGCCCCCTGCAGATCCTCCTCATCCTGCAGGCCAGTGTCACCGGAATGGAGGGTGTGGAGCAGGCCTGGCAGGACATGGCTGGGCATGGGGGTGGTGGTGACGCCTCTTCAGCTGGGGCAGGACTGAGGCAGAGTGACCTGCCCACCACCCATGCCAAGTGCTCAGGAAATCCTGGGGCAAGGCCTGGAGATTCCCACTGGTGGGGTCTGGTGGGGAATATTGGGGGCATCCCCAGTCTGGTGCCTCAGCCAGCCCCTCACTTCTTGGTGGGGTTCTGCAGGAGCACGGACGTCACCTGCCCTTTTGCTGGCCTTGACCATCCCTGCCCTGACCTCCAGGCTCCCTGGGGCCAGTCCAGACATCTGTATCCATCTTGCCCCAAACTCTGGAGATTCTGACAAATTTCCTTTCATTGCTTCCAGCCGTGTTATTTAAAGTAATTAACCTTAATTTATAAATTTTTATATCAAACTGCCTTTTAACTTTTAGAACTGGCAGGAACAGCCTTATCCCTGGGCTCCTAATAGTTCTCCATTTAATCAAAATTCATCCATCAGGTTCCAGTGTTAAATCATCTTTTAATTGGGAGTTACATTCTGGTTAATAGTTTTATAATTCGCCTCCTCTAATAGTTTTTACCACAGGGATCTCGACTCCATTTTTCCTGACTCTATTATTGCTGGCATGCGATTCTGCGGGGATGGCTTAACGCGGCCCTGCCTCTCTGGCCTCTGCTGGTCGCCTCTTTTGTTCTTGGTGGTCTCATTAATTCCTGAGAAGAGTTATCCTTCCTCCTCATTACTAGGGCAGAGCTGCTGTCCTCTTGAGGGGCAGCCTTCTGATTTCTGCAGCCTTAGGAGCTCTGGCCAGGAGATCTCCAAGAGAAAGCTGGAGCGAAAGAAAGGGACAGATGGAGACAGAGACAGAAAGACAGAGAGAAACAGAGAGAGAGGGAATATGGAGAGGAAGGAGCACGTGGGAAGCCGGCAGGCCAGGACCCTAGAGAGAGACAGAGGCGTCTGGGAGTGGACTGGCTCCTCTCCCGGCTCCTGCCACTGCCCCTCAGCTCCTGACTTCCTGGGAGTGGGGGGCCTTGGGTGAGGCAGGTGATATAGGAGGAAGGTGGCCCTACCTGAGACCCCAGGGTGGCCTGGAGGAGTGGCTGGGGCTGGAGGACAAGCAGAGTGGGCCTGGAAAGTCCTTGGAGGTCAGCAGGCAGGGAGGTCCCAGTCCACTCCCTGGTCACTCTGAGTTGCTCCTGTGCATGTTACAGCATCAGGATCATCACAGATGAGCCGGGGAGCCTCCTGGCGGCCAAGAGGATGAGGGTGTGAGATCCCAAGATCAGAAAGGAGAGACCTGCGGGAGACAGAGAAAGGGAAAAGTCAAGAGTGAGAAAAGAAAGGAGAGGGAAGAGAAGGACGGGGAGAGAAAGGGAAAGAAAGGAAGAGGCCAGGTGTGGTGGCTCACGCCTGCAATCCCAGCACTTTGGGAGGCCGAGGCAGGCAGATGACTTGAGGTCAGGAGTTCAAGACCAGCCTGGCCAACATGGTGAAACCTTGTCTCTACTAAAAATGCAAAAATTAGCCAGGTAGGGTGGCGCATACCTGTAATCTCAGCTACTTGGGAGACTGAGGCAGGAGGTGGACTTGACCCTGGGAGGTGGAGGTTGCAGTGAGCTGAGATCGCACCACTGCACTCCAGCCTGGACGACAGAGTGAGACTCCATCTCAAAAAAAAAAAAAAAAAAGGAAGGAAGAGAAGAAGACAGAGGAGGGGTGAGGAGAAGAGAGGATGTGGTCACCTTGTCAGGGAGTCCTGGCCTGTGAGGAGATGGGCCTGTGTGGGTACATGCATATACACGTGTGCATACATGGGCACTCACACAAACCCACACATGCGCACAGGCCTGAAACCAGTCCTAGGAACAGCTAGTGCAGGGGTGTTGCTGGGCTGGGACATGGCCTGGAGCCTGGGGGTGGGGGTCTCTGAGAAGGTCTCCAGGAGATGTGAGCTGCGAGGGGTCAGGGAAGGGCCAGGGAAGGATGGAAGCTGGGCTGAGGCCACTGAAGTGAGCTTCCCTGGGGATGGAGGGCCTGGGTGGCTGGCGTACCTTGAAGTCATGTCTTGCTGAATCTGTAGTCTCCACCTCTGATTGGTGACTTTGCAAGACAGTAGGTCTCAGCCCTGGCTGCACGCTGGAGTCACCTGTGGGTGTTTAAAAATCCCAGTGCCCTGGCCTCACCTCACATGCTGTGATGGTTTTAAAGTAGATCCACAAATCCTTTGAGCCTCCTCCCTTCTGAAGATGGAGTCTAATTCTCTTCCCCTAGAGTGTGGGCTCCTTCTAAAACACAAACACAGCGGAAGTGGTGTGATTTAGGAGGTTAGGGCAGGGAAGGTACTGAGGCTTCCTCTCTGCACTGCTTTGGATCTCTTGCTCAGAAGGCAGCCAACTGACGGGTCATGAAAACACTCAAGCAGCCCTGTGCAGAGGCCCATGTGGCCAGGAAATGAAGCCTTTTGCTGGTGGCATTGAGTCATCTTGAAGCAGGTGCTCCAGCCTGGGCTGACGTCTGAACTCCAACCTCAGGAGAGATCCTGAGTCAGGACCACCTGGCTCAGCTGCTCCTGGATTTCTGACCTCAGAAACCATGTAAGCTCCTAAATGACCATCAACCAATAAGTGGATAAAGAAAATGTGAGATATATATATATATATATATACACACACACACACACACACACACACACCATGGAATACTACTCAGCCATAAAAAGGAAAGAAATAATGGCATTCGCAGCAACTTGGATGGAATTGGAGACCACTCTTCTAAGTGAAGTAACTCAGGAGTGGAAAACCCAAACATCGTATGTCCTCACTTATAAGTGGGAGCTAAGCTATGAGGACACAAAGGCATAAGAATGAAACAGTGGACTCTGGGGACTCAGGGAAAGGGCGGGAGTGATGAGGGATAGAAGACTACACACTGGGTGCGGTGTACACTGCTCGGGGTATGGATCCACCGAAATCTCCGAAATCACCACTAAAGAAATTATCCATGGAACCAAACACCACCTGTTCTGCCAAAACTATTGAAATAATTTAAAAAACAAAAGAAAAAAAAGAAACCGTGTGAGCTAATGTTTGTTGTTCTTTTAAGGTGCTAAATTTTGGGGGGTTATTTGGTATGCAGCAATAGGTGACCCACATTCATTCCATCAGCATCCCAGGGGGTGGGGCTGGACACAGGTGTGTTTTAAAGCTCCACAGTAGTCTAGTGTGCACCCAGGTTGAGAACTGCTGCCCTAATGCCTGTGTGTGCATGACAGTGTGTGCCTGTGTACAGGCCACATGCGTGTGTATTGATGGAGGCGCCGTGTTCCACTTTTGTGTAACATTTGCCAGGGCACATTTGCCAGGGCACATAAGTACAAGCCCCGCCCACCTTGTGTGTTCCTCTCGGAGTGCATCAGTCCCTCTGTCCCAGGTACTTGTGTCAGGGTGTGGCTCAAGAAGGACTGGGGCATGGAAGGAGCCTTGGAGGTTTTGTGGCCAGAGTCACATGGGCTGTTCACCACTTCCTCTCTGTGTGCCCTCTCTGAGCCATAAAGCTCCCATATGGGGACCTGCAGATCAGCACTCTTCCCGAGACTTCAAGGAGGCAGTATTGGAGCTGGTGGATGCCTCCTGGGCTGGTTTTGGCAAAGTTTTGGTAGCCCTGTCACTTTTGTTATAATGGCTCTTGGCGTAATGCAATTTGACCTGCAGCTGTGCATACAGGAGAGCAATCAAATGTGTGGTTTCCTCTGCAGGACCTGACCTGAAGGAGGGTCTGCACTGGGTGGAGGGCAATTTTAGTCATGGCTGTATTAGGGTTTACGATTTAAGGCCAGTTGTCTTGGCCTCTGAAATGCCAGCTGGCTCAGATTGGCAGGATGAGGAGCTGGTCTTCCACACTGGAGAGTAAAGATGTTGATTCTGAAGCAGGAAGCACAAGAACTTTCTACTTTCGCTGAGGCAGGCTGGTGGCTCCAGCTGAGCCCAGACTCCTCCCAGCTGTGTGTCCTGGGCTGAGCCTCTTATTTTTGCTAGGCCTCAGCTTTCTCATCTATAAAGTGGAGGAGCAAATGATCTACCACCTCTTGCATGTGACATACTGTGTCTCCCCACCACAGCCCCTGTCAGGCTGCTGGGTAGCCTAGGAGAGGGACCCTCTGACCCTCAAACACAGCCCAATCCTCAAGGCTGTGCCTTCCGTTCCATTGGAACCAACTTCACCCTCAGTTACCCCCACTGAGGCCTCCGGGGAAGGTGGGAAGAAAAGAAAGGGTCACCACACACCTGCCTTTGCCCTCCCTAGCAGGGAGAAATCAGGGAGGATGTAGGGTGGAGGAGGAGCTTGATGCCCAAAGATGCTTGGGTTTGGAGTTTCTTGGTGGGTGAAATACAATGGGAAGAGAAGGAGAAGGAGGTAGAGGAGGAGGAGGAGGGAGAGGAGAAGGCAGAGAGCAGCATTGGTTGCGATCCTGCCATGTGCTCCAGGAGCACTCTGCTCAGACCTTCCAGCCCATTGTGACGTCTGAGTTTCATGACAATAAGGATGATTGGTGCCATTTTACAGAGCAGGAAACTGAGGCTCAGGAAGGTGAAGGAATCTCCTTGCTCAGTGTCACATGGGCTAAGGAATGCAGATGGAACCAGGGTGGGAGCTCCGGCCCAGTGACTACAAAGCCTGGGCATTACTGTGGGGACTCGAGGGCAGGGAGAGGTCCAGTCCTTGCACCAGGCACCTTCTCCCAGTGGGGCCACTGGCCCCATTTCTTAGAGGCTGTACTAGGTTAGGGGTGGATGACAAGAATGATGGTGGAAGTGAGAGGTGCCCAGGACTGCCCCTGAAGCGAAAGGATTTAGGTTAGACTGTGGGAAGCATGCGGGTTCTGAAAGCCCAGGGTGGCAGGACACAGGGAGCCCGTGCTGCCTTCTTCCCTGGGACACTCAGGAGCTGGTCAGGAGCTGAGGCTCCCTTCACACCTGGTAGGCCTGAGCCTGAGAAGAGTTGAGGGTTGGCCCTTCAGCGAGGCAGGGGGATTGGCAGGTTGACCAATGCAGGGAACCACCAGCCTGTGTTTGGATGGACAGACTACCTCTGATTCTGCTGGTGCAGTTAGAGATCAAGTTCACAGGCTTCAGATATCAGAGCTTATAGTTCAGGCCCCGTCACTTGTGAACAGAGTGACTTTGGACAAGCCCCTTAACGCCCTGTGCCTCAGTTTCCTTATCTGTAAAATGAGGGTGAGGAAAAAGCTGTTTCATAGCCAGTGAGCATGCTAAATGAGATAAGCGCTTTATAGTATTTAGCCAAGCCCCGGGCATAGGGACTCACACAGTAAGTGGTGACTGCTATCATGAACTGTCTGGGAAGGCAGGAGGGGGCAGCTTGCTCCAGAGCCTGGAGTCCCAACCGGGTGGCACTGGGTGGTCTGGCATTAGTTTTGTTACCAGAAAGTGGTCTCAATCCAGACCCCGAGAGGGTTCTTGGATCTCACACAAGAAAGAATTTAGGGGGAGTCCATAAAGTGAAAGCAAGTTTATTAAGGAAGTAAAGGAATAAAAGAATGGCTACTCCAGGCCGGGCGCAGTGGCTCACGCCTGTAATCCCAGCACTTTGGGAGGCCAGGGCGGGCGGATCACCTGAGGTTGGGAGTTCAAGACCAGCCTGACCAATGTGGAGAAACCCCGTCTCTACTAAAAATGCAAAATTAGCCGGGCATGGTGGCGCATGCCTGTAATCCCATCTACTTGGGAGGCTGAGGCAGGAGAATAGCTTGAACCCAGGAGGCAGAGGTTGCGGTGAGCCAAGATCATGCCATTGCATTCCAGCCTGGGCAGCAGAGCAAAACTCCATCTCAAAAAAAAAAAAAAAAAATGGCTACTCCATAGACAGGGCAGCCCCAAGGGCTGCTGGTTGCCCATTTTTATGGTTATTTCTTGATGATATGCTAAACGAGGGGTGGATTATTCATGCCTCCCCCTTTTAGACCATATAGGGTAACTTCCTGATGTTGCCATGGCATTTGTAAACTGTCGTGGCGCTGCTAGGAGTGTAGGAGTAAGGACGACCAGAGATCATTCTTGTCGCCATCTTGGTTTTGGTGGGTTTGGGCCAGCTCCTTTACTGCAACCTGTTTTATCAGCAAGGTCTTTATGACCTGTATCTTGTAGCAACCTCTTGTCTTATCCTGTGACTTAGAATGCCTTAACCATCTGGGAATGCAGCCCTGTAGGTCTCAGCCTCCTTTTACCCACCTCCTATTCAAGATGGAATTGCTCTGGTTCACATGCCTCTGACATTTCTGACTCACCCTTTCTGGGAGACCTTGAAAAAAATTCACCAAACCTCTCTAGGTGTCAGTTTCTTTAATTGCCAGATGGAGACCCAAGTCCCTGTTCTTCTCTGGGGACCCAGAAATGATCGGTGTCTACAAATGTGTTTGCAGATGTTCTTGGCCTGAGCAGATAGAGTCCACCCTTCACTATTCAGTTGGGTTACCTCATGGGTCCCCCATAATAAACCTGTTCCCCACCCACACCCATAATAAACTGAAAAAACATTTATTTATTTATGGTTTTGAGACAGAGTCTCACTCTGTTGCCCTGGCTGGAGTGCAGTGGTGCTATCTTGGCTCACTGCAACCTCTGCCTCCTGGGTTCAAGCAATTCTCCTGTCTCAGCCTCCAGAGTAGCTGGGATTACAGGCATGTACCAACATGCCTGGCTAATTTTTGTATTTTTAGTAGAGACGGGGTTTCACCATATTGGTCAGGCTGGTCTCGAACTCCTGACCTCAGGAGATGCACCCGCCTTGGCCTCCCGAAGTGCTGGGATTACGGGCATGAGCCACCGCACCTGGCCTGAAAAAACATTTATTGAACCCCTCTCTTGTGCCAAGGCACTGTGCCCAGGCCACGGAAGTTACAAGGAACACTTGTTGGGTGCCACCTCTGTGTTCTAAAGGATGCACAACCATCTGTAACCTGCACAAACCACCCTGTGAGAGAGATGTGACAATCACTCCCATGTTACAGATGAAGAAGACGCAGCTTTGAGCCCAGAGGTAACTAGCTGAAGGTCACGTGGGAAGACAGTCAACCAGCTGCAGTGCAAACGCACCTGCTTCTGCCTCCAAACCCCTTCCTGTGCCTTCCATGCTGTCACTTGCTGGTGATTCCACAGGGCGCTCCTGGGATCTCATGTGTATTGTCATATCTGCAAATGAGCAACCGAGATCCCCAGAGGTTAAATTCCTGGTCCAATGCCCTTCCACTGGCAGGTGGCCACATCCCCTCCAAACTCAGTTTCCTCTGACCCCAGAACCCCGGCTCCCTCCTGCCTCAGTGACACCCTCCCACCATGGGACACGATGCCTTTGGGTCCTACTCTCTGTTTTCCTGTTTCCTTTGAGACCCTCTGTGCCCCCTGAATGAGGTCTTGATCATCAGGGACTCTGCCAGCTGGGGAGCTTTGTAAGGTGTAGTCACCCTGGGAGAGTCCTTGCTTGGGCCCACAGTCTTGGGGACTGAGGTCTGTGCAGTGACAATAGAGGATTGTTAAATAAGGAGTCACAATCCTCCGGCACATTGTCCAACCGTGGCCTTTTCCTCTGACACGTAAACTCTCATTGAACCCATTTCACAGGTGAAACAGCTGATGCCTGAGTTGGGCCCTTTCCCTTTCATCAAGGGGCTGGAGCAGCTGAGACCAAGTCCCTGACATGGCCCCCTGGGCCTGGCTGGCTCTGTCTCTAGTAGAATAAGAGGTGAGATCAGGGACAGAGAAAGAGGGAGCAGGAAGCAGAGCTCAAAAGCAGAGCTGGCCTCAGGGTTGCAGAGCCTATGTGTGTTTGCAGGGTCTGGCGCAGGGAACAGAGAGATGGATTGGTGCTTCTGGTCCCCATCCCTCGGCTCCCAGAGACAGGCTGGGGTTCACCCTGAAGTGCTGGATCCTAATGGATGTCCCGCTGTGGGCCTGAGCTGGCCGCTGATCAGCTTCCTGCCGCACTTTGCTACCTTCCCAGTAGGACTGTCACTAGGCCCAGGGGTGATGGAACAGCTGAGGGACAAACTGGGGACCCGGCAGCAGAAAGGGGAGCAGTAAATCTCAGGGCTTTCAGCACTGCCAGTTGGTGGAGCGGTGTTAGAACCCCTCTGGCCTTATACAACCAAGTGCTTATTTTCCCCAGAGGGAAGCGGGTGGTGGGGAAGGAATAGAGGGGAAGAGACAGAAGGACAGGAAACTCACTAGAGAAGACAGAGACAGAGCAGGGAGTGGAGGAAGGAGCCCAGGGAGACAGGCTGAGTCTGAAGTTGCAGATCCTGACCGGGCTGCTCTGGAGTGGCAGCCAGCCTCAAGGGCCTCCATTTCCATGGGGGAAGAATTTGGACTCTGCTTCATGGGGAGCAGGCCTCTGTCTCTTTTGGGGATGGAGAGGGGGCAGTTAGAGCTTCCCCAGGCCAGGGGCCCTCCCCTTCTCCCACCCCACATCCAGGGAGTCTCATGCTTCACCCCAGCCCCTCTACTCTCTGACTCCTGACCTGGGAGAAGCTGCTGGTTCCTGGAACACGATTCCCAGGTCAGTGAACTGCCAGGCTTCAGCCTTAGAAGGAATCATGCCTCTGTCTCACAGATGGGGAAACCGAGGTGCTGGCAGGGGCTTTGGCTCAGATTTGTGTAGATGAGGCTGGGCTCCTCTCCTTCTGCCACAGTGCAATGAACAGTGGCACAGCCCTAGCCCACTGATGCCAAATCCTGGCCGGTTTTTGGTTTTCTGATTAATCCTGGGAGGAGGGGAGACAGACCCAGGCCCCCTTTTCACTCCCAGCACCAGATAGATGATTCTCTGGGGAGAAGTGAGGCTTAGAGGCAACGAGGGAGCGGGGGAAGGGCAGGAAGCATCTATCAGGGGCCTCATGGGGGTGGGTATTTTATATCTGCTGTTCTTTTGACTCATTACCATCTGTGGGGCAGAAATTATGACTCTGATTTTACACGTGAGGAAAGCCAGACTCAGGTTAATTAAATTGTCTAGGGTCACTCAGCTGGTGAGTGGAGGAAACCAGGATTCGAATCCAGGTCTGGCCCCAAAGTCTGGGCTCTTTCCAAACTGCCATGTGCATGGGGTGATGGATGGACATGGAAGGAGAGCGGCTGTCATGCTCTGTTCCCCCAACCCCTCAAAGTAGGCTGGAGAGAGGAGCACAGGCAGCCGGTGAGGAGATTGTGGGGCTCACTGGGACGGGATGGGCAGACACTGCTTGTTGTCAGACCTGGCGAATCTTGCCTGGAATCTTGGCTTTGCCACTCTGCATCTGCGTGGCGCCAGGCAAGTCCCTTCTCTTCTCTTTGCATAATAAAGCAAGCGGCTTCGAGGTGTCTCCCTGATGTTTCATGAGTGAATGAATGAAAAACAAATGAAGGTGTCAGGAGGAAGCACACCTATTCTTTTTTTTTTTTTTTGAGACGGAGTCTTGCTCTGTCACCCAGGCTGGAGTGCAGTGGCGTGATCTCAGCTCACTGCAAGCTCCGCCTCCTGGGTTCACGCCATTCTCCTGCCTCAACCTCCCAAGTAGCTGGGACTACAGGCGCCCACCACCACGCCTGGCTAATTTTTTGTATTTTTAGTAGAGACGGGGTTTCACCATGTTAGCCAGGATGGTCTCGATCTCCTGACCTTGTGATCCGCCCACCTCAGCCTCCCAAAGTGCTGGGATTACAGGCGTGAGCCACCGCGCCCGGCCAGAAGCCCACCTATTCTAACTAGAGTCAAAGGCTGGAGTGCCAACGGTGCCTCAGGACAGGTCCTGCGGAGATGAGCCCCTGAACCTCTGCTTCTCTCAACCCACTTAAATGAAGCCCCAGTCTTCCCCAGACACCACGTGGAGGCCGAGAAACCCACTGATAGATGGTGGGTGGGGGTGGACATACTGGTGGCCCCAGTTGGCTTCCTGTCACACCAGGGCATCCCCTCCCATATGAAGTCACCGTGAGATCTCTCTATCCCAGCTAGGTTAGTTGCTCTTAATTAAACCAATTGTTGGACTTAATACCCATCCCATTAACATGTCTCCCAGATCTATTAATTATGACCAGTGGAGGAAGGGCACGGGAGCTTTGGGTGGGGATGCAGGGGTTTGAAAACCAAGCCAATCTGCCTCACAGAGAAGAGAAGGGGCAAGTTCATTCCTGGATATGAGGGCAATCTGGCTGCAACATTTGTCACCCCGTTGATCACCAGGATTGATTTGGGTGATCTGGCTGGCTAGGCGGGTGTCCCCGTCCTCCCTCACTGCTCCATGTGTGTCCCTGCTGAAGCTGCACACTTGGAGAGGATGACCTTCCCTGATAGAGGAGGACTGTTCTTTGGTCAAGGGTATACCAGGAGCTCGACTCGCCTGCTGGAACCTCCGAACAACCTCTCAGGTTCACTCCTTGTTTCCTCCTGGGAGTCTTGGAAACATTCATTACAGCCTCAGAATTCCTGGAAGCCTGCTGTGTCTGCATCCCATGGGGTCTAACTGAGGCCCTCTGGCCACCATGACCCTTGGGACCCCTTTCCCATTTAGCTTTCTCAGAGCCACTGGGGCAGGGACAGGGGAGGTGGAGGTGACTGTCATTGGTGCAAGGTAGGGGCCAAGAACTCATCCGTGGGGTCAGAACGGAGGCTGAGTGGGAATGAGGATTACAGATGGAGAGCTGGAGTTACCCCAGCTCCACCCACACACACCTGTGTTCAGAATGTTCCCTCTGCAGCTCTTTGGGACCAGGTAGGGCTCCCTAAATCCCTCTGTACTCTGATCAGGCCTTCCTGGATGGTGGGTGGACTTAGAGGCAGATGCTGGACCTACGCAGGGATGCTCAGACTATTAGTAGGCCCTCCCCTTGTGCCTTCTCCTTCCTCCTTCCCTCCCAACTGGGCCCTCCCCGCTGCCCCCAGTGTCAGGGGCCAGCCAGGGCAGGAAGGGAACTAGGGTGGGGCCCTCAGAGGTGCATAAATCATTATTGGCGAAGACCTCAGCCCTGAGCCGCCGGGTGGAGGCTGCTGCTCATGGTTCAGGCCAGGGCATAAATCATAATTCCCCTACAATAGATCCTTTTGCAGCCGCCATCAGGAAAACTGTGTTGGTTTTATCGATTTTTTGACACAGGGGCCTAGGCAGCGGGCGGCTCCTGAATCATTATGAAATGAAACTGATTAGGAATTCATGGAATACTAAATAAACTTTACGAGCCCGTTGTAAGTTTTTTGATGCATGGGGAGCGGAAAATGAAAACTAATGATATAAAAATTACACAGCGTGCTGAGTATTATTATACTGCTATTGATTTGCTTCAAACTGTACATCAAAATCGAAGAGGGCTGGGGCAGTGCCTGCAGCGAGGCTGGGGATATTTGGGCTCACCAGGGCTGGAGGGCTTTTTTTTTTCCCTTTTCTATTTTTATTTATTTATTTTCTTTCTCTTTCCTCCAGCCTCCTGCTCTGTAATCTGACATCCTTTTCCCCACCTCTTCCAGCGAAGGCCCCGGGGAGCCGCCTCTTCATCCACTCACAGGTCACTCCCTTCTTAGCTGGAACCTGGACCCTGGCTCAACTTGAATTCCTTGGCCTCCCACTGGTTTCTCTCTGGAGCTGCATTTTTCAACCTGTGAGTCTCTCTTTCCCCTTCCACCTCCCCACCGTTTCTCTGGGGAAGGACAGTGTGCTTCAGGGAAATGAGGTGGAGATTCATTTCTTGTGTAGCCCCTTGCTGTGTGACCTTTGGCATGTTGCTGTGCCTCTCTGGACATTGTTGTGGATAGCAAAAACAGTGGACTCATTAGATCAGGGCCTCTTAAAGCATGGTCTGTGGACAGGCCACTGTCGTCTTCACAGCTTGTCAAAAATACCAATTCCTGGGCCTCATCCTTAGATGAACTGACTTCATTCTCAGAAGGGGGAATCTGGGGCCAGTTGCGGTGGCTCACGCCTGTAATCCCAGCACTTTGGGAGGCTGAGGTGGGTGGGTCACCTGAGGTCAGGAGCTCAAGACCAGCCTGGCCAACAGGTGAATCCCTGTCTCTATTAAAAATACAAAAATTAGCCAGGCATGATGGCTCACGCCTGTAGTCTGAGCTACTGGGGAGGCTGAGAGAGGAGAATCGCTTGAACCCAGGAGGCAGAAGTTGCAGTGAGCCGAGATTGTGCCACTGCATTCCAGCCTGGGTGACAGAGTGAGACTCCATTTCAAGGAAAAAAAAAAAAAGAAGAAGGGGGAATCTGTTTTATAAGTTCCCACGGGACTCCCGTGCACTGCAAATGCTGATCTGAAGAGACACATCTGAGCCACTTATCCCATTGGGTTGTCAGAGGTGGCCTTAAAGCTGTGAGTATTGCCTTCTATATTAGTCAGCTTTTGCTAGTTTATGGTGTAGTAATGAACAATCCCAAAATCTCAATGGCTTATAGCAACATAAGTTTTTTTTTTTTTTGTTCATCATACATATCTGCTGCAGGTTGTTTGTGACTCTGTTCCATGTGTCTTCATTCTGGGGCTCGGGCTGAAAAAGCAGCTTCAATCTGGTGGCAGAGGGGAAGAGCAAGAAAGATGGTGGAAACGTGAGGTCCAAAGGCCTTAGCTTGGGCATGGTCTATGTCCCTCCTGTTCCTATTCCATTTGCTGAAAGGAGTCTTATCGCCAAGTCCAACAGTAGGATGGGAAGTACAATTCTCCCACAAGGATGGGTACCAGGGAGAGGCCCTGTAGGGATGGGTTGGGAGAGAAGGGAGTGGATTTTTTAACACGTCATACCACACCCTTCTGGGCTTGGTCTTGGGTCCAAGCTGCCCTGGAATTTGGAGTTCGGGGTCTTGTACTTCCACTCGACACATCCCTGTGTCTCCATAGCAACTGTTTACTGACCCCTTCCTCTACTCCCTCTGAGACCCTGGCCATCCTCCTGGGGTCTTCAGTGGGCAAAGCTTCGGCCCTCTGGCTCGAAGCGTCTCTGTTTCTTGCATTTCTGCCTGCATGCTGGGGAGGCCTGGAAACACTCACCCTGGTTCCTCAATAGAACTGCTGTGACAATTAGAATTCTTTTGTCAAACTGTTCTTTATCTAAATTCAGAGAGTAAATTTAGATTTTGCGTATTGGATTTTCTTAAAGTGGAATGCGTTCGGTAGCTTTCTTTTTAGCAAGTGTTTTACTTTTTCACAAGAGATGGTTCACACCAGTTATGTCTTTTGCTGGTATTCTTTTTTTATCAGATTCAATTTCACATCAGCCTGAGTCCCAGAAAGGTTGATGTCTTCCCCTGGACACACAGCATGGCATTCCCAGAGCCATGTTGCTGCCCAGATCTGGACATGCCAGGGCAGCCTCCTCTGGAAGCCCATTTACGCTTGAAGTCCAGGGACCACTTGTGGGGGACCCACTTGCTCTTACTGGGGTCTGGGAGATGTCAGGGACGTCAGTGGCACAAGCTTGACCCAAGGGGACTTCAGTATCTCTCTGAGGACATAGAAACACACTCACACTGACACTCACATACTCTGCATACAAATCTTTTCAGAACCAGACAAAGTGGATAACACAATGATCCAGAAGGGAAGCAGAGTGCAAGTCTTAAGGTTTGAGTTCAAATTTCAGTCCTGCCCCTAACTGGCTGTGTGGTCTTGCATAAGCTACTTCTTTTATCTGGGACTCCATTTTCTTCCACCGTCAAAGATGAATTTAAACTCAATCTACCTGGGATTGGAGTGGGCAGGGGTGAACACACTGGCACAATTCCCACCAGATGTTGAGGCCTATACAGTCCTAACTCTTTTCAGTTTGGAGAAAGATGCTGATGGAAACCCAAACTCAAACTGGCTTAAGCCAAAAGGAGAAGTTATTGAAGGGGCTCTAAGTCACATCTGGAACTTTGGAGACAGCTGAGATAAAGCCCAAAGCTGGGGGTGAGGGACCACATGTCAGGGGAGCTTGGAGACAGCCATGTAGCCTCGAGGCTGCCCTAGGCGAAGGGAAAGAGTGTCCACTCCACTGTCGGCATCCCATTTCTGCAAAAGCCTGGCTGGTGAAGTTTCAACCAGGTGACCCATGAGCAAAACTGGTTTCTGAAGGTACAGACGTGGGTTCACAGCCAGTTCCACCCTTTCGCAGCTGTGTGACCATGAGCCAGTCCCCCACTGTTTCTGAGCAGAGTTTCTGAGGGTCGAGTGTGAAAATGTAAGTGCTGGCTCCACCCCGGCTTCCAGAGAGCGCTCAGGCAAGACTCACATGCCCTGGGGCTAGAACCTACCCTGGCATGCAAAGCTTATCCCCTGAACCAACATGTTGGCTTGTGTCTTCCCCTCTAGTCTTTGATCAAGGGCAGGGCCACGTCATATTTGCGGTTGTTCCCAGTCTTGGCACTGTGCCTGCTGCGTGGCCGTATAATCCACGAATGGCTGTGGAATGGAGCTACAGGGAGCGGCAGATGGGATCCTTCACACAGCATGTCTGCCCACGTAGGACCTGAACATAGCTGGGCCCCTTCAGCCTCTGTCCTACCCCTGCGCCCACCCTATAGCCATGCAGCACACACACGGCCAGTTCCCAACGTGTGGGTGAACATTGCGGGTTTCACTGAAGTTTTTGTGGGAAACCAGGGGAGCAGATGGCATCATACAGCACACTCCAGCCTAATCACAGCAGCCCTGGGTTTCTCCCTTCTCTCCTTCGTCATCTCTCTTCCAGGCAGTGCTCTTCCCCTCCTCTCCAATCCCAGTTTCTTTAACAAAACCAAATCCTCATTTTACATCCCCAATGAAGCAAAACAAAGCCGGATAGGACACAGACCACAGGGCTCCTGCTCCACCGGTATCTCATTCAACCTCCTTTATCCCCATCTTTTTATTATGGCCAACCATTTTATCCTCACGCAGGCCTCTGTGCCCTGCACACACAACAGCTTCCTCAAGCTGCCCTCCATGTGGGTGCTGTGAGGCTCCGAGAGGAGACAGGACTTGCCCCATGCCACCCAGCCCCTGGGCAGGGCTCCTCCCTGCCTTGCCCCCAGAGGGCCTAGGTTAGGTCCCCTCCCCAAGCCCATTTGTCCCTGTGGTTGGGCATGGGGCAGGATGACACCTGGCTGGCTGATTCTCCTCGTAGAGTTTAGGGTGCTACACACACTGAATTCAGATGTGGCTCTGAGCAGGCCGTTCATTCATTCCTGACCGTATTGACTACAGAATTGAGTGCTACAAGCAAGGAGTTTAGCTCTTATTCTCCTACTGATTTGATTTAATGTTTGGTTTATTCCTGTCCCTTTCTCCCCCGCTCTCCTCATCAGTTTGACATTTGCATAGTGTTTCCCTGCAGTTTTGTCGAACACCCATGGGGGTTTTGCTGGCAACTCCCTGCTTTGGCTTGAATGGTTTTCTTTGGGGGAGTTTTGAACTCACTGAGGCATCTTCTTCCTCCCTCACCCTGGAGTTTGTGTTCTTCCTCCTACTGGGGAGAGGGCTACATAAATAATGAGACTTCCCTGGCTCTCGCCACCCGCTGCCTGAGCCTGTGGGATTCCTGTTGCCATGTGGCCTTCAATTATTCCCAAGTGTCCCGGGTGGGTGGGGGCCTCAGGTGCCCATGAATAAGTCTGCCCCTGCAGGTGGGTAACCTCAGCCTGCCCACCAAGCACCTCTGCCAACAGTTTGGAATCCTGAGGTGCTGGCGCTGCTCAGCCGTGAAGCTTAGAGGCACCCCTGGCAGGCTGTCCAGGCCTCAGGGCTTGCGGACACCTGGTTGTCTTAGTGTGATGTCCCCCAGAATCAGACCTGTTATAAGGATTCAAGGGAGGTGGTTTATTTGGGAGTTGAAAGAAAGTCCAGGAAGGAATGGGAAGTGAGACCGGGAAGGTTACCACTGTGAGTTGTTGAGCTCAATCCTGCCCCAGTTCTCCAGGTTACTCAACATGCCTGAACCCCCCGGGGTGAGAGAGGATCAAGTTAGGACCCCTCCTCCTATTATAAGGCTGCTGAGCCAACAGAGGCAGGGCTCGGTGGGGACAGGGAGAGAAATCTGCAGATTCCTGAGTCCTGACTCCTGCACCTGGACCTCTTTCTCCAGCTTGCTCTAGAGTGGAGCTAGAACCGGTGGGATGAAGTTTCAGGGTGCAGCTAGATGCTGGAGAGGAAGCCTGCACACAGGCAAATGCACCAACAGAACTGGCAGGAGATGGTCCAGTGATTAAAGTGATCAGGCAGAGGTTGAATCATTGCCTGTCCAGGGACGCTGTAGGCAGAAGGCAGGGAGCTAGCCAATATTAAACACCTTCTGTGTAGCAGTCCTGGATATTTGGAACTAGAATTCAAGCTCCTTAAGAACTGGGGCCCACATTTTATTTACTTTTTTTTTTTTTTTTTTTGAGGTGGAGTCTCGCTCTCTCACCCAGGCTGGAGTGCAGTGGCACAATCTTGGCTCACTGCAACCTCTGCCTTCCAGGTTCAAGTGATTCTCCTGCCTCAGCCTCCCAAGTAGCTGGGATTACAGGCACGCACCACCACGCCCTGCTAATTTTTGTATTTTTAGTAGAAACGAGATTTTGCCATGTTGGCCAGGCTGGTCTTGAACTCCTGACCTCAAATGATCTGTCCGCCTCGGCTTCCCAAAGTGCTGGGATTACAGGCGTGAGCCACCATGCCCGGCCTGTTTACCTTTGGATTCTCAGCGCCTAGCACTGTGCTTGGCTCCTGGTTGTAAAACCTAAAATAACAGGAAAAATAGCCACCATTGACAGCCACCTACTGTATTTTTTGTAAAGAATCCTGACAACAATTGCTCATGGCAGGTACTATAATCTCCACTTTACAGATGAGAAAACTGAGGTTCGGTGGGGTTGAATGACTTGCCCCCGGTCATACACTTCCTAAGCAGCAAAGCCAGGGTTGGGACTCAGGTTTGTCTGCCTTCCCGGATCCCTGATTTTTCTCCTCCTTGTGGCATGTCACTGCATCGGGACGGTGGTTGCACTACGGATGTCCCTGGAAGGCCCTCTTGATTCTGAGGTTCTGTCTTATTAGCTGCACCTCCCTCCACCCCCGGCCAACCGCAAAGAAAAGGAAAAGTCCTTTCCTCCTCCTCAGGTGGCTCGTGGTGGATTACTTAGCGCTTGACACGGCGTGTCTCTGTGTCACTGTTCCTGGGCGGAATTAAATCAGGGCAGGAAAATATTAATTTGGAGTTGGGGATGGAGGCCGCTCCTTTCCAATTATTCTCCACCCCATCAGGCTTATCCTGGCGCAAACAAGGAAGGAGGCTGGATTAATTGCTTTGGACTCTGCCCCACTCCGGTCCCAATTACTGGGCCGGCTTGGCTCCCAGCATTATGAAGCACACTGCTGTGCAGGAAATTGTGTGAAATTTTAACGGATTTTCAGATGCAATAATGGAGCACAGGATTCAAGGCCAGTATTCATGGGGCAGCCGGGCCCTCTATGCCTCGGCTGAGGTTAAGCTGTTTGGGGTTTCTTTGTATATTAAAGGATCATCTGGTTAACCCCAAAACCCAGGGCCGCCAGAACTGTTCAGACTCTGACCCCACAGAGGCAGGGTGGGCTCCTGGAGTGCAAGGAAACCCACTGCCTTCATGATAATAACAACACCATTTTTTGAGCCTCCGCAACGTCCCAGGTACTTACCCCAAACATCTTTAAGCCTGAGCCTTTGAAGTTCTTCTTATTTTTATCCCCCTATCTTATAAGGGAAGAAAAGGGGACTCAAAGAGGTTAAGTGATTTGCATAAGGTTTTCTGGCCACACCGCGGTGAAGCCAAAATTGGAACCCAGGTCTGTCTCCAAAGCGACCCTATTTTCTATATCACTCTGCCTCCTCCCTCATCTTCTATTTCTTCTTCTTAAGGATGCATTATCACAAATGTGGCTTCCCTACCACACCGGATATCTAGAGTAGAGTCCTTTCTTGTTCTGTCTCTGCATCTTCAGCCACTATCAGGGTACCCAGCACCAACAGGGGCCCAGGAGAAGTTTGTTGAACTGCAGTCAACCTGACCCAGTTGGGCATGACCCAGCCCCTGGACTCCAGGATTTATAAATGGAATGAGGGGGTGGGCTACTGCAACCCACAGACATCTCTGGGTCCTTGAGGTGAACCCCATTTGAGCCATATGGAACCGACAGAGAGGGTGAGGAGGGGGATCACGTCCCCAGCCTAACTGTGTAACAGGGGCTGTCCGGATGCTCCCCATATATCGTCTCTGTCAATCTTCACCATGACCCTAAGAGATGGCCAGTTATTAGGAAGTAGGTGTCTAAGAGGGGAAATCTGTCCTATTGTCAAAGGCAAGAGGTAGCTGGTGGCTTGGTCAGCAGTGGGGACTTTGATCTCTGCATGGCCAGCTCTGGAGGCTCTATGGCATTGTAAAAATGCATTGAGAGAATCCCATAAAATCTGCCCAGCAGAGGCAGCGGCTGGAGAGGAGGCAATAACCATGGAATATGGAGTGGAGTGGCCAGTGATAACGGAATATGAGAACCCCTGCCTTGGGGGCTAGGCATGACTGGGACACATTAGGCTGCTAGGGATGTATCTGGGGAGAGTGGTTGGATTTGCATTCTGGCCTCACTTTAACAACTGGAAGAAAATTCCTTGGAGGGAATTACAGTATGGCTTCTTGGCCCCCACCTTGAGGCATGACACGGGGGGTCTATGAAGGCTGCAGAGGAGCAGGAGGATAGGGATAGAGCTGGCAAGAGGGGTGACTGACTTGGGGGAGGGGGCAGTGAGAGGGAGTTTGGGGAAGTGAGTGCTATGTAGCTCACGAATTTTAGACTCTGGTGGGGCCACTACATGGAAAGAGAACCAGGTGTTCATGGTGGGCCCAAAGACAAGGACACTGGAGGCAATGAGGGCGGAGGAATGCAGGTGAGGCGCACAGTGACCATCATTAGCTGTCCAGTTCCTACCCGCCCCTTTCAGCAAAAGGAGAATTAATTATGTGCAGGGGATGCCCCCTTAATGGCCATCGTTTAGTTTAATTTAAGAAACAGATCCCTCCTCACACCCCCCTCGGTCAGCAGCACCACCATTGGCAGCTGCATTGATTAATGGCCTCCTCTTGGATACAGGGGAGCAGTGGTTCTGAAACTGGAGCGCGCCTGAGAAACGCCTCAAGGATTCCTTTACACACGGATTGCAAGAATCCATCCCTGGGTGGTGTCTGATAATTTGGATTTCTGACAGGTTCCCAGGTGATCTTGATGCTAGTGGTTCCGGGAACACACTTTGGAAATCACTGTAGTAGAGACAGGATTTCCTGTAGTCTCCCCACCCTCAGGACTCGGGAACTCTGCCCTTCACTGCCCCCTGTCTCAAGGGTCCTCTAATCCAATAGGGGCGGGCATAGCCATCTCTGCCACTTTACTACCCACAAGTGCACTCATCTCTCCAATGGTGTGTAAGACATGTGCATTCTCTGAGCATCATGGTGATCCCACCCCTGGGCATTTCTATTCCAAAGAGAGATGGATAAGTGCCAAGGACCCAATTCCTGGACCCCTCTGTCTAGATGCAGTCCCTCCTGAACTGGATCCTGGGGGACCCACCCGGTGCACCCTCAGCACCAAGCCAACCCAGAGGTGTCCCAGGAGGCTGGTCCCCTATTCTGCAGGGCCTCTGCTCCTATGCACCAGGTGAGAGAGGTCAGACAGCTAGCATCTCTGGCAGCCTGGCAGTTGCAGGAGGGGGCCCACAATTACAGACCTAATTGTGTGACCACAGGCAGGTCCCGCCCCCCATTGATTTGGAGCTGGCACTGCGGGCTTTGCCAGGGCTACCATCCAGAGAGCCTGTTTGCACCTGTGTCAAGGCGAGCTCAGGAAACCTAATTAGCTAGTTTGGTGTTTTATAATTAGGTCCTTTAAAAGAATTCATAGGTGGTGATAATAAGCCCATTTAGAAATCTATTAAGCTTTGGGGGAAGTTGAATAGAAACCTTGTAACTATGTGCACACTTGCTTTCTCTTTCCCCTCAGTGTCTCCTTTCTCCACTTTTTTCTCTTCTCTCGAGTCCTTCCTCCTGCTCTCTTTCCCACTCTGTATCGCTGGAGTTACTGACTCCTGCACCCATGCTAAATGCAATCCTCTTTTATTGCTTAGGAAGTCTTGCACACATACTGAAGCATTTAATCCTCCTCACAACCGTCAGAGGTGAGTACTTTCCTGATACCCACTTTATAGATGAGGAAACTGGAGTGCAAAGAGGTCAAGACACCCATCTGAAGCGACATGTCCTTAAGTCGCTGAGCCAGAAATGGAACCTGGTCAGTCCGGCCTTACCCTCTCAGCAAAACTCACTTTGCTCAGCCTACATTGCCCTACTCACCCACAGCCCAGTGCTCCTGGCTCCAGTGCTCCTACCAAGCTGGCTGAGTTGACATTTTACACATCAAATTCCTGTTTTCTCAGAGACCTTGTGCCAGGGCTTCAGCGCTAACTTCAGATGGGTCTGTAATGAACAATGGCTTCTAATAAGTTTTGCTTCTCTGGCAACTCTTCCCACCTGGATTTCTGACAAGGTAGTATGGTAGAAGAGCAGGCTGGATGCTCCCCTCCCTCTCTTCCTCCTTCCTCCCACCCTTCCCCCCACTCCCTCCCTCTCTGAACTGGGGCTGAGAAGCCACAGATGAAGTCAATCAGTTTCTAACTGAAGGGCTCAGGGGATCCCCAGATGCTTCCAGATCTACATTAGGGACCCTAGCCCTCTCTTATCACCCCGTTTATTTCCTTCTAAGCACTTATAACATGACATTCTCTCAAAGATTTGTTCACTTATTCATTCACTTGTTTATTACCTATCTCTCCCCATGAGAATGCAAGCGCTGTGAGGGCAAGGACTTTATTTATATATATCTGATTCCCTGGAGCCTGCATTGGTTCCTAGCACAGAACAGGACTCAATAAATAGTGTTGAATAAGCAAATGTGTTGAACCTGATACTCAGTTTCCTTATCTATAAAATGGGATAATAATATCTGCTCTGCAGGGTCATAAAGAGCTTGGCACACAGCAGGTGACCCATAAATTATGCTACCCTCACTCCACCCCCTGCAGACCCCATTAAATTAAGCACTGAAATGCCCAGAGAAGCTCTCCTACTTAAAAAAAGCCCTTGGATGAATCCTCTTTTTTAGAGGGCAAATAGCTTTTCTTTTTATTTCTTTATTTCTTTTTTTAAAATATAATTGTAAAAATTTTAAATGAGATGAAGTCTCTCTATGTTGCCCAGGCTGGTCTCGAACTTCTTGGCTCAAGCGATCCGCCTGCCTCAGCCTCCCAAAGTGCTGGGATTAGAGGTGTGAGCCATGGTGCCTGGCCAAGACTTTTTCTGTAAAGCAAATGAGCCCTCCTAGATTTATCTGCTTTGGAAATTGGGTGCTTTTGTTTATATTGGTCTTCCCTAAAGTGGACTGACTGAGTGCATATAACTATAGAAGTGTATATATTAGTGTCTTCCTACAATAGTTACTGATTATGCAGATTCTGAGAGCGTAAGTTCAAATTGTGCCACCTTGAAGCATAACAATGACTGCAGAAACATGAAAGTCAGACATAGGGCTGCTGCTCTTTAGCACTGTTGGTAAAGAGCTTGCATTCTGATAGCTGTGTTTGGAGCTAGGCTCCTCCACTTGCTAGTCGCAATGACCAGTGGCATGACTAGTTGCATGACTGAATCTCTCCAAGGCTGCATTTTTTCTTCTGTAGAATGGGGGACAGTGGGGTGGTAGTCATAATATTTGTGCCTATCTTATAGCATAACAACCCTATTAAATGAGGACATGAGATCATTCATTCAAAAAAAAGCTTATTGAACACCTACTATGTGCCAAGCACTGTTCTGAACTCTAGTAATTCAGCAGTAACACATTTGATGCTGCATAAAGCTTACATTCTTTTTTTTTTTTTTTTTGAGACGGGGTTTCACTCTTTGTTGCTGAGGCTGGAGTGCAGTGGCATGATCTTGGCTCACTGCAACCTCCGCTTCCTGGGTACAAATGATTCTCCTGCCTCAGCCTCCTGAATAGATGGGATTACAGGCATGCGCCACCACGCCTGGCTAATTTTGTATTTTTAGTAGAGACAGGGTTTCTCCGTGTTGGTCAGGCTGGTCTTGAACTCCCGACCTCAGGTGATCTGCCCGTCTTGGCCTCCCAAAGTGCTGGGATTACAGGCATAAGCCACCGTGCCCGGCCTGAGGCTTACATTCTAGTGGGAAATAATGCATGTAAAGCTCTCAGAACTGTGCTCTATGAATGCTGGCTAGAAGGGTGACTATGGCTGTACAGTGACATGGCTTATGGATATAGGTTCTTACCTCCATAGCCTCTTCAATGGGAGAAGATGTACACATGGCTGGACACATCTCCATGAAATTGATCTATGGTGAGACTGAACCTGCTCCACTCTTTCATGAGGCTGGAATTCTTTGCACATGTGTGTGCGTGCATGTGTGTTTTGGAAATGGGTGGGTGTGGGTGAATGTTGGGCCTTTTCAACCTGACATTCAGTGGTCAGGTGTCAACCTCATCTTTCCTTGTACAACTTATTGCACTGTCTTATGCCTTTGCCTTCCATAGTCTGCTTTTGCTCACCCTGTTCCCTCCTCCCAGACTGCTTTCTTCCTGTCTCTGCAAACTCTACCCATCCTTCAAGGTCTTCCTTCATGAAGCTGTCCCTGAACCTCTCCACTGGGAGAAATCCCTCCCTTCACTCTCCATCTTCCTCCTCTCTTACGCTTGTGTCCCTTCCTTCCCATTCCCTTGATCTGTTTCTGTTCCCCTGCTGAACCATGGACTCCTTCAGGACTAGATCCTGTTCTGTCCATCTCTGTGCCCTTTGCACTGCATTGCTTTACTTGAAATAGATTCTTAACAAACATTTCTTAGGCAATTAAACAAATGCATGGCTCAGAGGATTTATTTTGAATCATCAGACTTTTTCTGGGGTGAGAGATATGAGGCAGGAACCTGGTCTGGAGCAATAATGGCCTTTTTTGCATTGGCTCCTCTGGCTGTGTGCAGATGCTCCCACTTGTACACCAAAACCTGCCTCTCTGAGCACTTTCACATGCATCCATGAGGCCTGGGTGGTTGTTTTGGGTGTGTATTTGGGGGGGTGGTTACGGTGGCAGCCCAGTGCCCAGTGATGGATGAGGGGGGTGGAGGTGACTTTCCCAGGGGAAGATTAGCGCCTGGCAGCTATGATTTGTCTCATGCCCTCCTGTCCTTTTGCTGGGCCCCACTGCAGGGTCATTCATTACAGAGGCTGCTGTCACAGACTGGGGGCAGGGGCTGAGCAATGTGTGCATGTGTGGGGGTGGCAGGCAAGACCCCTTCCTTAGGAGAGACTCTCATGCCAGAGACCAGAGACCACTCTGACTATGCAGCAGCTCTCTGGAGTTCTGAGAGAAGAGGACCAAGTTGTAATTCACCTTCTAAGACATACCACTGACTCAGGAGCAACACTGTGTGATAGGGTGGGGAGGGGCATGTAGTTATTCATTCACTTGGCAAAACATTCTTCTGAGTGCCCACCAGATCTGTTCTGTCCCTTCCAGGAACTCACGATTGCTGAAGGAAGATGGGCATGTACACAGACAGTGTCAGGAGGGAACAGGGGCTGGTGTGACAGGTGCCCTCCAGCCTGGGGCACTTGAAGGCAAGTGAGAAGCCATAGGGGATGGTGGAAAGAGCACTGAACTTGGAGGCTGAAAACTTAGGCTTGGGTCCTGGCTGCATTACTTACTAGCGTTGTGGCTTTGGGCCAGTCACTTAAAACTTGCTGATGCCTCGGTGCCCACATCTATGAAATGGGGCTGTGTTAAAAGTGAAAAAGATGTCAACGTGCTTATTTATTTATTTATTTATTTATTTATTTTTGAGACAGAGTCTTGCTCTGTCACCCAGGCTGGAATGCAGTGGCGCGATCTTGGCTCACTGCAACCTCTGACTCTCTGGTTCAGGTGATTCTCTTGCCTCAGCCTCCCAAGTAGCTGGGATTACAGGCACGTGCCACCACACCCAGATAATTTTTGTATCTTTTTTTTTTAGTGGAGACAGGGTTTCACCATGTTGGTGCGGATGGTCTTGATCTCCTGACCTCGTGATCCTCCCGCCTCAGCCTCCCAAAGTGCTGGGATTACAGGTGTGAGCCACCGCACCCGGCACAATGTGATTTTTTAAACTGGAAGGTACTATATAGGTGGGTGGGATCACTGCTTTGTCAGTCCTGTTGCAGGGATGGGATGGGGGCAGGGCAGCCAGATGAGATTCTAGAAAAAAAATAGAACCCCTTCCTCCCAATCCCCACATATTTATACAGTCCTCTGCAGTTTACAATGCACTTTCACACTCTGTATTTCTTGTTCCTTACAACAACTTTGCAAGCCAGGTCAAGGCAGGCATTATTAAATCCCATGTTTTAGGGGAAGAAGAAGCTCAAAGAGGATAAATGACTTGCCGAGGGTTAGTGAGCCCAGTTAGTGGGTGAGCTAAGGCTGGAATTTGGTTCTTTCTGATACCCAGGCCTGATGCTGTTTCCCTGCTTCTACACACCAGAGCCCCTCTGTCCCTGCTCTGGTCTGGATGACATTGCTCCCACCCCCCTGGGGCTCCCATCCCATAATGGATGCAGTACCTTCCCCAGTCCACGTACCTTCATTATGACAACTCATGACCACTTTTGGTTACAATAATGTCCGAAAGTAGCCATGAGAACAGAGAGAGCACTGTAGGTTTAAGAGTGTTCAATGGAAAGAGGAGACCAAGCTGAGATTTCCCAAGGGCTCTCACCCAAAATTGGTAGGCCAGCTGATAAATTAGTATGATAAGGAGAGAAGGAGAAAACTGAAGAGAGGGGAAGGAAAGAGAAGAAAAGGCAATAAAGAAAGAGATAAAAAGAAAGAAAGGAAGAAAGAAAGAAAAGAAGGAAAGAAAGAGGAAAGAAGGAAGGGAAAGAAAGAAAAGGAGAAAGAAATGGAAGTTGGGTGAAGAGCATGATGAGGGAGTAAGGGAAAGGTGAAAATAAAAAAGAGTGGGAGTAAGACAGAAAGGAATCCAGGAGAGATAAGGAAAGAGAGAAAAGGGGAAGGAGGGAGGCCAAAGAGGCTGGGGAGGGTGCTGGGGGGAGGGCCAGCTCCACTCTGGCAAGGGGTGCGAGATTGAAGGCTGAATCGCAGCAGGCAGTGAAGGAGAGGAATAAGTCATAAACGCTGCAGGGGCAAAGGTCAAATATAGACTGATGGCTCCATTGTTTCCCAGCCGGTGAGGAGGACCCTGTTGGGGGCTGCTGAGATGCTTAACCCTTCCCTGCCCAGCCCTTTGATGGTGAGGCAGGTGTGGGAATGCACAGTGAGAAAAGCACCTGTGTGTCCAGGGTGAGGATTAGGGGGTTAGAGTTGGGATTGGATGGGGGACAGGGTGGGGACTGGGTCATGGAAGAAGGGACTGAAAAGTCCTCTCCACTTCAACTCACAGGAGGTAGAATAAAATGAAAACGTGCCACCTCTCTTTTTCTAATAGTGGTAGTCCTCTTTTGCATCTCTGTAGAGATTTCCTAGGGAAGAAGGAAGTTCTTGGGAAATGATTGAGTAACACCTATCAACAACAATAATAAATAGTATTAACAATATAAATAAATGTTTACTAAAGAATAAAATGAAATTCATATTAATTTTTATTAACCATTAATATATGCTATTATTGTGCAGTGCTTATGGGTTTGAAAATAACTTTGACAAACATGTTATTAAATCTAACAATCCTGTGTGATAGGTATTATCAGCACCATTTTATCAGTGAAGAAATTGATGCTCAGACTTGTCCAAATTGTGCCAGTTAGCAGCTTTCTGAATCCTAATCCACAGATCTTTGCACTACCCAGAATTTTCCTTGGGCAGTATCATACTCACCATAGAGGAAAAACAGAGACTTTCAGGAAGGGTTTGGTTATGAAATGACGCTTGCCGGTCGAGAAAGCCAGATGTAGTTGGTTAGAGAGGGGATGAGAGGATGATGTCCGTCTGTGGGATAGGTCTTCAGAACCACGGACAGTTCTCAGACCACCGTTTCCACATCCCCTCTTCGCCAGACTATGAAGCCTTGGGTGGGTGGGGAGGTGGTGCGGGGGAAATATCACCAGACTCCTTGAGCCCTCCCGAGGGGAGAGCTGGGGGGCTGGAGGATGGGATGTCTACTCCTCGTGGGCTGTAACTCCACCCCCCACCCCATGATGTATAGACTGACAAAGGACTTAATGCTGTGAATACATAAAGCGGCGGAGGCCTGGGCGGTGGAGGGTGACAGCTGCCCTTTAATGCTTGGCTTTTTAAAGATCATGGTAGAGTTCAGAAAGTATAGTCATGAGGTTTAATGATTTAATGGGGACGACTGGGGAGCAAAAATAGTTACTGCGCCCTGGGGAAAAGTGACTCCTCATACATATTACTTTAGCCTAATGGCCTATAACGCCCTCCCCCCGTGCCCATGGGGGGAGTCACGCTACATAGCCGCTGTAATACCGAATGGCCTGATTAAATGCATATTAAACAATACTAAATTGGGAAAAAAAAGGCGGAGGCTGCTAAATGTATTTATTCTGTGAGGGGAAGATATGACTCCTCCTCTAGCATTGGATGGAAGAAGTCCTCCTGCCTAGCTGGTTCCCCAAAAGATGTGGTGTCCCAGTGAGATTCAGAGGGAGGTAGGAACCTCATTTCTTTGGGAAGAACTTATGGGGGAAGGCACCTCCAAAATTGGAGGGAAATGCTATACAACCAAGGATCTGGAATGCCAGGAGTAAGAAGGGTCCACAAGATCTACCGTTCCAAGAGGCCGCAGGGATTCTCAGCTTCGAGTTCTGTCCACAGATATGTGGTTTGAGTCTAATCAGTCATTTTTGAGAGGCTGCTTTTCCGTAAAATCAGGGGCTACTTTTGGATTCTTGGGTCCAGTGTACTGGTCTCCTTAGCTGTAAACCACTCCCCTCCCTCAACATGGTCCTGGTCATCAGTTTCTAAGATCACTGATGAGGCTAGAGTGAGAATGAAGCCTTAGTTCCTCAATGCACCTGGATTCTATAGACCATGAATACATGCTAGAATCACCTTGGTAGGTTTTTAAACTACCAGTGTCTGGATTATTCTCCCCAAGAGATTCTGATTCACTTGGCTTGGTGTGCCTCCCAGGTGTTGGTATTTTTTAAAAGCTACCCAGGCGAGTCCAATGTGCATCCAAAGTTGAGAATCGCTTTAGTAGAGTGTCAGAGCTGGGAGAGACTTTGGAAAGCACCCAGTTTAAGGTCTTTATTTCAGAGATGAGGCTGGGAGAGACTCTGGAAAGCATCCAGTTTAAGGTCTTTATTTCAGAGATGAGGAGTTGAGGCTCAGAGAGGCCATTGACTTCTCCAAGATCCATAGAGATGGACTGGACTCTTGACTCTCAGCCCTGTTTCCTTTCCATTGCACTCCTTCCTTTTTTATGGTAGAATGGACAAGGTCAGATCAGAACCAGTGACTATGAAACATCAGAATCCTGGCTCTGCAGCTCCCTGTCTCAGACCCAGGCAGACCCAAGATAGCATTTTTTTCCCCTGAACTTAGGTAAGAGGGATTCTTTGGTCACTCAGCTCTGTCTGAGATGTCAACATGTGGTTTTCTGACCCCAAGAACCTTCCAGACCACCTCTCTGGCCCCTAATCCCCTAGGCCTTGGCTGACCTATGGTCTCACATAGTGAAACTTTTTAAGAGCATGGGCTCTGGAGCCAAGCTACGTGGATTTAAAGCTTAGACCTGCCACTTATTACCAGTATAACTTTGGGGAAGTTAGTTAACACCTATGCGCTTCAGTTTTCCTATTTGTAAAAGGGAGATAATAACAGCACTCACCTCGTAAGACTGATACGAGGATGAAGTGAGTTAATACATGTAAAAGTACATAGAACAGTGTCTAACATGTAGTAATTGCCATGTAAGTGACAACTATTGTTGATTTAACGTTTTAAACGTGCCTCCCTATCGAAGATTGAAATGCATTAAGTTTTTCATATATTTATATTTGCCTTCCACCTCCAAAACCCTTAAGGATAGATTCTAGGGCCCACACTTCAGAGATTTTGGCTCTCTCAGATCCTGAATGGCTTCAGGTTCTAGTCAGGATCCAGGTAAGTTCTTCAGACATTGCCTTCCACAAAGTGGAGGAGAAAAACCCTTCCAAAGCTTGGATAGGGAGAGAGTAAGGAGGACAGGAACACGGCTATGTAGAAGCTCAGCTCCAGGCAGAGTGCTAAGATGAAGGTTCTACCTGTCCTCTGGGCATGTTTGAAATGCTTAAAGATACCTAAGTGGGTGGTAATGGCTGCTAGACCCAAAAAAGCCCACTGGCAAGTGAAATTAAACAGAAAGGAGTCCTGCTTCTGGTTTCCTTGTGGGAATAGTGGTGGCCCATGAGTGTCCATTCACCTTTTTACATACTCCACAGCCTGATTTCATTGAGACACAATCTGATTTCCAAACTGAGCTTCCTGTTTGCTTAGCCACTGACTGGGATGCAGTGGGACAGGCCCCCAAACCATCCAAGGCATGGGCCGCAGTCCACAGTTCTCTTCCCTGTTTCTGGCAAGCACCTGTCCATATGTCATGAGGAGAATGAGACAGGAGTATGGACTTCAAGGAGGCACCATCTTCTCACACTAGTTTCTGAATTTTTAGATGCTTTTAGTATAGCACTTTTAGTATAGGACTGTGCAAGAGTAGCCTTCCTAACATCATTGCCAATGACTACCCTTCCCAAGCCTTCTATCCTGGAACACAGCCCTACCGTCCCCAATTCATGTTGCTCCTTTTGACACTCCTGTCTTGGCTCATCCTGCTTTCTTCATCTGAATTGCCTTTCTCCATTATTCCATGTCCAACTTCTGCCCATCCTTCAAAACCCAGGTTAAAAGCCATCATCTCTAGCAAGTGTCCTCTGATTCACCCAATGGAATGGTCTCTCTCTGTCTTGAGCACTTTACAGTTTTCATATTTCCCTCCCTCATTGACCTGATCACAAACAGCCTTGCACCACCATTACCTGGACTCCCCATGGCTCAACCACTAGACTCTAAGCTTCGGAAGGGTATGGGCCCTTGTGTAACCAATCTGCATGTGCCCCACACTCTACAGTCTAACACCAGGCTTGTGCAGAGTTGGCGTGTATTGTTGAACAGATAGTAGAGGGTTGAGTGAATGAGTGAGTATCCTCACCTACCCTGAAGATCAAACCTCATTAAGTAAGAAGGTTAAGAGTTAGGCTTCTCTAGACCTAGTCAGAAAGACTTAAAAGGGGTAGAAGACATCCCCCTAGAGGAGTCAGTGGCAGAACCTCTCAGCTCCAACCCCAGACCATCTACTTGGAGGAGCAGGGAGAGAAGGAGAACTGTGATTGATTCCTCCTTTCTGTTCTACCAGATACCCCTCTACACACTCACACACAGCGTCACACACACAGACCTCACTGCCTACTCTCCTCCCTTCCTCCTCCTTCAACTGCATTTAATATAAATGCCCATTAAAAAAAATTCTCCCCTCCCTGTGACTGCATGGGCCAGACCCTCCCACCCCCAGGTCCCTGACGCTCTTAGATTTTCCTGCTGCCACGTTCCACCCTGAGCCATGTCTTCTAGTATTTTGCTTTCAAATTGTGTCTCCTGCCATTTGTGCCACATTTAAAATGCTAACAGTACAGAATGTCATTTACAGAACCGGGGCGTTTGCTCCGGAAAATTAATTTGACTTATTCCTTCTGCCTGTTCCTATCTCCAGGCCAATATTATGCTACTCATTCTACAAGAGTAATACTTAATGAATAGGACTATTAATAATGTCAAGGTCCGCAGGGGCCTGGCGGCTAACGGATAGGCGTAGACGGAAGGAACCCATCACCTGACTCCTGGTTTAATGTCCCATGAAAATATCAGGCACTGCAGTGTAATTATGGAGCAGGGAGAAGCGAGTGGATGACGACCCAGAGTTTCTTAAATATTTTTCAAATTAGTTGATGCTTTTCCTTTTGGGGGAGGAGGATGTTTATCCCCCCACTCCCACTCCATTTTAGTTCTGGTCTGGAAGAGGAGGTGGACCTATTTTCATTAAACACACTCATGCATGCACGCGCGTGCACACACACACACACACACACAGTGAGAGAGAGAGAGAGAGAACAATATATAACTCAGAGATGGTAATAGCTACTCTCACCCCAACATGTTGAGATACTGTGTTGGGTATGAGAAGGGGGAAGTAGACAGCATAGGTTTACATTTAGCAAAAGAGAAAAACACAAAGAAGGAAAAGAAAAAGTGGAATTTAAAAATCTGATTTACAGAGTATCCCAGTAATCCTCCTTTCTTCCATGCACTTCCTCCTTTCCCAGTGCACATAGAATTACCAAGGTAACAGGGCTTCTGGAGAAAACAAGAGGTCCTTCATTATCTGCAGCCCCAGCCCTCATCATCCCCTTCCCACAGTCCTGAATACCCAAGGAGAGGAAGAGTGGCCCTTGCTGTACAGCTTCTTCATTGCTTGAAGCCTGATTCCTTTCAAGCCCTGAGATTATGGCCCTGGGTTGGCCCACATGGCTGCTTTTATAGGAATGGAGCAGCAGGGTTGGGCAGGAACCATGGGAGAGGGAAGAGGGGAGGGATGGGGGAGGCCAGGACTGGGGGCAAAGGAGTTGGAGTGGGAGTCCTGTATGTCAGTCTCATCTCATGTGCAGAAAGTGGATAAGGATATCTGCCTTGCAGAATGGTGGTAAAGCCATGAGATAATGGGTGTGAAGGGCTGGGGCTGGGGCTGGCACACAGAGGGGCTGATAATGTTAGTCCCTTTTGTCCAGTTCACAGATGGTGCAATCAGGCTCCACCATAGCAGGAACCAGGCATCTCTTTCTGGTGCAGAGTTGAACAAAGGATACTTGCCTCTCACCCTGGGTGATGTGTGGGAGCTTCCATTGTAGTGGGGGAACCTCTGCTCTTGAGGGGCCCTCAGACTCCCATGAAGGAGTCATGTTCCTACCTGAGGTTCCCAGTCTTATGGAAGAGACTCAGTTTCTGATCTGAGAGGGGCTTCTGGTCTGGTGCTGGAACCCCTGTCCTTGGAGGGTTCCCATTCTTATGGAGTAACCACAGTGCCTTCCACCAGGGAGGTCTGCAGTCTTATGAGAGTTCCAACCCCCTGGTCTGAGAGGCATTTTAGTTTTATGGGAGAAATCCAGCTTCCAATCACGGTGGGGGCCTTCTGATCTGGTTGGGGAAACTGGGCCCTTACCCTGCAGAAACTCCAGTCTGATAGAGGAGACACAGCCTCTGTGTTCTGGAAGGCCTCCCAGTTCGATGGTAGAGAAAAATTCTTGCTCTATGGGAGCCTAAATATGGAGAGGGATGTATAACACTTGGCATAGTAAAATCCCAGTCTAATGGGGGAGACAGAGTCTGTCTTTCAAGAGATTTCAGTCTGATGAGAGAACAGGGTGGCCTAAAGAAGGCCCATCTGATGGAAGAAAACAGAGCCTGCCCGTCAGGGAGCTCCCAGACCACTGGGGAAGAGAGACCCCTTGGCCTCAGGGGATGTCAGTGTGATCGGGGAGGGCTTCTTTGCAGTGGCAGATACCCTGGTCTTATGGTCTTATTGGGAAGACATGGTACCCAAGGTGGGGCAGCTTCCACCCTTTACAGGGATGGCAGGGCGAGTAAAGGCAAGCAGACTGCAGAAACCCCGAAAGAGGGGAGGCACAAACCGTTCAGCTCAGCTGGGAAGAAATCGGCTCAAGCCCATCAGAGTGACAGATACCCGGGGAGGCTGGGCGTGCCAAGCTGGACCGGTCCGGCCAGGCTGGAAGCCCAGCTGCCCGCTTTTTCTCAGTGCCTGGAGACCGCCCGCCTTTTCAGCACCACGGTCAGCGGCCTTTTCGCAGGCGCGCGCCCCAGCCCCGCCCCGGGTTGGGCTGGCATCCAGCCTCCCGGCCCTTCTGCGTGTCCCTCGGCCCACCGGCATCCCGGGCTGGAGGTGTGGGTGGGGCAGGCGACCGGGGTATGAGAGGCGGTGGGGTGCCTCCTCCGCGCGTCTCTGCGAGTATCTGTCTCCCCCATGCGTCCGCTGCTCCTCATAGAGGCGTCGGGAGAGTGTGTTCGCGACTTTCTCGCACAGCGGCTGCGCCCGCGCCTGACCCTGCCAAGAGAGGGGACACTTCCTCCACCTCATCCCCTACTCCAGGGTCAGGAAGGGGGTCAAGGCTTCCTCTTGGGGTCAGGTCAGCGGGAGCAGGTCAGATGTCTCTGAAGGCATGGGGGGGGGGGTGTGTGTGCCTGTGCACGCGCCGCGGGTGCGTTTGGGGATGTCGCAGGGAAGAGATCATCTTACTACCATGTCTTCTTGGGGCACTGCAGTACAGAATGATCAGGAGAGGAAATCTTCCTTCTGGCTCTGGATGCCCTGCTCACCGCCTGGGTGGGTCAGGCCTGGGTCTGTAGCTGATCTTGCGTTCCCTTCCCCAATCGTGAACTGTTTGTGTGACAGTCTGTGCAGGGACATCTGGCCTCTGCAGGGAACCCTGAGGGGCCCATCCCATGCCAGCTGAGGTGGGGAGATCAGGGGCCCTACAGACATTCTGCCCAGCCCTTCCTCCTTTCTCTCCATCACCTGGTTTGGGCCTCTTAACACCTGAACCCTAACAGATCCAGGTGGTCCAACCAGACCCTGCTCATTCCACTCTTTGTACCCCCATCTCCCAGAAGCAAGGTAGAGGGGTGGAATGGCCTAGACACAGAGAGACATCCCATCTCTACCCCCACCTCCATCCTCATAAAAGGCAAATATGGAATCAGCAAAAAGAAAAAAAGGCCAAATAAAAAGTCATAAAGTCATCCAATTAATAATTATTCTGAGGGACTCATCAGAATTCACAGCTGGGCCAAGAAAATGGTGGAAGGAGGGGGTCAGAGAGGACAAATGTGGGGGACGCCTTCTTTTCCCTCACCCTCAGGTGAGAGTGAAGGCGCCTCCTGCCAAGTTCTCGTTTTCTCATTCGCTTTTTTTTTTTTTTTATGGGGCATCCTGAGTGTAAAAAATATGACTTGCCTTTATGGTGCTCCAACAGGAATGAAGCTATAAAATTATGAACAGTTTTTATGGCGGCTATTCGGGGGATGCTTTTATATTGATGGTATACAGCCTGAATCTGTCTTTTTTGCATCCCACCCCCCTTCCCTGGGCAGGGAGGGGAAGTCTGTGTAACTATTTTTCATGCATTTAATATATTAATTATCTGGTAAATGCTCCCCAGGCTGTGCTCGGGACATTGGAGAGTGACAGGTTCTCAGCGAGCCTCTGAAGGCAGCGCATCAGCCTGCAGTGTATTATGTCGGCGAGGTCAGGGTGGGGTTAATGTAACTTTTTATTTGCTGATTTTTCATAGGCGGGAGCAAAGCCGGGATGGAGGGAGGGAGAGAGAAGGAGGGAGAGAGATAGGAGTCGGGGGAGGAGAAGGTGCCACGAGAGCAGAGATAATGGTGAGGCAGATCTCTCCACCCCCAATTCACCTCTGTCAATGCCAGGAGGTTTGATTAAGTAGGAAAGGAGCAGTGGCCTCTCCTACTGGCTCTGGCACCCAAAGCCACACACTCCTGGTGACACTCTTGGGCATGAGACTTTCCCTTGCTGCATATTGCGCCCTTGAATGCAGGCACAGTGTCACCTTCCAACTCCTTCTCACTTGCTGAAACTGAAACCCCGGCTCTCGGGTCTGGAAGAAAAACTATAAGATTACCGCGGGAGTGTCTGACCAGCTTCCCTTTGTATACTCCCAGATAGGTGCTTACACACAGCCACGTGGACTTGTGCACACACAAGCTGGCTTTGTCACTCGAGTTCACATTGTCCCTCCTGCACGACATGTCAGATTCTGGTTCCTCGCCCATTCACAAAGCGCAGCTTCTGGCGATTAAACAAGGGAAGCGATGAACAGGTCTCACTGGCCACAGTTTCTCTTCTCTGTCAATGATACCAAGAGCACTCATGCCTAGAGCCGAGACCCTGTCCACCTTGCAAGAAAGGAAATCTGTCAGCCAACCCATCTCTGTCTGGAAAGCCTGGGGAGGGGGCTGTTCAGAGGTCCTGATGCCCAGGTCACCACTGGGCCTACGTGTGTGCTCCAAGTCTTGAGAGAATAAAGGCTACCTCTTATATCAGACTGGGACCTCTCTGTTCCTGGCCTCTTGCCCCCGCCCTGCCATCTGCCGGCCCCAAGAGGGCAGCACAGGTGGGTCTTTTCTGCTTTGACTGGTTAGTGATCGTGAATACTTGAGTCCTGGCTCCCTAACGCTTTGAAGCCTTTATTTTGGTTTTTGTATAGAGTTTTTTTTCTTTACTGTAAAAATGTTTAATCATTCAGAAAAGTAGAGATATTGTTAGCATTATTATTTTAGGATTGGGGTAGACACTTTTGTGTGTTTAGCCAGGAAAATGGCAGCTCCTGCTGAACCAGGAGCACAGACCCCTGGGTTCAGGGCCTCAGCTCTGCCTAGACGTACTGTGTGATGCCTCTTTGTTCTTCACCAAAGAAGACAAAGTAGGGGCAGGATACTCCTGAGGTGCTGCAGACCCACCTACCTTTGCTCACTGAGGACTCAGGAGTGTGCGCCCACGTGCACATGTCCTATCCCCCTCCAACGAGAGAAGTTAGGAGCTTGAGTTCTAGAAACAGGGTCTTTGCTTTGCCACTTCCTGCTCTGTGACCTTGAGAGAGTTCCTTTCCTGCGTTCAGATTCAGTTTCCCCATCTGTAAATTGGGGCTTATTATATTAGGGCTGCAACCTTATAGGAATGTTGTAAAGAATAAAGAAGTGGAGCCGTGTAAGATGCTTAGCTCAGTGCCTGGTACAAACACTATTGCTGTTGCTATTGTGATTATTACTATTATTATTTTGATTCTACCCAGGCCTACCCGCCCTTTTTTTTTTTTTTTTTTTTTTTGACTTGGAGTCTTGCTCTGTCACCCAGGCTGGAGTGCAATGGCGTGATCTCAGCTCACTGCAACCTCCGCCTTCCAGGTCCAAGCAATTCTCCCACCTCAGCCTCCCAAGTAGCTGGGATTACAGGCACCCGCCACCACGCCTGGCTAATTTTTGTATTTTTAGTGGGGACAGGGTTTCACCATGTTGGCTAGGCCAGTCCCAAACTCTTGACCTCAGGTGATCCACCTGCCTCGGCTTCCCAAAGTGCTGGGATTACGGGCGTGAGCCACCACACCCGGCCACCAGCCCATGCAGCCCAACCCCTGTGGAGTTACCACTCTTCTACAAATTTGCAAAGTCTGCATTCCAAGTGGCTATTTCCTCTTAGGCGTTTGGCCTGAGTTGTGGCATACCATGCGATAGGTGTGCAGTGATGTGTAATTGTGGTCCAAACAGCAGAGCTTAGTAGGCAAATGCCATTGCCATCTCTATTAAGTCAGCAAGGGGGTATCATTAAGGATGCAACATTGTTGGGCACCTATAGAGGGCTGGAGGTGTCAGGTACATTACCTCATTTGTCTTTCTTAATGGCCTTATGAGGTAGATAATATTATTAAACCATCTCACTGGTGAGGATCTTGAGGATCAGGGAGATTCAGTCAATGATATGCCAGCCTGAGGTCACCAGGTGGTAAGAACCAGGGTTGGGATTTAAGGCCACTGACTGCACAGCTCATGGGCTTCCTGTTTCTTCAGGCTGCCTCTGGCTCCATTTTTTAAATGATACCAACTAAAGCAGTGAGAGCAACCTTGTGAAAATCTAAGTGCCTACTATCTGTCAGACACTGGTGAGGGGCTCATGGGGGCTCACAACAATGAGGTGTTTTTGCTGGTCTGGAGGAGTCTGGAGGCCACTTGGAGGAGATAAGACATTTAGTAATAGTAGTAGTAGTAGCGCCACTACTCATAATATAAATAACATCAGCCACAATAGTTAATGCTTACTCTGTGTCAGGCACTTTTCCAAGAACATTATTCCACAACCCCATAAGACAGGTATTGTTATTACCCACTGGTCTGTAAATGAAATTCTGAGGTCCAGAGAAGTTAAGGTGCGCAGAACTTGCACAACTTGCTAGTGGAAGATTCTGTGTCGGGACCAAGACTGACTCCAGAGGTGACACCCTCAAACTTGTCATCTGCTGTGTGCCAGTTACCCACTTTTCACAATTCTTTTTCAAGTTTGGGATTCTCATGCTCACTTAGGTGTATATAAATGTGTTGGCCCTTTTGTAATTTTTATTTTTGCAGAAGTATTTAATGAGAGCATTTTAAGTACTGTGTTACTAACCATAATGACAATAACTACTAAATGTCTTGGTAGTGAGGTTTGAGGGCCTACTATGTGCCAGGCATTGTGTTAAATGCTTTGTTTGCATTACCTCATCTTTTTTTTTTTTTCTATCGCCTAGGCTGAAATGCAGTGGCACAATCTCAGCTCACTGCAACCTCTGCCCTCCGGGCTCCAGTGACTCTCTTGCCTCAGCCTCCCTAGTAGCTGGGATTACAGGTGTGCATCACCACGCTCAGCTAATTTTCATATTTTTAGTAGAGACGGGGTTTCACTATGTTGGCCAGGCTGGTCTTGAACTCCTGACCTCAAGTGATCCTCCTGCCTTGGCCTCCCAAAGTGCCAGGATTACACGTGTGAGCCACTGCACACAGCCTCTCATCTCATTTTCTCAATGTCCTTTTGAGGCGGGTAATATTATTGTCACCTCTGTTTTCCAGATGAGGAAACTGAGATTTTCAGTTGCGAAGTCACGTAATAAATGGTGAGGCCAGGAAAATGGTTTAAGTCCAGGCAATCCGTCTCCAGGTTTAGAGCTCTTAACCCAAAGCTCTTCATGAGAGAGAAGCTTATGGAATCCAAGGGAGAATTTCCCTATACTGCACCCCAGTCACACTCTCCTCCTCCCCCTCAAAGAGCTTTGAGGTAGAATTTTCCGAGAACCTTTATATATGTATGACAATGTATAGAGAGATTTTTCCTCATAAATGTGATCATTCTGTTGTATTGTTCTGCAGATTTCCCTCCTTTCATATTGATATATGTAGACCTAGTTCATTCTTTTAACTTCTACCTAATATTCCAGAGAATGGGCTTACCATAATTCACCCATTGACGGACATGTGGATTATTTCTGATTTTTTGATATTGAATGCAATGAGCAATGCTTCCTTGGGTATTCTAATACCGGCTTTTCAGGCACATGTGCTCAGCAGCTAGAAGTGGAATTACTGAATGGAACAGAATGTGCCTTTAATATTTTTCTAGTTGTTGCCAAACTGTCCTTCAAAAAGGCTGCATGCTCCCCCCAAGGCATATGGGAGGACCCCCATTTCCTGATCTGTTTACCATTAATGGCTATTATGCATATTTTTTTCCATTTTTGCTAAACTCATATATGAAAAAAAAGTCTTCATTGTTTTAATTTCCCTGGTTACTACTGAGACTGGGGACCTTTATATTTATTTGCCTTTTTTTCTGTCTTCTTTACTTTTTTTATAACCCATTGATGCATATGCTTTGCCCATTTCTTGATTGGGTTGAGGGTTTAAGGTTCTTATAATATTAATTTCCTGATGATTAAAGTAATACATGTTAAACGAAGAACATCAGAAGACACAAAAAATAATAAAGAAAATGGATATCACACATAATCTCACCATCCAGAAATAACACTTGGCATCATATTGGTGCATTTTTGCCACTCTTTTTCTCTGTGCAAATATATGTACTTTCTTTCTTTCTTTCTTTTTAAACGGACTTTTGCTCTTGTTGCCCAGGCTGGAGTGCAATGGTGCAATCTCGGCTCACTGCAACCTCCGCCTCCCGGGTTCAAGCAATTCTCCTGCCTCAGCCTCCCGAGTAGCTGGGATTACAGGCATGCGCCACCACACCTGGCTAATTTTGTATTTTTATTAGAGACGGGGTTTCTCCATGTTGGTCAGGCTAGTCTCGAACTCCTGCCCTCGGGTGATCCACCTGCCTTGGCCTCCCAAAGTGCTGGGATTACAGGTGTGAGCCACCATGCCCGGCCCAACATATGTACTTTCTACCTCCATTCCTAGCATAGCCTGGTATATATGGCCTTGGACCATTTTCTCCACTTGTCACTATAAAGGGGACATTTTCCTATGTTATTAAATATTTTAAATGCTATTTTTATATTTGCTTAGTATTGATCCAATTGATGTGTTAATATTTAATCATTATTCTAATTGCTAGACATATATAGGCTGTTTCCAGTTTTCCACTATTATATAATAAATAATGCTACAGTGAACATCTTTGTACATAAATCTCTGTCCACATCTCTGATTATTTCCTTAGGATAGATTTCTTCAAGTGGAATTACTAGATCAAAGGGTATACATTTTTAAAGATTTTGATCCATATTGCCAAATTGCTTTCTAGTAGGGATACATTGATTTCCATCCCCATTCACCATGTATGGGACATATATTTAACTGCACACTTTACAATTTAAAAAAAAAAAAACACTTTTCAATTGGAAGGTAAATGTATCTCTTTATTGTCTTAATCTTCATTGTCCCTTGCAGGGAACTTAAACATATTTTCCACTTCTCTTGGCCATTTGTATTCTACGAATTGTCTCTCCATGTTTTCTGCCCACTTTCTACTGGACTTATCCTCATGTTTTAGACAAAAAACCTGAGGTTCAGAGTAGCTGAGTAACCTACCCAGTTACATAGTTGGCAACAGCTACAGCCAGAATCCAAACCTCTCTTACTCCAAATCCTGAGCTCTTGCCCTGTGCTGCTTCTCTATGACTCTAGAGCAAGAATCAGCAAACTACGACTCAGCCTGCTGACTGTTTCGTAAATAAAATGTATTGGATCCTGGCCACGCCCATTTGTTTACTATCATCGATGGCTGTTCTTGCACCATGGCAGAGGTGAGCAGTTGCGACAGAGACAGTATGGCCAATAAAGCCTAAAATATTTACAATTGGTTTTACAGAAATTTTTTTTTTTAAGACACAGTCTGACTGTGTCACCCAGACTGGAGTGCAGAGGCGTGATCTCAGCTCACTGCAACCTCTGCCTCCCAGGCTCAAGCGATCCTCCCGCCTCAGCCTCTCAAGTAGCTGGGACCACAGACATGTACCACCATGCTTGGCTAATTTTTTGTATTTTTTATAGAGACAGGGTTTCACTATGTTGCCTAGGTTGGTCTCAAACTCATGAGCTCAAACAATCTGCCTGCCTTGGCCTCCCAAAGTGGTGGGATTACAGGCGTGAGCCACTGTGCCCAGCCCCAGTTTTACAGAAATGTTTTATGGAAAACATTTGCCGACCTATGCACCCACTGCTCTGGAGTAGCACTAGTATATCATTTCAAATGTCCTAGTAGCCCTCTTTTAAAAAGTAAAAAGAAACAAGTGAAATTAATTGTAAGAATGTATTTTATTTTCTTAATAATATCAAGATGTTAATATATAAGCACATAATTCGTATAAAGATTATTAATGAGATTTTTGCATTTTGGGGAGGGATATTATCTTTGAAATCTGTTTTATATTTTGCACTTAGAGCACGTCTCAATTTGGACTAGTCAAGTTCAAGTGTTCAACTGCTACATATGCCTAGCGGATTACCTTAAGAAACAATACAGCTCAAGAGCCCCAAGTTTTTCACCTGTGAAATGGGGATGGTGCTAATATCACTCACTTTGCAGGATTGTTGCAAGACTTGAATGGGAAGCTGTGTGTGTATACAGTTTGTAAAGCACTGCATACCTGCAATGGCGATGATTATAACTATGGGCTGGGGGATCTAGGGTGACTTGCCTTTCACTCTCAAGATGAGTAGAAATTTGATAGGCAGAGTGTAGTTATTGCTGAGAATAACTCCAATGGTTACACACATATATACTCATACCATGTTTTTGTTTGTTCTCTTCACTGGATCAGTGTCTTCTGAATAGTATTCAGGGTTAGAGAGAGCGGGAGTAAGTCTTGCTCACTCAGTGCAGAAGAGATTGTTCCATTAATTCCTCAAATGCCCCATTTCCTGTGGGCTGTGCCTACGGCCACTGGAGGTGTCTGTCTCTGAACTGCCCTGCTTGGCTGCCAAGCAGAATTAAAATTTGTCTTTTTAATTTACCACTTTATTCATCTATCAAATACTTACTGAATACCTATTGTTCAACAGCCTCTGAGATGAGAGTTCTTTTCCTAAAGGATTTCCTCAAAACATATAACTACAACAAAGCTACTGAAATTAAAATGAAAAACAATGAGAAAGAGGTAAACATGTTTAGGCATAGAACCTGTGTAACATGAATTTAGGCTCTGAGCTTCTTGGCAACCAGGGCAAAAAGGGAAATATATTAGATTACATAATTTCCACTATCTGGGAGAAAAATGTGTGCTACTTTTTTTTTTTTCTAAAAGAGACAAACTGTTCCTTGGTACTACATTCAAGCAGGTCATCATCACACAAGGCAGTCACACAGGGACTCTGAGCAGCATAATAGACAAAGCCTCCAACTGCAGATTTACAGCAAGTGCAGCCGTGGTCTTCCTGTGCTTGTTTCTTGTGTCTGCCCTCAATAAAAGCTGAGGGCACCATGGTAAAGCTCAAACGCAATGGAGGCAATACTACAGGAATCCAACCTATGTAATCCAGGTATGTGGCTTTCTAGGGATTTAGCTTGAAGCAAGGAAGGGGTTTCGAATGCCCATGGGAAGGTCTGCCCCAGCTGTCTCTGAAATCCAGTCCATCCTCTTCTTTGCCACTGCCACCACCTAGGGTGAGTCCTTGTCCTTTCTTGCCACCTCTCTGGTCTCTCTCCTGGACTCTCTTCCATTGAGAGCCAGTGATCTCTCTGCTACACAGACCTGATCATCACCCCAACACTCCACCAGCTCAAAATCCATCAGTGATCTAAGTGGTGGGATTTGGGGTGAATTTGTTTGCACTCAGCTTGGAATTTTTAATCATTGTTTGAATTCTTTATAATAAGTATGGATCATACTTGCAAAAACAGTAGGATGATTTTATTTTAGAAAAAAAAATCTGGGTTGAGATGCCCAGCTGTGCCAAGATGCTAATAGTGGTTAATTCTAGGTGGTGGGACTATGGGTGGTTGTTACTTTTTACTCTATATTGAAGTATATGTTTAAAGTTTACAAAATCATTTAGTCCTTCTTTTTTGCTTGTTTGTAACCTGAAACCCACTCACTCCTCCTCTGAGCTCTCCTTTTGCATAGTGACATCATTTATTAGGCACCTACTGTGTACAAGTCACTCTTAAAAAATAGTACTGGATTTAAGCCATATGTTGAACCCATTTCATGGATGAAGGAACTAAAGTTTCAGAGTTTATGGAGGAATTTGCCTGGGGTCACAGGGCTGGAGCGACAGAGATGTGATTAGGACCAGCAGTCTGCAGCCAAACTTCCAGTTTTCCTTTACACTCCAGTCTCCTACTCAGCACATTGTTTTTTGTTTTTTTTTTAATTTTTAATTTTTATTAAAAAAGATTTTTTTTTGAGACAGGGTCTTTCTCTGTCACCTAGGCTGCAGTAGCTTACTGCAGCCTCGACCTCCTGGGCTCAAGTGATCCTCCTGCCTCAGCCTCCCGAGTAGCCGGGATGACAGGCACGCTCTACCATGCTCGGCTAATTTTTGAATTTTTTGTAGAGATGAGGTCTCGCTATGACCCAGGTTGGTCTCAAACTCCTGGGCTCAAGTGATCCTCAATCTTACCCTCCCAAAATGCTGGGATTATAGACATGAGCCATGGTGCCTGGCCTCATTGGCTCTTTTATTTCTTTTTTTTAATACTTCTTTTTTTTACTTTTTTTTTTTTCCGAGACAGGCTCTTGCTCGATCACCCAGGCTTGAGTGCAGTGGCGTGATCACGGCTCACTGCAGCCTTGACCTCCCGGGCTCAAGTAATCCTCCTGCCTCAGCCTCCCAAGTAGCTGGGATTACAGGCATGTATCACCACACCCAGCTAATTTTTTTAAATTCTTTTTTTTGTAGAGACTAGGACTTGCTATGTTGCTCAGGCTCATCTCAAACTCCTAGACTCAAGTGGTTCTCCTGCCTTGGTCTCCCAAAGTGCTGGGAATGGGCGTGAGCCACCGTGCTGGCCTCTTTTATTTTATCTTTCTTTTCTTTTCTTTTTCTTTTTTTTTTTTTTTTTTTTTTGAGGCAGAGTCTCACTCTGTCACCCAGGCTGGAGTACAGTGGCAGGATCATAGCTCACTGCAGCCTTGACCTCCCAAGGTCAAGCAAGCCTTCTCACCTCAGCCTCCCAAGTAGCTGGGACCACAGGCATGTGCCATTGCCCCCAGCTAATTTTTCTGTCTTTGTTTTTTGTTTTTGTAGAGGTGGGGTCTCCCTATGTTGCCCAGGCTGTTCTCGAACTCCTGAGTTCAAGCCATCCACCTGCCTCAGCCTCCCAAAGTGCTGAGATTACAAGCATGAGCCACCATGCCCGGCCCTCTTTTATTTATTCACACCAGCATAGTACTTGGCTTATTCTAGATGTTCAATAAATGTTTATTATTACACACAGGTGCTTCCTAAATCTCACTTCTATGGTGGGAAATTTTTGAAATACTGACTTTTTTCTTCCTTCGTAACATCCCTTCCTTTTACCCCTCGGTATCGTTGCCTCAAAGGACCTCAGAGGATGAGGCCTGTGCCCAGGCAGACCCCTGAGAGCCAAGAGGGTGTGGCTGAGAGGTGGCATCTAGATAGCTTCATGGAGAATCCAGTGCCTCAGCAGGAGGAGCAGACCCCCTAACGTGCCTTCCATCATGACCTGGAAGGACACAGAACTGAAATTGCCACTTGGACAAGAAAGAAGATCCTCTTAGAAGGCACCTGGGTGAACAGATCACATGGACGATCACGTGATACTCTCCCCACCCAGCCTCCAGCACTACAGAAGCCCTCCCAGACTTAGACGGAAGTCTAGGGAAAGGACGAGAACTCCGAGGAAATTCAAAAATCACTGAGACTGAATTTTTTTTCCACTGCCAGTGGCACAAGGACTCAGCATGGAAATTAAATTGCATTAAAGAAAAAATGTTTTATCATAAGAGTCTCCGGACTGAGACTTTTACTACACTGCCCCTATCTGGGCATTTGCTCGGCTGGAGAAACACATTTCAGGGTGGCACTGGCCTCTGAGCATGCGGAAGGAAGTGTGGAATTCTAAGCCACCTACTGAGGGCAGGGAGGTACTGGGAGTTCGGAACCCAGAAAAGCAGACAAACATCCTGAGGCCAAAGTTACGGAGACTGATAGGTGTTCTCCCCACCGGGAAGGTCTCCCCTTCTGTGTGTGGAGGTGGCAAGGAGGGCCCTCTTGTTGGCAAACTTAGAGCTTCCTCCCAAGGTATTTTGGACCCATTACGCTCTCAAACAGGAACCTAATTAAATATATATATTTATATATATTTATAAATATACATATACATATATATTTTTTTAAGGGATGGGGTCTCTCTATGTTGCCCAGGCTAGTCTCAAACTCCTGGGCTCAAGCTGTCCTCCTGCCACAACCACCCAAAGTGCTGAGATTACAGGCGTGAACCACTGCACTTGGCCCAGGAACCTAATTTAGACCCAGAATTCCACACCATTGACCATGGAAAGAATGATCTTGGCCTGAGAAACTTTTAGAGCAGATATGACGAGTTGCCTATGTCTGCATCGTTAGTGCCCTGGTGGACTCTCTCCTTCTAAGCAGCACAGCTCCCTGGGGGACCTTCAAAAAGAGTGAGCCATGAAATGGCCCCCCAGGGGATAAAAAAGAAGGGAGTCTGCTGAATGAAGTTACTTACCAGTGACCCTGCCAATTTGAGCCTCCGCCCGGCAAGGACAGTGAATTTGGCTTTGCCATGGTTGATGCTGTCAGAGAGAGCTTGGGCGGTGGGATAGGGAGGGGCCGCGTTAGTGGACCAGCCGGGTGGCTGAGATGTGGTGGGAACATCACTGTGCTCTAGTTGCAAAGTCTGGTGCCAGTTTTCACTCTGCTCTTACCAGCCTGGCCTGAGAAACCCACTGCCTCTTTCTGAGCCTTGGTGCCCTCCGTTAGACATAACTGCCTCACATGGTTGTGGGGAGGGCGCTTGGTAAGCTCTTGGTGACTTCCCCTAAGAATCTGTCATCCTATTTCACTAGCAGCAGCCTCATCCAGTCTTAGCTGCAACCCCGTGTCACCCGTGGAAATCCCGTTATCCCATGAAAATGCTGTGATTCAATGCAATTAGGATAAAGAGGGACCTGGGGGCTACCACCAGTGGTTACACTGCAGCTGGAAAGCAAGTGGCCTCTTTACTACCAGTAAGCGCGGGGTGTCCTTCAGCCGAGCCAGTCAGGACGCTGGTACTGGGCCTCCTGGATGACCCTACGCCTTCTTTAAAGCCAGATAGCCCATATTCCCGGCAAACACTTTCATTATGCTCTTCTTTTGGGGCGTGGTGAGGTTAGTGTTAATTGCGGGGCTGTTCATAATAAATCAGCTCTGAGCCTGGAATTTTTGTTTTTGTTTTTGTTTTGTTTATTTTATTTTATTTTATTTTATATTTTTGAGACAGAGTCTCCCTCTCTTGCCCAGGCTGGAGTGCAGTGACACGATCTCGGCTCACTACAACTTCCACCTCCCAGGTTCAAACAATTCTCCTGCCTCAGCCTGCCAAGTAGCTGGGATTACAGGTGCCCGCCACCATGCCCAGATAAATTTTTTTTGTATTTTTAGTAGAGACCATTTAGTGAAACCACTTAGGTTTCACCATTTTGGCCAGGCTGGTCTCGAACTCCTGACCTCAAGTGATCCACCCACCTCGGCCTCCCAAAGTGCTGGAATTACAGACGTGAGCCAAGGTACCCGGCCAGTTTATTATTATTTCAGAGACAGGGTCTCACTCTGCCACCCAAGCTGACCTGCAATGCTACCATCATAGCTCACTGCAGTCTCAACTTCCTGGTTCCACCTCAGCCTCCCAAGTAGCTGGGACTACAGGCATATGCCACCACGCCTGGCTAATTTTTGTGGGTTTTTTTGTTTGTTTTTTGTAGAGATGGGTTCTTGGTATGTTGCCCAAGCTGATCTCAGACTCCTGGGCTCAGCCAATCCTCCCACCTTGGCCCCCCAAAGTGCTGGGATTACAGGCATGAGCCACCACAGCCAGCCATTTTTGTTTTAGTTGGAATATGCACAGCAAGAAAGCCACTGGGGCATCAGCCTTTCCTGTACATTACCTCATTCCATCCTTACTACGCTCTGCTGAGGCAAGGTAGGCAAGCATTGTTTTACCTTTTCAAATCTATTTTGTATCTCTCCATCACCTCTGCCATCTTCCTAGTCCAAGCCACTGTCAATTTTTTTTATTAAGGTTTTCTAAGGTATAGTTTATATTTAGTGAAGTGCACAAATCCTAAGCATACAGCTGGATGAAGTTTTACACCCAGGTAACCACTGCTGAGATCAAGCTATACATTCCCAGCTTTATAGCAGGCTTCCTCTACCTCCCTACAGCCATTATCCCTCCCAAGGATAACAGCTATCCTGACTGCTATTCTTACAGATTCCTTCTGCCTGTTTTTGAACTTCATATAAATAGCACCATGCAGCGTGTCCTCCCTTGTGTTGTGAGATTCACCCATGTAGCATGCATCAATCGAGTCGTTTGTTCTTTTTAACTGCTGCATAATGTTCCATTATGTGAATAGACCATAATTTATTTGTTCATTCTATAACTGGTGGACATTTGAGTTGTTTCCAGCTTTCAGCTATTACAAATAAAGCTTGTGTCTTTTAGCGGACATTATGCTAGGTCATAGAGTACATTTATTTTTAGCTTTAAAAGGTACTACCAAATATTTTTTTCCAAAGTAGTTACATTGATTTACATTCCCCCCTGCAGTGTATGTGAGTTTCGGGTGCTTCACAACCTCATCAACCCTTCTTGGTAGTCTCGGTCAGTCTTGTAAAATTTAACCACTCTGATGGGTCTGTAGTAGAATCTCATGGAGGTTGTACCTTGCGTTTCTCTGATGATAAATGATGTTGAGCATCCTTTCATTTGTTTATTGCAAGCCACTGTTATGCTCTCATGGGTCACTGTGCAGAACTCCTACCCAACCTCGCTCTTCCTGCTCTGGGCCTCTCCAATCCCTTCTGTCCAGTACAGCTGCAGCAAAGAGTATTCCTAACATAGCATTTTGGTCCTGTTGCTCTCCTGCTTAAAACCCTTCTATAGCTTTCCCTTGCCCTTTGGATCAAGGGCCAAATCCTTGACCTGTTCCTGCTTTCCCAGGACTCCTGCCTGCCTCTCCAGCTTCATCTAAGATCATTCTGTCCCTTGTACTTCAGCCACTCTGGTCTCTTTTGGGCATGTGAGTTGTTTCCAGGTTTTAGCTATTACAAAAGCTCGTGTCTTCTCCTTCCCAGCATTTATCTTATATTCTGTAATTATATGCTGATTGTTTGATTGATGTCTGTCTCTGCTACTAGACGGTAAGATCCATAGGAGCAAACCCTACACTTGTCTTGCTCATTTTGCATCTCTAGTGCCTAATGTAGTGCCTGACACATAGTAGATCCACAGTGCATATTTGTTGAATAAGTAAATACACTGATATGGTGTGTCCCCACCCAAATCTCATGTCAAGTTGTAATCTCCACATGTTGAAGGAGGGGCCTGGTGGGAGGTGATTGGATCATGAGGGCGGTTTCTAGTGGTTTAGCACCATTAGTGCTGTCTCGTGGTAGAGTTCTCATGAGACCTGGTTGTTTAGAAGTGTGTAGCACTTCCAGGCCGGGTGCGGTGGCTCACGCCTGTAATCCCAGCACTTTGGGAGGCCAAGGCGGGTGGATCACGAGGTCAGCAGTTCGAGACCAGCCTGACCAACGTGGTGAAACCCTGTCTCTACTAAAAATACAAAAATTAGCCTGGCGTGGTGGCATGCACCTGTAATCCCAGCTACTCAGGAGGCTAAGGCAGGAGAATCGCTTGAAACCGGGAGGCAGAGGTTGCAGTGAGCTGAGATTGCATCATTGCACTTCAGCCTGGGCGACAGAGCGAGACTCCGTCTAAAAAAAAAAAAAGTGTGTAACACTTCCTCCTTTGCTCTCTTTCTTCTGCTCTGCCATTTGCCTGCTTCCATTTCACCTTCCTCCATGAATGTAAGTTTCCTGAGGCCTCCCAGTTATGCTTCATGTATAGCCTACAGAACTGTGAGTCAATTAAACCTCTCTATAAATTACCCAGTCTCAGGTAGTTCTTTATAGCAGTGTGAGAACAGACTAACATGTACACCTCCAGTTTACAAATTAAGAAACTGAGGCTCTGAGAGGGAAGGTGCCCTCAGGTTGCAGACCTGGAGCTAGAAGCCACATTTCCTGATTCTTCAATGCTCTTTTCACCGTACCCCAATGCCTCTGATGAGATGATGAGTGAAAACATTTTGCTGTTGCTTTTACACAATTCTAGTGTAAGGATTGCTGTGTTATGACTATCGTCGTTGTTATTATTATCGGATGGACATCAGAATGTCAGCTCCAGGAGAGCAGCAATGGTGTTTCATTTTCCACTGGATCCCAGCACCTCAGTACAGTGCTTGGAACAGAGGAGACACATTGGTGGGATTGACAGTTAACTATTGGTTGAATTGCAGCATTGTTGGCATAGACTAGTATAAAGAAAAATGTCAGCTCCTTTTAAAAGCAGATGCTATGGAACTGTTCATATGTTTTCATTTTGCTGGGACTTTATGGGACTGATTATTGTTTAAATTAAGAAGCTGGTGACTGGTACCTGGAAATCTGTCACATGCTAAATGGTATTCACTGAAACTCAGTAATCCCAAACTTCCTCTGGTTGCACTCAGGCAGGTTGACCTTCATTTTCCCCCTTGGGAAAAAGTTACCTTGAATCATGAAGGATGGAAAAAAGAGGACACTCAAAAGGCCACAAGGAACCTACCAAAGAGAATTAGGGCTTTGCTCATTGTTGGCAAGCAAATTGCTGCTGCTCATTGCAAATGAATCTTATTTGTCCACCATCAAGTCTTATCTGCTCATCGTGGCGGGTCCTGCTGCTGCGCTGCTTGGCAGCAGATGGGTTCCAGGGATGGCAGCTCCATGGAAGTAATAAAATGGCATTTCTTTTCCAATTGTCTCTCATTGAGACCTCTTGGTAATTCAGATTGATTGTCTTACAGCCCAGCACAGGGACTGACTGAGTGAAGTTTGTCTGGGCCCGGGCTTTTATTGCTGTCTCAGGAACTGAATGATATACACAGCCAGATTATTCTCCAGCTGCCCAAGGGTTCTGTCCTTTCCAGTCAGGGGCAAGCCCTGAAGGTGGGTGAGGCGAGGAGGCTCCTTCAAGTCTGGAACCAGGCTTCTGGACTCCTGGCCCAGTGCTCTGTTTAGAGCAGCTGATACATTACCAGGAACAGGCCTATGATAGTCTTCATCACCTGCCTCAGCCAGGACCACGGTGCCTCAGCATTCCCAGTGGCTTTAGGCTTTGTCTGCAGTGGGAATGTCTTGTCCATCCCCTAAGATCCATCCATCTGGGAGTCCCAAGATGCTCCCAGAGGTGCAGCCCCACACCCTTCCTGTGGCTCTGCCTAAGCTCTTGGTGCCTGAGGGAACGGAGAGAATCAACAGCTTCTTAGTTTTGAGCTGTTTATCAGTTTTTTTGTTTTTTGTTTTTGAGATGGAGTCCTTGCTTTGTCGTCCAGGCTGGAGTGCAGTGGCACAATCTCGGCTCACTGCAACCTCTGCTTCCTGGGTTCAAGTGATTCTCCTGCCTCAGCGTCCCGAGTAGCTGGGACTACAGGTGCATGCCACTACGACTGGCTAATTTTTGTGTTTTTAGTAGAGACGGGGTTTCACCACGTTGGCCAGGCTGGTCTTGAGCTCCTGACCTCAGGTGATCCACCAGCCTCAGCCTCCCAAAGTGTTGGGATTACAGGCGTGAGCCACTGTGCCCGGCCCGTTTTGTTTTTATGAGCACGGAGAGTCAGAGGTTCTGGGGTGCTGAGAGTGAATCTGGGGTCTGGCAGGGCACTATACACCCCCTCACCCCAACAGCTAAACCAACAGCTAGAATCTCTGCTCTGAAGGCTCTTGAAAGTCCTGTGTTGAAAGGGCCAGACCCCCACCCCTGGGAGCAAGGCCAACCTCGTGTCCCCTTGTACCCTCTCCTTTCTATTTCTGTAAATTTTTTTAGTTCTCCTCCTGGCCCTGTCTCCTCTTTCCCTCATTTCTGTATCCCCATCCCCTCAGACCCATCTACCCCTCAACCCCATCTGACTGCCGATTGAAAAGGCCTGATAATAATGTGAAATAATATAGTATCACCCAGAGGCTGCTGACAGGCAGTGTGGCCACCTCTGAAAACAGGCAGGGAGGCAGGGAGGGCAAGGAAATTATAGGCTGCACAAAGGAGAAAAAGTTAAAGTGAGAGCTCCATAAAAGAAAGTGGAACTATTATGCTGCAAAATGCCAACTCATTACAAAGCGGCCAAATAAGAGAGAAATACGGCGCTGCCTGTAATAGCAGTTTACAAGGGAACATTGTACAGCAACAGAAGAGACGCTGCTATAATTTGCTCTAACAACTCCAATTATCCCTTTTATTGATTTGGCAACACATTTAATAGGAGTAGCCACACCTCTTCTGTTACAAATCATTAAAGGTGTTGAACGGTGTAATTTTAAAATTGTCCTCCTACAGTTGTCAGTATGACAGCATAATTCCCCCTGATTTCGGCTATGTAAACACCGAGGCACAGTCATTTCCCCCTTACAAGGCCAGAGATGTTGTCAGCCTGGGGTTTTTGTGCAGAAACATCCATTTAATGCGTATCTTTTTTTCCCCAGCCCGCACTCCTAATTGCAGTGAGGTTTGGTTTACTCTTTTTTTTTTTTCCTTTCTCTCTCACTCCTTCCCTCTTTTCTTCCAACTAAGAGGTGTGTGTGATGGGGGAGGTCAGGGACGGAAATAAACAGGCGGTTTGGTCTTCTCTTTCTTCCCTGGCAGCCTTAATTGCTACTTAAGCGTGGGCCCTGCACTTAACATCCGGGGGGCAGGCCCGGTGCGTGGTGCACGCCGGGCGCGCTGTGCACAGTCTCCGGAGGCCGCCAGTGCGACCCCGCCCCACCCGCGCACCCCCGCCCGGAGGGCCCCAGCGCGCATGCGCTCGCCGCAGGGCGGCCTGCGGGGCTGTGGACGCGAGGCCAGCTCGTAGGGGGCTGGGCGGTCAGCGGGGTCAAGGGACAGCCACGCTGGGACGGAGGACGGGGACAGGGGAGCCCCTGCGGCGCCACTTCTTCCTCTCCGAGTCCTGTCTGCCCTTGATGGAGCCACTGGTGGGGTTACTTGCTGGCGGTCGGCCACTTTCGCCCCTCCCTCGCCAGCCCGCCAGCTCCCTAAGGTTTTGTGGTTTTTTGTCACCACCACACCTCAGTGTTGAGCTAAGTGAGGACGTCCCCCCAGCAAATGTATTGGACGGAAGGAAACGGTGTGCGGGAGGAGGCGGAGGAAAGTAGGCCACCCGGGGCTCAAGTGGTGAGAAGAGGCAGCCAGGCAGGGTGGCAGGTGGGGTGTGGCCAGCTTGTTGGGTGTCCCACCCTGTGCTGTTGGGGGCGTGGAGGGTAGTGTGGGGTGGCCAGGGCGGGCTCATGTCCTCATCCCCCTCCTCTTTCCCAGAACCACACCCAAACCCTCTTCAACCCCCTGTGTGTGGGCTGTGGCAGGGGTCAACCTCTTGTGTTCAGGTCCCCTAGGGGCCCACCCCACTCTACTAGGAACCAGGGGTCGGATGCTGTCAGGGGAAGCCGTGTGGCTTGAGGAGTCGAGACCCTTTCCAAATCCACCCCTGTGGAATCTTGAGCAAATCCCCACACCCAACTTAGCTTCAATGTGGTGGAGGTGGGCCCAGCGCCTCTCTTGAGGGAGTGCTGCTGTAGGTACCTTCCAGCAGGCCAGGCTCCTGAGCTGGGATCACCATGAAGCTGGCATCTCTCCTGGTAGCACCTATTCTGGGGCCTTGAGCTCCGACACTCTTACGCTGGAGTTGAACTTAAGCTGCAGCGGGAGGGCTTTAAGCTAGACCCGCAGAATTTGAGCGCTAAGGACTTGCTTAAGATTGGGAGAGTAACTTCTTCTGCAAGGGGGCCAGCAGAGGGGCTCTCGGGTTGAAGGAGGGTTATGCTGGCCCAAGCATTGCCATCATAGCCACAGCTGGGCTGTGCCTCAGAGTCTGCAGGAGCAGGGCCCTTGGCCTTGGCTCCCAGGACAGTTGGGAGATGGAGGGCAGCCCCAGTAGCTGCCATCTTCCTGTCATCTACCCACACGTCTCCAGATCTGTTTGCCTGCATCAGGGCCTGACTCCTGCCCCACATGGGC